>NC_000010.11:88779458-89082489 GCF_000001405.40 Homo sapiens
AATACCCATGATATAATGTTATGTGAAGAGGAGAAAATGAAACTGGTAGAACTATGTGATTGCAAATATATACAAATATTAAAACAATTATATGACTTTATAAAATATTTGTATATAATGAAAACTGAAGCAATATAAAAAATAAAATTAGTTGTGTCAGGGTAGTAACATGATGAGTGATTAATAGTTTTTAATTTTTAATATAGTAATGACATAATGTTACAACTTGTCCAAATCTCACAAACATAATATTCAGTAAAGGAAGATAAACATAAAAGAATACATATTTTATTATACATTTTTATGTAGGCTAATTGATGGTTCTGAAAGCCTTAAAAAGCTTACTTTTAGGAGGAGAATCATGCCTTGGAGGACTCTAGGGTCCAGAAAAATGTCCTAATACTAGAGCTAGGTGCAGTCAGATTAATTATAATACATTTCATTATTTTGTCTGGAATACCAAGATGACTTCCAAGCAGGAATGGAGTCTAGCAACACTTTACTGATGGGGAACTTGGCCACAGACTTGTAATACAAATTTTTGGATATGTTGACAATGTTTCTCCTTATTTTTCTTACTTATACAAAGCAAGAAATTTGGCTCACAACCTTGAAACAGACTTACCAGGTTCCTCCAGTTTCCCAAGCCTCAATATCTCATTGCTATTTTTAATAGAACAAGGTAAATAATAACATGAATGTTATTCAATACAAATTGATGTCAAATGTAAATTCTGACTCAGAACATTGGTGAATTTCTTTCAATCGGTATAATCAATCAGTTTCAGAGAGGCGAAGTCTTGCTCAAGTGACAGCCTTTTTGAGACTCATTAACCAAAGAACAAGGCACGTGTTTCACCATCAGGGCTTTGTTCAACTTTGATCACCTCTGCATTCTCCTCTCATAGGAAGGTTACCCACATTTTCCAAGGTCTGGCCACAATACCACCATTTCTGAAACGTTTTGCCTGAACTATATGTTCTAGAATTACTGTTCCCTCTTCTAAATCACTTTTTTTTTTTAGACAGGGTTTCACTGTTGCCCAGTGAAGTTGCCCAGGCTGGAGTACAATGGTGCGATCTCAGTTCACTGCAACCTCTGCCTCCTAGGTTCTAGCAATTCTCCTGCCTCAGCCTCCCAAGTAGCTGGGAGTACAGGTGCCCATCACATGCCCAGCTAATTTTTTGTATTTTTAGTAGAGATAGGGTTTCACTATGTTGGCCAGGCTGATCTCGAACTCCTGACCTCAGGCAATCCACCCCGCCTCGGCCTCTCAAAGTGCTGGGATTACAGGCATGAGCCACCGCGCCCAGCTTAAATCACTTTTTATTATGCTTCTGAATTATCTTTTTGGAGAGTTCTGTGTAAGTCTACTGCCCTAATAAATTTTAAGTAGCTTGAAAACAGAAGCATTTAAGATATAGAACTCTCCATTACCACACTAAATTCACTTTTGCTATTCCTTTATGGTCAACCACCACTACCACCATGACCAGCTCTCCTTGAACTTGATCCCTGACAACTTATCTGTTCTCCATTGCTATAATGTCTTATAAATAAAATCATGGAGTATGTGGCCTTGATATTGGCTTTTTTTTACTCAGCATGATGTCCTTGAGATCTATCCAAGTTGTTGCATATATCAAGTTTGTTCCTCCTTATTGCTGAATAGCATTGCACGGTATGCATGCACCACAGTTTGTTTAACTATTCACTCACTGAAAAACACGTGGGTTATTTCCAAGTTTTGGCTTTATCTTTTTGGTGTTTCACTGCTTAATGGCATGTCTTGAAAATAAAAAAAAAAACACTCCGCTCAGATTCATTAATTTGACTTAATTGCAAGTCCCACCCAAAGCTAAATTTTCTGTGCTAATACCTTTTGTAATCTGTACACTGCCTCAAGGGAAAATGTTACTCAAGTCAGAGTTCCCATTGACTTGACTACACAATCCTTGATTCATATTTTAATTTGGCATTTAGAGATTGCAAAACAGTGACGTGGTTCTCATTACATTTTTGAGTTCTAATGTGATTTAAGAAGTGCTTTGGAGTAGGGTGAAAACAGATTGCTAGTATTTATACCTTGATTGACTATGAAGTCCTTCCTCCAGCCATTGTCAAGATGTGACATGTCTTTAGCTCTGTCAAAACCTCCATCAGCATCATCATATCTCCCACAGAGCCAAACCAAATAAAAGTAATCACAGTAATAATAGTGTGCAATCATTAAAAATCTATGTGAAGTATTAATATAAAACACCAACAATTTTTAGTATATAGATATAAAAAGGTAAATTCTATAAAAACAGTACGCTTTCTATGGAATGCACCTTCAAGAAAGTTTCATCATTCTCCTCCATTCTATTTCCTATAAGATTGTCCATAAATTCCATTTATGGAGGAATTCTGGAGTCAAACCTTTCTTCTTTTTGTACCTTCTACACATATTGGCCATTTTAGTTGGTGTGTGAATTTCTTTCCTTATCAAAGCAGTCAACTTAGCTAAGAAAGATTATTTATTTGGGATATGATGTGGCCTTAATAAGCTTAATCAAAATAAGCACTTGTATGGTATTTGATAGCACAACAGGGTGACTATAGTCAATAATTTAATTGTACATTTAAAAATAACTAAGAGTATAATTGGATGGTTTGTAACACAAAGGATAAATGCTTGAGGTGATGAGTACCCTATTTACCCTGATGTGATTATATATTATATGACTGTATCAAAGTATCTCATATATCCCATAAATATATACACCCACTATATACCCCCACAAAAATTAAAAATTAAAAACAAAATAAGCACTTAAAAATACCTTCCACATCCTGCCACTCTACCCCTACCTCAAAGAGAAGATTCCCAAGGAAACTCTAGGTAATGAAAACCTGGTCCTACAGTCTATGAAAGTATGACTTCAACAGTGTGTGGTTCAGGGAGTTCTGAACATTCAAAACAGAAGCAAACAAATCAGTATTGGGGTGAAGCCAAGGGAAAATTACTGACCACATACTCCACAAGACTTGTCTCAGGTGTACATGGAACCTGAGAATGTTTAATGTTATAATGAAATACGTATTCATATTACAAAGTTACACGTATATTTTAATAATTATAAAATGCAAATATCGTAAGTATAGTGTGATACTCAATAGCTTCAAGTGTATTTTTTGGCATTGGCATAATACATATGTGTATTTCCATAGTTATTTATATGTATCTAATTTTAACTTTGTTTTCCACTTTTTTGATATACCTGCTAGCCATTTGATATGTTTCAAGTAATTTTTTTCACGAAGAAATATGTTTTAAATATTGTTTGCACCCTTGAGTGTCTGAGAATGTTTTTTGTTGCCTTAACACAAAAGGTTAAAACATCTTTCTACCACAAAATTCTGTAGACATTTCTCTATTTTCTTCCAGAGTTTAGCATTACAACAGAAGTGTGTAAAGTCACCTTTGTTTTTATCTATTTGTAGGTAACCCGTTGTGGATTTTTAGAAAATAATTAACTTTCTGCTTATATACTTGTTTTATATTATTATGGTTTGGTTTTCATCTCTGTAATGAAATGAACTTAGCAAGCATATTTTTGCAAAGGTATCCCCTTTGATTTCAATTTTGCAGCGAACTCTTTCAATCTGCACTTACATGTTTCTTCAACCCAAGTTTTCTTCTATCATGCCTTCGAATATTGACATCAATTCCTTTTCGTCCTTTGTTTTAATCTAGTCAATAATCTGTTACCTATATGTTTTTTCAATGTCTACCATCTTCTCTGTCAAAGAGTATTTTTATTTCTTTGTCTTTTTCTCTGACCTGTGGGCTTGGTAATCAAGTCTTTCTCAGGATCACTAACGTACTTCTATGCAATTCTGTGCTTTACAGTCTCCAGTGTGTTTAATCATTTTTAGTTTTCTTTCAGTTTTTCTTTATCTTGTCCATCTTTCTTTATCCATCAAACTCTTGCATTTTTATTATGAACAATTGCAGACCTGCAAAACCATATAAAATACACTACACTGAACATCTATATTTACTACCAGGGTCTGGAAATTAAACATTACAAATGAAGTTTGTCTCACTGCATCAATTTTGGTATGTTTTTCCAGGATATTGTTTGTTTCACCTAAATGTATGTATCTTTCTATGTATGTATATTAATATATGTATTAAATTGTACATATCTATGCATATATTTCTGGATAGGTGTATGTAAAATATTACATATGAAAGCCACCTTTTTGACCTTTTTTCTTTTTATTTCATACCGTATTCTTTTTATTTCAGTATATTCTTGTTTCTTATATTTTATTCTGAGTTTTTTTAAAAAAAATCTTAGCATTAGCTGTGCTAAAAAATGAAAGTACTCCCCAAAGAAGATGCAATATTTTTATCAGCTGCGATTCACATGTGGCCAGGCTTAATGGTAACCACATCCTTCCTGAGTGACCTTTGGAGATCATCCACCATCTCACCATAGGCTGGTAACCATATTTCTCAGCTTACTCCACGTGTTTTCTTCCCTTTCCAGAATGGGAAAACTTGTGATTGGAAGTCAGGTATCTTAATTTCTAAAAGCAAGCATCTATATCTGTTTAGTTCATTTGATTTTTGGAGGTTTATTTTGTTTTACCTTGAGCAAGTCACATTTTCTGGGCCTCATTGTCTTCCAACATAAAACAAAATAATCTGATTAGATGATTTTTTTCTGTTATCTTCAAATAAGCACCTTATTATCAAATAGTTCAGTATCAGAACAAGATTCCTAATTCCAAAGGAGTTTTATTTACATAATATTATATTGTGAGATACATATTAGAAGAATCTGACACTATGTTCCATTCCAGTTTCTCTTTTGCAATTGAGTGACTTGTTTTGATCTAAAATGTATAAATTCTCATGCCTGTAATTCCAGCACTTTAGGAGGCCAAGGCAGGTGGATCATTTGAGGTCAGGAGTTCAAGACCACCCTGGCCAACATGATGAAACCCCACCTCTACTAAAGATACAAAAAATTAGCCAGGCATGGTGGTGCATGCCTGTAATCCCAGATACTTAGGAGGCTACAGCAGGAGAACTGCTTGAACCTGGGAGGCAAAGGTTGCAGTGAGCCAAGATTGCACTGCTGCACTCCAGTCTGGGTGACAGAGCGAGACTCTCTCTAAATAAATAAATAAATAGTATAAATTTATCTCATTCTTATTAATGGTGCCCATGAAATGTAAGTATTAGTTCCTTTTCAGATAGTACTTTATAATTATACTACTGCCAGATTAAAAGACCTATTTTGTAGTGACATGAAAGCCAACTACAAGAAAAATACATAGTCTTTTTCACTTACAGAGGCAAGTCCCTCAACACAGAGCAAAGTAAAGGACCTTATGTCATTATGTGAGGCACATCAATACAGGGATTTCATTCAAAAATAATACTTCATACTCAATAATCCCATGTGAGAAATTAATGACTCAGAGTAAATAGAAAATCAAAATTAGCCCTTGGATCTTGGGCAATTTAATAGCCAAGGCCTTTTGGCGAATTGTAATTAATGCTCTAAATTAGCCACTATTTCTCAGAATCATGTACCAGAAGAATAAGAACTTCAGTAATTACAGAGTATTTTAGATTTATTTTGTGCAAGTACTTCATCGAGTACTCCACAACTAAAGCTATTATCCGGGCGTACTGAAGATTTATAATAAATTGAGTGCCTATTATATGCAAGGCACCATGCTGGGTACTGACAATGTGGTAGGAACAGCACTCCTTATCAGGCTGTCTATGTGGTATCGCTGAATAACAGAATGTTTGGGCCAGAATAGCATATACTGAGACCAGGGTACAAAAGGTACCAACTTAAGTGACTCAAAAGAGGAAATGGTAAAGAACGTATTTCATTTTTTTTCCTTGGCCTTAGTCACATCTGATCAGAGTATTCAATGCTTTCTACATAAACTCTGGATTTAGTAAGATGAAAATTACTCGCCACCATCCTTCTTTTGACAGACGCAAGTACTCAGCCAAATGTAACTCTTCAAACATAGTATCAATTCAAGAGAAATGATTATTTCTGGCTTTTGCAGGAGAAATAGAAAGGTTCAGAAACTCCTTTTCTGAAGATGGGATCCATTTTTAAAGGCTTTAACTCTGCTTTCTTTTCTGATAAAGTTCTTCAGGAGATCATAGTCCGTTTATGCAAAGCCTGAAATTTGTTACTATAGTCAGATGGTTTATGCAAAACCTGAAGCAGACTTCTTCCAAATCCCAGGCGTCATACTTCACAACAGCCGAGAGCAGAGGGACTGCACTCTGCTCACGGATGCCTTGCTTGATTGTTGGCAGAGCTTTTTTCAAATGATTTTCTTTATAAAATGTAGCCAAATCTTGCAATCCTACTGCCTCCTCAGGAGAAAGACTGATGCTGTTTGTGTACAGGTATTCCAGGAAGGCCCAGTAAACAGAGTATGAAAATTCACTCATTTCTACAATAACATCCTCATTACCTTCCAGCAATGAATGAACATGCTCACATACATCAAATTTTGAGGACTTTATGTGCATAAATATACTTTCCACTGACCACAAATTTCAAGACTGCAGTGTCCAGGTTGTCAAATTCCCTCTTCAGTAACTCGGCCACTGCGAGGGTGGTCATCAGGTTCCACAGAGAGGAGGCGCCATGGATGGCAGGAGCAGCAAAGCAGATAAATGTGTCATCAGTGCAGACGTGGGTGAGGTGAGGGAATATCATCAACTGGCCCTGGCCCCACATGTACACACACCCACCCTGGGTCTTGGCAGCAGATGTGTGGGAAGAGTGACAGACTGCAATCTCTATAATCCTGTCCTTTTCCACAATGACAAAGGTAGGATAGGAATGGTTGCTTTTATTGCCAGTGCCCAACTGCCCATAATTGGCACCCCAAGCATATACTTGGCCTTCATCTGTTAATACTAATGTATGTCTGTAGGTTCAAGTAGCCTCCCCAGTGTCTACCGCCACCATGGAGCACACCTGCCCACATGCTGTGTTCACAGCCTTTTTATTCCGTAAGCAGCCAGTGACTCCCTGAGCGATTGGCTGATTAACTGTTGATCCATATCTTACATGCCTAGAGTTACTATAACCCCAGGCAAATACCTCTCCATCAGATATTAGCGCCAAAGAATGGTGAGACCCATAGGCAACTTCAATGACTTGTTTGACAAATTCGTAGAGAAACCATGATTAGTTGTCCCAGATCCCAGCTGGCTATACACGTTATGGCCCCCAAGTAAAGACTTCTTCTTCTATTGCAAGGACAATGTGTATACTACTCCCACAGCTAAGGCTGGCTATCTTTTTGCCACTTAAAAAATCCAGTCTCTGAGGTTTGATGGTGCTCTGGATGTTACCTATCCTCAAACAGCCACAGCAGTTTGTGCCAGGATATTATTGTAGGATATAAAACTTCATGACCAGCACTGCCAAAGACAAAGGTGATGAATTAACTGCAGTTCTCCCACTTTCCCACATCTAACTTATTCAAAGATGACCGAGTAGCCTGTATTGGCTTTTGGGGATTTCCTACCATTATAACATTTTATATGTAATAAAGTAATTTTATTGCTGATTCTGTGAATCCATTCATTTATTTTATGAAACCTTGCCACTTTCTTCCTAGAGAAGATGAAGTTCTTCCATATGGACTCAGTCTTGGGCAGTTCCTTGGTCAACTTTTCTCTGGGATTGGAAAGTTCCAAATCACTGTGAAGAGCAGACTTCTCAATTTTCAGCTCCACTGAAGAATATATGATCTGCTAAGCTGATGGTTACAAATTTCTGGAGCCCAGTATTCAGTCATCTTTAATCCTGTCCCTTTTAGTTCCTTTGTAAAGTTGTCTTCTAGAGCAAAGTTAATGTGACTCAGTACAGCCTGAGCCATGTCCACTCTGCCTCCTGGATCACTGTTACTGCTTGGATGATTTTAACTTTAATATGAATGAGTCTAGCTACATACTGTTCTGTCCAATACAGTAGCCACTAGCCACATGTGGCTATATTAATTTAAATTCTAATTAATTCAAATCAAATAAAATAAATTTAGTCCTCAGTCTTAGTCACATTTTATGTGCTTGATACCACATGTAACTAGTGGTTACTGCACACATATGAAGTATTTCCATCAGCGCTGTCTGTTGGACAGCTCTGGATAAAGCCCTAGGAAAAAGCTGCTGAGTGAGACTGGGTAAGTTCTAGCTGAAGTTGGACATATTGACACGGAGCTCGATTAGTTCGATTAGTTCAATTAGTTCCAGACTGGGAGAATCACTTCAGACCAAAGCTGCTGAAATCAGTTTATTGCAGGGCAAGCTTATCAACATTGCAACCAGACAGCACTTGAAGAAAACGTCTGCTACTTACAGGCTATATGATCTCAGGCAAGTAAGACTCAGCTTGCACTTCTGAAAAATGGAAGTAAGAAAACCAGCCTCATTGCTTTAGCAGTTGTAGCATTAATCATATAGTAGCATGTATGGAGTCCCAAGCGTAGTGTCTGGCAAGTAGTTGGTACTCAGGAAAACTTCCTAATACTGAAAATACCATCAGGAAAAAAACCTAAAGTGTTGGTGATAATGAGGCCCCCACCCTAAATGCTTCTTGAGAAAATTCTTGGCAAAGTTTCTGAAGAAAAACTGTCTTCACCATGAAGAGTTTCCTGATCCTCCCTATTCTCACTCTATTCCATCCCCTGCTTCCAACTAAAAGGATCACCTCTCTGTCTAAACTCCACAGCACTGTATTGTTCCTTTTCCTATGAACCCATCCCTTTTCTACCTTTAACTGCCCTGACTTGTAGTCCTCTACCAGAAAGGGGCTCACACCTGTAATGCAGGGACTTGCCTTTTCCTCTCAGCAAATCTTGGAAGGAGATTTGCATATAGCCAATGACCAATACATAATGTCCCAGAGATTTGCCATTGTCAATTTTCATTCTTCATGAATAAAAGGGATAGTACCTCTCCCTGTCTTGCTGGCTCACCCTCTATCCCTGTAAAGAATCAACTGTCAAAAGAAGCAGAAAGAAAATAGCATCACATTCCTCAAGAGAGGCCTCATACAGAGCTAAGGGAGGGATCATAGTCATCCCCAAACAACATGACTCTTCCCTAATCTTAATAGGGCAGTATTCTCCTATGGCAATATTTCCCAAACGCTAGTCATTCACATTCTTCATTCACAATGTTTGCAAAATCTGCATGCTACCAATAATATTGTTTGCTTAAAAGTCTCAAAATTAATTCACTATTTCACTTTTTAAAAGAAATTTTATGCAGCTATAGTGTAAATGAGAAAAAAATAAAATATCATTTGCCAAAACTTGAAGGTAACCATAACATAATAAAAAGTAGATGACTGATAATAAAGTAGATAGATGCCATGCCTAGCCAGTGCACCTGAGTTTAATATCTGCCTTCTTTTTGTTAAATGCATGCTCTTTGTTTGAAAGGGAGATTAGCAAGTGCTAGAAACAATGCCATAAGCAAAAGCTAGACTTCCTCCTTGATGTGCTCAGAAGACTGAAGGAAACTTGATAGGGAGACTGTAATAAGATAGGATGAATAATGGCCCCCAATGATGTCCATATTCTAATCTCAGGAGCCTGTGAATATGTTACCTTATATGGCAAAAGGAACTTTGCATATGTGATTAAGTTGGGATCTTGAAGTAAGGAGATCATGCTGGGTCATCTGGTTAGGCCCAGTGTAATCACAAGGGCCCTTATAGGAGAGAGGCAAGTAGGCCAAAGTTAGAAAAAGGAGATGTTACAATGGACCCAAGGTTGGAGTGATGTGCTAGGAGCCAAGGAATGGAGGCAGTCTCTAGTAGCTAGAAGTAAAAAAGTCAAGGAAGTGGGTTCTTCTCTGGTCTCCAGAGGAATATAGCCCTACCAACACCTTGATCTTAGAATTATGACCTCCAGAAGGTAAGAGAATAAATTTATGTGCTTTTTAAGCCACTGAGTTTGTGGAAATTTGTTATGGCAGCAAGAAGAAACTAATAACAGAGACTGATTGGCATATTATGTTATTCAAGGTCACATAATATCATGTTCATCTATCAGCTAAAACCTTCCACAGCCCCAGTGATGTACACCTACACATCGGGACACTGCCTAATGAATTCCCACTAGGCAGACAGGGAAAATGGTATCCATAAATTAAAGCAGCTACAGAAGAATTTAGGCCTGAGGCAGCGAAGCTGGTTGCTAAGGTGATGGCTGATTATAGGGAAAGCTCTGCATGGTCAATGTCCTGTTTCCTCCACTACTTTGGCTTTCCTTTATAATATAGCATCCGACCTGAGGAAAAGCCATTCCAGAATCAGCCGTCCTTCAACAAATGGACTCTGCATTTAGGTAGGTCATGCCCGTGGCTCTTTCCACTCCTAAATTGAACTATTGTTCTCTTAGATGAAAATAGACTTGGCAATACTTTCTTAAATTAAATAAAAACTTACTGTATTTTGTCTAATTATAAAAATAAGATGTGTTTATTATAGCCATTTTAGAAAATAGAAACTAACAAAAATTATAATTTCCTTTTCACCCAGAGAAACCTACTTGGTTAATATTTTGATAGATTTCTCTCTGGTCCCATTTCTGTTCATGTCCATTTATAATTGGAAAAGTATTCAATAAGTATTATTTAGCAGCCTTCGTTTTCTCTGTTAAAACATATTATGAACACTTTTGTACTACCTATAATATACCTCTATAATATTTTTGTAATGACTGAATATTTTGTTGTAAACACGAATTATAATTTCTATAACCAGTTCACTCACATGACTATTTATGCCACTTCCAATTTTTCACTATTTTCTTATAAATATTTTGGTTCACCACAGATGGCTCCTAAAAATAAATTTATGAGTTAGGAGTATTTAAATTTTTTACACACATTGCCAAATTTCCCATGAGGGAGTTATACAAATTTATCTATAAATAAGAATAATTTTAAAGGGAATTAATCGCAAATTTGAGTAAATATTAAAGAAGGAAATAAGTGGTAAACTTTTTTTGGGGAAAGAAAGAAAACCTTTTATTTTGTATTCATGTGTTAAGCAAGATAATCTGCTTGCCTTTTTGCCTTCCTCTTGACCTAACAATCTACTGGAGAAAGAGGGAAGAAAGAGATGCATGGAAATGGAGTAACTTCTTAAAGCGGAAAAAATAAGTGAGATTTTTTTTTTTTTCCCTAGAACAGTTAGATGGAAAACACTGTCAGGGCCAGGCACAGTGGCTCACACCTGTAATCGCAGCACTGTGGAAGGCCAAGGCAGGCAGATCGCTCTAGACCAGAAGTTTGAGGCCAGCCTCCTGGGCTCAAGGAGCAACATGGCAAAACCTGTCTCTGCAAAAAACACAAAAATTAGCCAGGCATGGTTTCATGCACCTGCAGTCCTAGATACTTGGGAGGCTGAAGTGGAAGGATCACATGAATGTGAGAGATTGAGGCTGTAGTGAGCTGTGATCACACCACTGCTCCAGCCTGTGCAACAGAGCAAGACCCTGCCTAAAACAAATTTAAAAACACAGTAAAATAAAAACAAAAACACTAGTAGTATCAGTGTTTTGGGGTGTCAGATAGGTTTTGTGGATGGACAAACCTCATTATGGCAAAATGTAGAAAGTCTTTTAGGCCTGCCTATTTCAAAATTCTCGTGGTACATAGCCAACCAACAATAGATCTGATGATTTAATCAATACAGAGATTCAATCTGTATAGCCTTAAAGTACATTTCTGCTTTGGCTGTCTACACAAATTGCTACATAGAGAACATCCAAATTACTCACTTGCTAAGTATTGATGTGGCAAAGCCCATGGCATCCACAGTAGCTGAGTACTAGTTCAGCTGGAGCTAAACCCAGCCCAGTAAAGTGTAATTACTACAGAGCATGGTCTACTGTTGAGATTGCCTGTTGCAGCCTTCTTTTATATTAATATTTTAACTGAAAAATGAGATAGAAGATTTCTAAGTAATCAGCTTCACTTCTAATTTTTTCTATCTCAAGCCTACAAACTGATATTCATCCTAATAATAACAATAAATAGCAACAACATCTTAAGTAGCTTCTGTACGCCAGGTGCCATGCTGTGCAACTCACACCTATATTTTACTTAGGCTTTACAACAGTGCTGTGAGGAAGATGCTGTTATTAGTCGTTTATGAGTGAGCAATCTGAAAACAGAAATGTGTCCAAGGGCCCACAGCTGGTGACAGGCAGAGCTGGAATTTGAACCCAGGTCTGTTGAACTCCACCCTTCTCTATTTTTTTTTTCTGTAGATGAGAAACTTTATTTTTTCCAGAGGACTGTTTATTGGATTTTTTTAAATTATGCTTTAAGTTCTAGGGTACAGGTGCACAACGTGCAGGTTTGTTACATATGTATACATGTGCCATGTTGGTAGCAAACTATCGCAAGGACAAAAAACCAAACACTGCATGTTCTCACTCATAGGTGGAAATTGAACAATGAGAACACTCAGACACAGGAAGGGGAACTCTACTGTATCTTGTAAGTGAGACTCCCTGCTAGGTGACCCTGTGGCTTTAAGGCTTCGTCTGGGATTCCCAGGCCCCAAACCAAGTCTGCACATCTTTGTGCCTGGCCCTCTAGTGGCCCTGGGAAAAAAGTTTTAAAGAAATCCAATGACAACTGGAGTCTTTTCTGATCCTTGATTGTCCCATCTTTCCTTAGGTATATTACAGGTTTGAAGGGATGGGAAAGGGGGAAACAATTTTCTTCTATATCTTTAAGGGCATTGTTTTTTTAAATTGTCTATAAAGTTTCTGGATTTTTTTGTTGTGCGTTTTGATTTATTTTGTTTGGTATGTATTAATGTGATTAAGAATAGGCTCTATTTCCTCTGTTGGAAAGATATGCCAGACATCACAGACAATCAAATAAACACTCTAGGTCAGGAACCTTTGGGGGAAAGCTTTTGGGAATGATATATGTCAACATTAGCGACAGTTAAAGGTAGGCAACATGCTGATACGTTCTGGAAATGGAGCTGAGACTCCCAAGGCCTCAATCCAAAAGCCAGAATGTGTTAAGGAGAGGCAATCTCTGAATACAGAGACACTTACCATTTACTTCTTTTAAAGGGCTGGGATGTCTCCTGAATGCTATGAGGTGCTTGAAAGGGCCTCTTCTTACCCGACTTGCTCTCTCTCATCTCTTCATTTCCTTCTGCCCCTTGCTTGCCTTAGCCTCCATCATGCTGAAGCTGATCTTAAACATTTGGGCAAGTTGTTTCCCTTTTCTTGGTCTGAGTTTACTCATCTGATCTGCCAGGGGTTTGTCAGCCTCAACACCACATAGTCCTGTGATGTAATAACTTTAAAAATCAGAGCAGGACAAAAGCAGAGTTGCACAACCTTGCCCTTCTGCCCCACACCAGCCAGGGAAACCGCAATGCCTGCCACTTCAGTGTCTGGGTGGTTCTCCCATCATATAGTTCCCCTCTTCCTCCGTAAAGGTTTGTGGTGCTTTGTGCTGCTTGCTGGCTGATCCTAAACCCTAAATTTGGAAGCCGCACAAGCCTGACTCCCCTCTAAGTGCTCCAGGACTAAAATAATTCCCAGCCATTTCTCTACTTCCTACTTCAAATTCGCAAAGGCTGAAAATACAAGTAGATATTTTCTAATTTTTTAAAAGGATCTAGATATAATGTCAGAGGAGAGAAGGATTATAGAAACCAACTTATCCAGGGACATATTTAGAAGCAAATCTTTTCAAACAAAAAATGTTGTAGAGGCTTCAACACATATAAAGTAAATGAGTAGCAGTAGTATATATTTATCATATACAATTCAAATTTATGACCTTCACATATCATGAAGTACAGTGATAAGGGTGACACTACTTCAGTGATCCCCAAAATTAGAAATGGTATTACAAATAACAGAACTTTGGTTATATCTGCCTAGACTTACACAGTAGTGCTTTGTTTTATTTGGCTATATGATATGATAGAATCTGCACAGATAAGTAGTTGAAGTCATAGTTGTTTTTAAACAAACATTTTAAACAACTTCAATTATCTTGTATAAGATAGCAAAGGAAGTTTTACTTGAAAGTTCTAGCAAGTTAGTGAATATGTGGCCACTGATGTTTTGCAATTTGATAATATAATATCCAATTTTTGGGATTAAAAGTGAAGCAAAATGCATCTATGTGCAGCATTAGGTGATTCACAGCATTTTCCAATTGGAATTCTGCAGACCAAATCCATGTGATCCTATTCTCTAGGCTTTGCTATATTTGTTAAATGCAAGCTGGTTTTACGATGCTTAATTAATATTTAAATCCACTTTGAGATCAAAGAAAACTGAACCAACATAAACTATCATTAGCTGTCACAGAAACGAGTAACTGGCATGGTTTTGTCTTCAATCCCTGTAGTTTCTCCTTACACATTTTAAAACCTCAAAGAGGTCATGGTTAGTATGAGTCACCATTTTACTACATTTTTGATGTGGTGAATATAGGAAAATCTTTAACCCTAAAAAAACTAGTCTTCTTTCACTTTCTTATTTTTATTTTTAATTTCTTCACTATCCTACTGCAGACATGAATCTTTCAGTTTCTGAGACCAAATTCCTCTCTGGAGAAAGAAGCCAAGCTGGGAGAATTTGTAGCATGGGGATTAGAGCTTCTCTTCCTGCAGGTAGCCTGCCTGTGAGTGTGGCACAGCACTGGCTCCCAAACTCAGCTCACCCTCAGAATCATTTGGTTCACCTCATGAAAATACAAAGTCCTAGGCCCCAAACCTGGAATCTTTGCTTCCGTGGGTCTGGAGTAGGACCTGAAATCATTACCATTAATTTGGTGTTTCTGATGATTCTGTGTCTGATTTTTTTTTTTAATATGAAAGGTAAAGTCATGGTTGAAAATTTGTTTCCACTTGGCATGACTAAAACCAGTGCTTTGAAAAGAACACACAATTATGATATGCCGTTGCTATCCAAAGGATTCAATGTCTGTTCTAGAGTTGGTGAGAATGAAAAATTTCAGTGTCATGAAGAACAGGGAGCATCTCATAGAAATGAAGTATCATTGCTCCTGAGACAATGAGAAAAGCTCACATCTTTTTCTCACCTGGAAAATGGACATCTACTAACTCACAATGGCAAGCTTATATGCAAACAACTTTTGGAAGATTTATCAACAGATACTAAAGGCTAATAATTTTAAATACCTTAAAAACATGTTTAAATACCTTTATTAAGTAAATTTTTTTATGACCAGTATTTATATACTGTGATGATTCCAAGATTTCTCAACCTCAGCACGATTGACATTTTAGGACAGATAATTTCTTGTGGGGGGCCTGTCTTGTGCATTTTAGGATGTTTAGCAACATCCTTGGCTTCTACCACTAAATGCCAGCAGCACTCTCCTAGTAATTACAACCAGACATTTCTCCATACATTGCCAAATATTCCTTGGCAGGGCAGACTTCCCCCAGTTGTAAAGCATCCCTCTAGAAAAATCACATAATCTCTCTGGGGCTTCAGATTTCTATAATGTAAGATCAGGTAGTAAAGCAGCATTCATAGCAGCAGAATCAGAAAAGACAAATACAGGTAAAATTAAATAACTGGTTAGAAAAAGAATAATTCAGACTTAATGCCAACCCATACAGAAAAATAAATCTCAAATGGTCTCGAATTTCAAATGAAGAAAGAAGTTAAAATATTGAGAAAATATAAAGAATATATTTTACAGCCTTAGGGTAAAGAAGACTTGCCTAAGAAAAAGAGAAAACATGGAAGCTAAAATTGAAAACCCCAAAAGACTTAACTCTATAACATTTTACCACTTCTCTTTGATGAAATAATAACTAAATAAAGGCAAAACATGTAAACTTTTAAAAAATGGAAAAAGAAAAAAAATCTGTAACATTTATAACTGAAGATCAATATTCATAATAAAGAAAAAGCCCAAGCAAATCATTAAAAAAATTAAAAATAAATGGAAAACAGGTTAACAATTTGAAAAAGCAATTCCTAACTAAAAATTAAATAGCCAAAATACATAAAAAAATTTCAGTCTCATTATAACTCAGAAAAATACAAACTAAAACTACAATGAGATATCATTTTGATCCTATCATATTGGCAAAGTTAAAAATACTTGTGAAAATTAAAAAGAATTGATGAAAAAAAGCAGGAGAAACAGCCATGTTCATGCCCTATTATGTTACATTGGTTCAATCTTTTAAGGGTCAATTTTGCAGTAGCTGTCAAAATGTAGACTGTGCATGACCTTTCACCTAGTGTTCTACCTCTATACATCTAGTCTATTAAAAAAAACAGTTTCATACAAGGATTACTTGCTACAGTATTGCTTTTAATAGCTAAACATTGCAAGCCAACTAAGGGCTATGATTGACACATCATCATATAGTGATACATTCATATAAGGTAGCTTTATGCAGTAGTTAAATAAGCCATATTTAAAATATTGAAAGGAAAAGGATTTTGGATGACAATATTTCAGAACTGTATATAAATATGTAAATATAGACATATTTTAATAATCTATTTATATAGTTATATATGTTTATCTGTCTGTATATAAAATTTTGTGTATATCTATGCACATAACAATCTCTTGAAGCATTCACATCAAACTGTTAACAGAAATTAATTTCAGGGAGAAAAGTATTTTGTCCATATTATTGTATGTATTTTATAGTGTTTGAAGTTTTACCACAAACATGTATTTTATAATTTTTAATTATATAATTTTAAAATAAATAAATGAGGATATTGAATTAAATGATTTCTGAAATCTATGACTTCAGCCCTAACAGACTGTGATTTAATTAATTCTGGTTTAGAAATAACATGGAAAATTTAGGCTGGGCACAGTGGCTCACACCTATAATCCCAACACTTTGGGAGGCTAGCGCAGGAGGATTGCTTGAGCTCAGGAGTTTGAGGCCAGCCTGGGCAACATGGTAAAACTGTTTTTACAGAAAATACAAAAATTAGCTGGGCATGGTGGCATGTGCCTGTGGTCCCAGATACTTAGGTGGCTGAGGTGGGAGGATTGCTTGAGCCCAGGAGGTTGAGGCTGCAGTGAGCCATGATGGTGCCATTGCACTCCAGATTGGATGACACAATGAAACTGTTTCTTAAAAAAGAAAGAAAGAAAGAAAGAAAAAAAAAAGAAAGAAAATTTAAGCTACCATAACTGTGTTCGTACGACAAATTCCTTTAAGAAGGAAAAGAAAAGGGGAAAGGCATTACAATTCTTTAAGCCCCTGCTATATGCTTGTTCCATGTGGCGTAGATTTACGCATTGATCCTCACAGCACCTTATTTTCACGTTAGATTAACTGAGGCTCGGAGAGGTTAAGTGGCCTGACCAAGATCATTGGCTCAGAAAGGGAAGGAGCCAGGATTCACACTTGAATCAGTCTGGGGGAAATATTATTGCTGCTCTACAGCAGATGTTTTGTAGTTTCATGAGTTGATGGAGAAACTCTGGTTTATCTTATAAACTTCAAGGCAGAACAGCAAGAGGCCATGGTGGAGAAGCAACTGTCCAGTAGCATAACCATTACAACCTGCAGGAAGTAAAATTGCTGAGGTGTGATGGATGCTTATTCTGCACCAGGTCCTGCATTCATACCACACTTAACTCTCACAGCAACCTTAAGAGGGAGGTACCATACTGTTACCATTTTGCAAATGAGGATGCAGGCTCAGCAAAGGTAGAAAAGTTGCCCAAAGTCACATATATAGAAAGTAGTGGAGCTATTGGTCTGACTCCTCATCCTATGTTAATTACTGGATACACAGACTAGGGTAGAAATTATTGGCTACTAGCTGGACTTTGAAAAAAGAACCTTAAAACTGTAAGATGGTAGGTCTTTAAGCAATTCGTAGGCTAATGCCCAGAGTCAGAGATAAGGTTGTTTGCTTACTTTGATATGGAATGGTTTGTAATATTTCAACACTGGAGTATAGTATATGAAGAACAATTACATGTTGATTGATGTAGCTAAGATACCAATTAGAGTCTAAGAGCACATGCAGGCATGTCTGACAAACTGGGAGGGCAAGTAATCCAAACACTCTGAAGACCATTTGCCTGAAGACCTCGGGGTATCTTATGAGATAACTCATATTAAGAGAAGGAGTGGAACATAAGCTTGACTCAGTACAACAGTTTTGGTCATTATTATAGACTGGTTCTCACAAAAGCATTGACTCTGACTTTCAGATTGCTTCCATAGCACAGCCCCACACTAAACGGTGTAGTTTTCAAAACCTGAAAGAATAGTTTTAATAAAACTCAGTAACTCAGTCCAACACTGGGGTAGAACAGCACTATCTTGAAAGCCCTCTAACCTGTAACTCAAACAGAAAACATTCTGCCGCCAGTTTCTTTGCTAAAACATAGCAAGAGTCCAGTTTCCAACAAGTTCCTCATCTCCATCTGAGACCACCTCAGCCTGGATTTCATTGTCCATATCACTATTAGCCTTTTGATCAAAGCCATTCAACAAGTCTCTAGGAAGTTCCAAAATTTCCCACATTTTCCTGTCTTCTGAGCCCTCCAAACTATTCCAACCCCTGCCTGTTACCCGGTTCCAAAGTTGCTTCCACATTTTCAGGTATCTTTTCAGCAGCGCCCCACTCTACTGGTGCCAATTTACTGTATTAGTCCATTTTCACGCTGCTGATAAACACATACCCAAGAATGGGCAATTTACAAAAGACAGAGGTTTACTGGACTTAGAGCTCCCCGTGGCTTGGGAGGCCTCAAAGGCTGTCTTGAATGGCGGCAGACAAGAGAAAAGAGCTTACGCACGGAAACTTCCGTTTTTAAAACCATCAGATCTCATGAGACTTACTCACTATCACGAGAACAGCAGAGGAAAGACCTGCTCCCATGATTCAGTTACCTCCCACCAGGTTCGTCCAATGACACGTGGGAATTGTGGGAGCTACAATGCAAGATGAGATTTGGGTGAGGACACAGCCAAACCATATCAAAGCCCAACGGCTCTGCAGAAGAAATGCAAGAGGACCATGCGTCCCTTGAAAAATTATGAAATTTAGCATGGAGATGCAAATGTACATATTTCTGAGGAGACAGTCTTGTTTTTGTCAGCATCTCAAAACATTATGTAACTTAAAAATGTTTAGAAACAATTGTTGGAATTTTGATTTTTATGTATTCTAAAGCCAAATAAATGTGAGGAAAAGTATATTTCAGTGCATACATATTACCGGGGATACTCACAAACTGTGGGCATAAATTGGGTCACATTAATAGTACATTCTGATTCTTGAATCCTCACTTGAACCAGGATTTGTAGAAGCTCTAATTTTTTTTTTTTACTATTTCATTAATTTTTGAGAGGAATTATTTCTCATGTCCAAATAGAGTTAATCCTTGAGAGTTTGACCTCATATTCAAAAGATGAAGGTAAATGTTATGGTTTTACACCTCATGGTTCAAATGAAATGTAGAAGGGACTTACTTACTAAGCCAATTTGAGGTGCGCTTTACTGGGTACCGTGTATAAAGGGTGGAAGTTTCTGAGGCTGATTTTGACACGTACTCTTTGCTCCCACCTCTTTCCTTCAGGTTAGGGAATGTTTTTGTTTTTACAGCTTCAAGCCTTTTTTTTTTCCTTATTCTTGTGTTATTGTTTTTATTTTGTACCATTTTATTGGTTTGGTTGGTTTTTTAGCTGTTTTGGTTTTTACAGTTTTTACACATGGTATATGAATGTGTAGGGCCACAGGTTGATTTTCATTCACTTTTTTATTAGAAAGCTTTTTCTTAATGTTTATTCTACTTGACCTGTTGCTTTTCTGTATTTTAATATTAATTTATAGATAGTGTACATTAAGGGAGATCAATTTTCTTCATTTTAAGAAATCCAGATACTTCAGATCCTACTTCTTTATGTACTCAGATGACAAAAATCCATTTTCTAAGGTCACAGAGTTCCTGAATAGAAGCGTCTAAAGAGAAATCTCTCAAGATCAGCACCTTGAAGTGGGCAGACACACTGGCACACTTGGACTCCCATCTCTCTCTCTCTCTTTTTTTTTTTTTTTCTGAGATAGAGTTTCACTCTTGTTGCCCAGGCTGGAGTGTAGTGGCAGGACCTTGGCTCATTGCAACCTCCGCCTTCTGGTTTCAAGCGATTCTCCTGCCTCAGCCTCCCAAATAGCTGGGATTACAGGCGACCTCCACCACTCCTGGCTAATTTTTGTATTTTTAGTAGAGACAGGGTTTCACCATGTTGGCCAGGCTGGTCTCAAACTCCTGACCTCATGATCCACCTGCCTCAGCCTCCCAAAGTGCTGGGATTACAGGTGTGAGCCACCACGCCCGGCCCCCTCCCATCTCTTTTATCATGTTTCTGATGCTCTCCATGGGCTGGGGATTGCTAAGGTGGTAAGGGTGTTGTAAAATTCTGCAGTGGGGAAGAACTGCACTTATTTAATATTTGCTCAAAATGTCGCTCTTTGAGCTGACTTGGGAAGTGACTTTGCCTGCTTCCAAAATGACAGTTATGACCTTATAAAGTTCCCCAGGAATTTGAGAGCCAAATTTAATTATATTTTCTCTGCAATGTACTCAGTACCCAAGGCTGCAGCTGCAGAAAGCTAAAAAATAAAAGGAATAAAATAAAAAGGAATGGGTGGGGGATTGAACCAATCAGTTTATTGCCATAAACTCTCTCCTAAAAAAGTCTCTACAGTATTCACAAGCATATTAATCTAATGCGGGAGTTGATCTTACCTGAACATATTACAGCAAAGTAATATGGTATCTGACAGATGGTATTTGACAGATGGTATCTGTCAAACTCATAATGACATCATTGGGAATTATTCTGAATTTTAAATCCAGAAGATAACTTTTTAAAAAGACAGTTCACAGAGATTGATGTAATTGCTTCCTGTTAGTAGGTTAGGCTTCATCTTTGATGGAGAAGAGGACATCGAAGTGTTATATATTTTCCCATGTAGTCATAATGCTAAACAGCAAATTAAAATATCTGAATCTCAGTTCTGGCCTTGCCACAGTCTAGCTAGGCAATGTGGGGCAAGTCATTTAATGTGTCTTCACATTTCTGAAAATGAAAGCTGAATGATATCTTTTTTTCTGGCTATATAACATTTACAAATCCTAAAATGTCAGTGATGGGAGCCCATATTCTTTTCTGAAATCTCATCTTGCCTACCTTGAGGGAGAACTCATGGGGTGCTGAAGACACAGGGCTCTGCAGAGTGTTGGATAAGTGTTTTCTCTGCTCTTCTAATTAGGTCAAATGGCTCCTCTAGCTGGCATCAGATTAGCTGTGTTAGTGACATTCACACTGGTCCAGATAAGGATGCAGACTTACCTCTTCACACCCATGCAACCAGCCCAAAGTGGAGGAGGCTGAGTCATGTGGGAAGATATGTTCTGACAGACTTATCTTTCTGGTTTCAGCATCTGGCTCCTTCACCCACCACATTCCAAAAGTCTGCATATTGGTGTGGCTGCTGTTAGCTCAACCCTGAAGAATTGATGTAATAGAGAAATATTTCACTTTAAGTAATATTTTTTTAACTTTTAACACATTCTTTACTTAAAACGACAAATAAATCAACCCTCCTGACCTGCTCAATCATTAGTATGCTAAGGGATTGTTCACATTTGCCTCACATTCAGTTGAACTGAGACATTTAGTTCATGAAAATAACTAGGCTGCAACCCATTATTTTAAACAATAGCTTTGTAGATTCTGGATATTATCCCTTAAACAACCCCATCAAAAAGTGGGCGAAGGATATGAACAGACACTTCTCAAAAGAAGACACTTATGCAGCCAACAGACACATGAAAAAATGCTCATCATCACTGGCCATCAGAGAAATGCAAATCAAAACCACAATGAGATATCATCTCACACCAGTTAGAATGGGGATCATTAAAAAGTCAGGAAACAACAGGTGCTGGAGAGGATGTGGAGAAATAGGAACACTTACACTGTTGGTGGGACTGTAAACTAGTTCAACCATTGTGGAAGACAGTGTGGCGATTCCTCAGGGATCTAGAACTAGAAATACCATTTGACCCAGCCATCCCATTACTGGGTATATACCCAAAGGAATATAAATCGTGCTGCTATAAAGACACATGCACATGTATGTTTATTGCAGCACTGTTCACAATAGCAAAGACTTGGAACCAACTCAAGTGTCCAACAATGATAGACTGGATTAAGAAAATGTGGCACCTATACACCATGGAATACTATGCAGCCATAAAAAAGGAAGCATTCATGTCCTTTGTAGGGACATGGATGAAGCTGGAAACCATCATTCTCAGCAGACTATCACAAGGACAAAAAGCCAAACACTGCATGTTCTCACTCATAGGTGGGAATTGAACAATGAGAACACTTGGACACAGGAAGGGGAATATCACACACCGGGGTCTGTCGTGGGGTGGGGGAAGTGGGGAGGGATAGCATTAGGAGATATACCTAATGTAAATGACAAGTTAATGGGTGCAGCACACCAACATGGCACTTATATACTTACATAACAAACCTGCACGTTGTGCACATGTACCCTAGAACTTAAAATATAATAAATATATATAAAAAACTAAAATACACAATAGCTGATGATTTATTTACTAGATAATCCATCTAGTCATATCCCAGTGATTAACTAGTGATTACAACTTAAAATAAAAATTTTGTGTATATCTATTTAATTGAACTAGACGAAATGGGCTAAACATGGAAGATTCATTTTCTTCTAATCAATGTTCTCACCCATCCCTAAAAGTAGAAAATGTCCATAAAATTTTAGATATTTTAAATAAAAGCACTTATCACAACACTTATCTTTAACCAAAAAACAGTGATCATTGAAGACCCAGAATATGACTATAGAAACTTTCAGTGCTTTCTGTAGACTCCATCTTTTGCTATCTATCAAAGAAAGATAAAATCTAGGAGTGGAAGGAAAGAGGTTCCCTACACTCCTTATTACCTGGTGATAAAGTACAGGGGTTTTAATAGGCTGTATCAAATGCACAAAATTCCAGGTCACATCAAAGAAAGTTCTACACACCTGGAAGTTGAAGGATTAGGGATTACAAGTTGTGTGAGGGAGGAATGGGAGGAGTCAGATAGTATTGGGACATCCTAGGCAATGTTTCCAGCCTACTTTGTGTTCTTTCCCTACCAACTAAGCTTGCCTAATTTGCTTCAGAATTGGAAGAGGGAATTGCAGCAGGAAAATATGTGAAGAGTTTTTAAACCCACAAATTCTTCTTACTTTAGAATTAGTTGTTACATTGGCAGGAAAAAATAAATGCAGATGTTGGACCATGTTGGAAACCTTGTCAAGACAGTGGATTGTCTCACACAGAATGGAAATGTGGCTTCTGATTCTGGTGGCGTATATGTTCCAGAGAAATGTGAATTCAGTACATATGCCAACTAAAGCTGTGGACCCAGAAGCATTCATGAATATTGTAAGTTGGGATTTCTGGGAAATGAGGTACTTAACATGTTAACGTTTGTATCTGTGTATTATTTACATTATGTATTATATTTATACATGGTGGTGATTCATACTAGAAGAGCATAGTGATGAAGTAGCAAATTGTACTGGAAAGAATGCTAAACTGGATGTCAGTAGACCTGGGGTCTCCTCACACAAATTTAGTAAACTTGGGCAAATGACTTAATCTCTTTGAGCTTCAAACACAATTTAACTTTTCCTTGAACACTTTGGTTCATCCTATGAGTGGAGAAGTAATTAAGGCCTTTTAAGTTCACCCCAGTCCCTTGATTATTTCCATTTTGTCTGTACCTTTTATTCTTTTATTCTTTTTTTCCATATTGCAAAGGTGTCAGCCTTTGCTTCTTGCTATCAGGGCACACACTTCTAGTAGCATCTTATACCATTCTAATCTACTCTTTTTATCCTGTTTCTGGACTGGTACTTTGCTGAATAGCAATAAAAGGACCCCGAGTTAGTGCTACACAGAACCTCCTACAAGTAAAATGCATAAATGACAGTACATCTCTTTAGTTTTCCCAGGAGGTTTTTTTTTTTTTTTTTTTTGGTAGCTTTTCAAATTCTAAGCTGGGTTTTAGTAATGGTCACCCTATGGTAACACTTATCCCATAGCAGGGATTATGACACAAGCAGAGATACTATTCTATTTCAATTTCATTGCCCTGTGCAGTAGATAGGATCATTCACATATTTCAAATCTAGATACTGAGATTAAAGAGGTTAAACAAGTTGAACAAGGCCATACCAATGTAATAGCATAGCTACTATTTAAATTCAGGACTGCCTAAACACAAAGTCTATAATTATAAATACTACGCAATAAACCCTCCCAGGTGAGAAAGAGGAGAGGCTACCTCCAGATGAGTAAGACGATCATGTGCAATGTTCATGTTCCAGAGATTTATCTAACAAACTCTCAGAAAATGGAACTTTAACATGTATTTATACCGATTTAAGACCCTTTCTACAGAAGCTTCCTTATATGGGTTCAAAAACTGAGAGGAAATAGAAATATTCTGTATCTGCATGGTGCTGAATATCAGGTTTCTTTTGACTATTCAATGATTAGGTGGTTTGTCTAGGTAGTTAGCACATTGGTGTCAGTCCTCAGGAGTCATCCTTCTGGCCCTGAGACTGTCCCACTTGAATTCCTCTGGTTTGGAGGTGAGGGGAATCTCTGCAGTGGCAGACAGAGATGATCTTCCTGGGCCCCACCCACTGCGTGTACCCAGCACCTATACACTACTGGGGCTTCAGGAGTCTGTAGACTAAAGCCCATTGAATTGGGCTCTGCCTTTAAGCAGCTATGCCTGGAAAAAAACAAAGTAAAATAGAAAATTCGTACGATTGGTGTAAATTCAACAAAATAGAATAAAAGTAGTTGCAAGTTTGAACTGGTTCTGAGGTAGGAGAAGGGCAGGACTTACTTTCTGGTCCCAACAGGATACAGTGAATAAACAAGCACAAACCAGCAGGTGGTGAAAAAAAAACAGCAAGAACCAGCAGTGGCCTGGAAGGCATCCTTTAGTTGCCCCGGCTGCTCATTAGCATAAGACACTCCTACCAGAACCATGACAGTTTACAAATGTCATAGCAATGACCCACGAGTTAGTACCCCTTTCCATGGCAATGGCCCAGAAGTTACTGTCCCGTTTCTGGAGATTTCTGAATAACCTGCCCCTTAATTTGCATGAAATTAATAGTTATAAGTAGGCATAAATACAGCTGCCAATAGCCCATACACTGCTGACTCTGGGAGCACTGCCTATGAATTAGCTCTGCTTTTCAAGGAGCAGTACCATTCAGTAAAAGATTACTGTCTAGTATTACCGGCTCACCCTTGAATTCTTTCCTGGGCAAAGCCAAGAACCTTCCCAGGGTAAGCCCCAATTTTGGAGCTTGTCTGTCCTGCATTGATTTGACTCTGTATATTCATGCATATGGATTATGGTCTATCTTATACTTTGATGAATAACTGGCCTTATGCATGTATTTTTTAAGCAAGTGTTTACTGAGCACCTACTAGGTCCATGATATTGTGTTATGTACTAAGGTTAGACAGATCTAAGAATATTAAAAGCCCTGACTTTATGGAGCTTATAGTCCAGCAGGAAGGACAGATCATCAATTAGTCATTATAAAAGCAATGAAATAAAAGAAGAAAACATAAAATAGGGGGAACTAATCCAGAAAGCTTTGCTGAAGAAGGGTTTCAAAGCCTGAAATCTGAAAGATAAATGGCAGTTGCTTGAGAGGGTGGTAGCAAAAAGGTCAGCACATAGGACAGCTGGAGCAGCTAAGAACATGCCAGATTCAAGGAGCTGAAAGCAGCTTATATCTGGATGGTCTTTTAAACATTGACTTTTTTATACTATTACAAAAGCAATATATGCTCATTATAGAAAATTTAAAAAATACAAAAGAAGGCAATAGTCACCAATGTACTCTGCACCAAGAACTGCTTTGTCATGCCTTTATCTTCATTCTAAATCTGTGAGGTTTTGTTTTCTTAAGAAGAAATGTCATGCACAATTTACTATTTTCCAACGTTTTTTCTGCTAAACAATGTATATCATGAAGAATTTCCCAACGTTTTAAATACCCTTCTACAACATCATTTCACCTTGCTGCATTATGTTCCATTTTTTTAAATAAGTATTTGCCCCAGGTTGGATTTTCTGGGGGACAGACTCTGAGGCAGAATTCATACAATAATGTTTATTAAGGAGAATCATCATCATCGCCTGTGGAAAGGAAGTAGAGAATCAGGAGTAAGGAAAGAGATAAATCAAACTGTGATACAGACTTCAAAACAGCCAGACTCAACTCCATGAGGAGCTATGGAGCTAAAACTGCTCTTCAGAGATGTCCTACGTTGGGCTGAGATGACCAGGCCTTTAGACCGCAAACAGGTCAGTCACTGGATGTGGCAGGAAGGGACGTGAACTTGGAGGAAGTGGCTTTCTACAGCTAAGGCCATTCCTACAGAAAATGACAGCCAAGGGTGATCTGTTGACAGCACTTCCAGTGGATGGGACCAGTCCTTTATTGCCTGCATAAATTTTCCTGCCAAGTATAGCATGTTGACCATCTTGCCACCTGTAGACAATGTTTGCAGCATTTGTAGTTCTTTTTCTTCTCAGATGTCCATGTCCCTATCCCTACCTCCTTGGCTCTTTTGAGCAACTTCTATTCAATCCTCAAGGCCCAGTTCAAATTCTTCCTCCATAAGACCTTGCCTGTCCAGCCCTGCTCATTTTGCTCCTCCTGCTCAGAATTCCTTTGCTCCTTCCTTCACTCTCATCCTTCATCCCTCATCTGACACATTACACATATCCTCTCAATAACTACTTGTCAGATGTCCTCCATTCTCATGTTTTTATATATATTTAACTCCCCAAATAGTTGACAACAGTGGTTCCTGAAGGATAGTTGTCAGATCAGCAACATCTGCTTTGCCTGGGAACTTGTATATCAATTTTTTGGGTTCCACACAGACCTGCTGTATCAGACTGTGAGTGGGGTCCCGCAATTTGTGTTTTAACAAACCCTCTAAGTAATTCTGATGCATGCTAAAATTTGAGACACTTCTATAAATTTTTTTTTCTTTGAGATGGAGTCTCCCTCTGTCACCAGGTTGGAGTGCAGTGGCGCGATCTTGGCTCACTGTAACCTCCGCCTCCCAGATTCAAGCAATTCCTCTTCCTCAGCCTCCCAAGTAGCTAGGACTATAGGCATGCACCACCACGCCCGGCTAATTTTTTTTATTATTATTTTAGTAGAGATGGTGTTTCACCATGTTGGCCAGGATGGTCTCGATCTCCTGACCTTGTGATCCACCCACCTCAACCTCCCAAAGTGCTGGGATTACAGGTGTGAGCCACTGTGCCCGGCCTATACATTTTTTTAAGGTTAAGTATACAATGGTGTCTCACACACATACATGCACACATATACACTGCATTCCATAATATTCGGTTAATTGAGTTTTAATTATAGTGGTAGTTAATGCTTATTGAGTTCCTACTATGTGCTGGGAATTACAGTTAGTGTTATATGTGCATTATCTTTTTGCATTTATTGCAACAGTCCCATGGAGTATGAACCATTAGAATTCCTAATTTACAGATGCATGAACTGAAGCATAGGAGCAGTTTAACTAAATTTCTCAAGATTATACAGCTAGTTTATGTAATAGTGTTAGAACCAGTGTTAAAACTCAAACAGTGGGACCCAGGAGCTTTCTCCTAATGACTATGCTTTGTTTTTGCCCTATATTCTACCTGGGCATGTGATGTTTGGCCTTCTCTCTTGCTCTTTTTTAAAGCAGCCCCTGATGCAAATGGTTCTCTCCTTCTCTCTGAGTGATAACAATGGGCAAGAATAGTGAGGATGCTTAGAAGATATTTGCAGCTACAAATTTTCCAGAGAATGTCTACATGTAACTACTGTATAGAGTAAGGATTCTTAACCAGGGGTTCGTATGTAGGCAACAAGATATCTGAAACTCCTGAAATTGAATGCAAAACCATGTTTTTGTATCCATTGTATATCCATTTTTATAGTTCTCCTCAAATTCACAGAGGGAACTTTAACCTGAAAATGTTAGGAATCAATGCTCTTGAGTCTGTGGTTTTAGAACTGGAAAGAACCTTAGGAAATGCATGGCCCAGGAATGCTCATAAGTTGTCCTGGAACAGGTGCCCCACTGGCTGCTTTAGAACCATCTTATCTGTAACCTGAAGTGGGCTCAAGACTCTGTATGTTTCAATGCCCAGAAGATTCTGATGCACAACGAGGTTTTGGAATCAATGTTCTGATCCAGTGGTTCTCAAACATTAGGGTACATCAAAATTCCCTAAAGAGCTTGAGACACAAACTGCTGGGCCCAGTCCTCTGAGTTCCTGATTCAGTAGGTTTGGTTGGAATTTGCATATCTAACAGATTAGTCCAAGTGATGCTGATGCCTTTGTCCCAAGGCCCATACTTTGAGAACCATAATTCTATTCCGGTTTCCATATTAAGACAAAGAAAGTAAGGACTAGAGAGGGTTAGCAGATTTTTCTAAGGTAACATGATTAGCTAGGGAAAAGCAAGGACTTTCACTGTGTTTTACAGCATCAAGGAATCTACTCTTACTTTTGGATCATTGAGAATATGGCCACAGAGAACTGAACCTAAAAGAAATTGTGCTTTTTCCATAGAGTGAAATCATCCAACATCAAGGCTATCCCTGTGAGGAATATGAAGTCGCAACTGAAGATGGGTATATCCTTTCTGTTAACAGGATTCCTCGAGGCCTAGTGCAACCTAAGAAGACAGGTGTGGGTCACCCCATGTCACCGCAACACAGCAGTCTTCTCTGCAGTCACGATTTCCTTGTGATTTGAATGTAGAAGAGAGCCTGGGTTCTTAGTGCAGAGTGAGGTCCATTGTTCAGGTCAAAGGATGGTGTCAGTTCCCCCATAGTCTCCATCACCACCACCGTGTCCGTCCCCACTGCCACCAATTATCTCAATTAAACATACAGTGTTTGCTTTTCAAAACACTCCTTCAAGAAAAGTTCATTTCTTGACTTATTTTAGCGCTTAACCCATTCCCCAAAACTCCTCCTATGTAGACATTCTAAAATATTTACTGACAATTCCTTGAACAGACCATATCAGCCTCTGATTATGAAGAATTCAAGCTTCTTTATGGCACCTGGTACCCGCTCCTGTATACTCTGTATTCCTCATCTAAAGAGCACTTAAAATATTTAAGATGTTGCCTAGCTTTTTACTAAGGGCTTTTGAAAAACGAAAGTTCTATACATACATTTTATTTTATTTTATTTTATTTTATTTTATTTTATTTTATTTTATTTTATTTTATTTTTGAGGTGGAGTTTTGCACTTGTTGCCCAGGCTGGAGTGCAGTGGTAGGATCTCAGCTCACCGCAACCTCCGCCTCCTGGGTTCAAGCAATTCTCCTGCTTCAGCCTCCCAAGTAGCTGGGATTACAGGCATACACCACCACACCTGGCTAATTTTTGTATTTTTGGTAGAGACAGAGTTTCTCCATGTTGGTCAGGCTGGTCTTGAACTCCCGACCTCAGGTGATCCACCCGCCTCCACCTCCCAAAGTGCTGGGATTACAGGCATGAGCCACCGCGCCTGGCTATACATACATTTTAAATGTTTGATACATGTCTCCATAGTTCATACAATTCCACCCTTTTGTATGTGGGATTTTCAGCTATTGTTATTTTTTAAACATTTGTTTTCATTACTAAAATATGCCTATTTTTCATTTCTATTTGGCTGGATTCTTTTTAATACTCTAGCAGTAGGTTTATAGTAGCAACTATATTGTCTTTCTTGTGTATAGGTAATATAATTTCTTGTGTTATTTTGATATGCCAGATACACTGATAAGTGCTTTATTTGTATTAGTCTCATTTAATTTTCACAATTACCCTAAGAAACTGCTACTCACATATGTTAAGCAACTTGCCCAAAACGTCTGTGCTAGTGCTTGCTAGTGAGTTGTAAAACCTGCACTCAAATCAAATCTGTCTCTCTGCCATTATAGCCCGTGTTCTTAACTAGGACCAGAAAATGCTGGACAAATGCTATTGGGCTTTGGTGTAAAGAAACGTTGGGGTTCTGTTTTACTCCAATTTGTACTTGTGTAGCTTTTTGAAACCACCTTTTTTTTTCTCACTAGCTGCACAGCTGCGCCTTATACATGTCTAGCGTGCACCTGCCTTAGTGTCTTTGAACTTAAATTTCTCCCTCTGGACCACTGTTTCATCAGATGTCTATGCAGCTTGCCTTGGCCCTTCTTTCAGCCAACTTTATCAGAGTTCTTCCCTGGCCACCCTATTCAAAGTTGCAGCTCTTTGCTACCTATTGAGTTCTAGCCCCTTACCCTGCTTACTTTTCCATATAGCACTTACCATCACCTGATATAATAGATATTTGCATGTTTGTCTATTGTCTGTCTCCCCCCAGTCAGAGTGTAAACTCAGTGAGAGCAGAGACATCATTTGTTTTGCTCAAGGCTAGAACCAGTAACTAAATGAGTGCTGAGCACATTCTGGTGCTAATAAATATTTGCGGGATGAATTATAGATTTTGTATAAATAAATGAATAGCCTGGGGACACAGCCCCACGAATCTCAGGGGAGTGGTAAAAGCACAGTTCTTCCAAGCAGTCGAGTGACTTAGCAATTACTAAGCATGGGGGTCACCTGCAGCCCCTATTCTATGGATGGAATTTGTTTTCTTACATCCTGTTGATTCAGACTGTTCACACATTGCCCAGGTGTTTGAGGTTCAAGGAATCTGCCTCCTTGTTCCAGTCCGTGCAGAATACTTCCCTCTAGTGGCCAATGTTGTTGGCATGTGCCTCTTCAGAGGCAATCTCCCATATCAAAAAAAAAAAAAAAATTCACCAACCAAGAAAGCCAGTGAAATTCTTATTGAAAACAACTGAAAAATGTTTACTGTAAAGCTTATAGCTTGTGGTAGCGGCCTTTTTATCTTTATCAAAGAATCTTAGTTGGCTTCAATATCAAGAGAGAAAATAGGCTGGGCCATCCTCAGAAATGACAGCTGTGTAAGTGTAGCCCTTACACACTTACCTGCTGGGTGTAAATTAAATAGAAGACCTAGGGGATGTTTGAAATGATATAAATGAGCCATTCCTCTTGTTAGGGGAATCACAAGAACAAACTATATGACTAAGTAGAACCAAGGTGACCTTAACCATGGGAAATGCCCGGACTCTCAAGGGGAGCATTGATCACCTTGGTTTGATTGTCCTGTGTTAACACAGCTGAGGTCACCTCCCTGAGAACTAAGAGGATGAACTAAATGACCAGATTAGATTTTCAAGGAAAATCTAAAATAACACTGAGTTCCTTCCTCCTGGCCCTTCACTCACAGTCCACAGTGACCCACACGTTCTCTCCCTTGAGAGACAAAATGAGGCAGATGGAATTCATGAAGACTGTCAAGATGCTGGATGAGTTTGGTGTAGAAGGCTTTTGTCCTACAGGGAGACTGCATGTGTGTTTGGTGCCCGTTTATAGCAATAACAACAAGAGCTACCCATCTGATCTGAGGTCGGGCAGCATGCTGAGTGCTTAATGCACAGTACCGCATTTAACCCTCCCCTGCCAAAACCCTGTGAGGTGGGCAATTGTCCTCATTTTGCTAATGAGAACACTGAAGCTCAGAAAGTCACTTGCTTTAGAGAATTATAACAATAATAATGAAAGCAATAAGGCTGTTTTTTACTGCAGGCTTCTTCTGAGCCAATACTGAGGTGTGGATATTGCATTCATGATTTGATTTAATTCTCACAAGTCCTGTTGAGGGCATGACATATTTTTTACTCCTAATAGGGCAGCACCTTATTAATCTTTCAGCCAAATTTGCTAATGTCAAAATAATATATATGCCTTAATTTATTGAACATATTAGAATTCTTAAAACCCTTCATCCTTCTCTATTCTCTACTGATATTCTTATAATTCTTTATTTTGATATAATTTCCAATTTATGGAAAAGTCCTGGGAATAGTACAAGGGACTTCCATATGCCCTTTGCCCTGATTTACCAACTGTTTACAGTTTTACCCCATTTATTTTATCATTATCTCTCCCCCATCTCTTACGTGTATCTTAATACTTTTTCCAAAACCTTTGATGGTAAATTTGAGACATACATCATGCCTATTTGCCCCTAAGTACTTCAGTGAGTATTTTCTAAGAACAAGAGTATTCTCTTCTATAACTGCAATACCTTTATCAAAGTTAGAAAACAAACATTGATTGACATTAGTGTTTAATTCGTAGTCTATATCCAAATTTTGTCAATTGTCCCAAAGTCCTTTACAGCTGTTTTCCCTCCTCTGGTCCATAATCTAATCCAGGATCATTTACTATACATTTGGCCACCAAGTCTGTCTCCTTCATAAACAAACAATTCCTAAGGTTTTGTCTTTTTGATTTTTGCATTTTTGAAGAGTTTTGGACAGGGATTTAATTTGCTTTATCTGATGTTTCTTCATGGTGTGATTCAAGTTATATGTTTTTGGCAGGAATAACCCAAAAGTGAAGTTATATCTTTCTTGGTTCATCATATTATGAAGCAAATAATGTTGGCTTGTTCCAATACTGATAATAACTTTAATGACTTCATTAAGGTGGTATCTGCCAGGTTTTTCTAAAGTTAGTATTTTTCCTTTTGTAATTAACAAATAAGTTATGGGAAGATAATTTCAGGATATGTAGTATTCTGTCTTTAAATTTTACTCACTAATTTTAACATTCACTGATAATTTCAATCTTTCTGAATTTGTTAGTGGGTATTGTACTGTAAATCAATGTTTTGTATTTACTAATTGGCATTCTGTAAATAAGAGCTTTTCCTTCCAATTATTTATTTGTTCATTTATTTATTGGTCTCTATATGGACTTGAACATTCTTAATTTATTCAATGGGATATAATTATTTACTATAATTATTTTGATGCTCAATATTTCTGTATTTGAACAGTGGGAGCTCCTTCAAGCTGGCTTGTGGGTCCTTTTGACATGAAGGTCTCTTAATCACTAAACCATTATATATATGTGGTATACATATACCTTAATAATCATACTATACCATCTACTGGGGCACTTTCAATATTTCTGAAGAGCCCAGACAAGTCTGATAATAATTACACAAAACAAAGAACAGAAGTTAAACTTTATAGATTCTTTTTCTGCCGGGCAACATGCCATCCATTTCTTGTGCTCTATTTTATTAAAGCATAACAAAAATCTTATTTTACTGATGAGGAAATCAAGGCACACACCAAAGGTCAAGTAATTGGCCAAGATAACTAAGCTAGCAAGCAGCTGAATCAAGATCTGAACACAGGTTTGTTTGATTTGAAAGCTCTTATTCATTACTGGACAACAAGAAAGGGAGAGAACATTTCATACAGTTGAAATTTTCTCTTTTTGCAGGTTCCAGGCCTGTGGTGTTACTGCAGCATGGCCTAGTTGGAGGTGCTAGCAACTGGATTTCCAACCTGCCCAACAATAGCCTGGGCTTCATTCTGGCAGATGCTGGTTTTGACGTGTGGATGGGGAACAGCAGGGGAAACGCCTGGTCTCGAAAACACAAGACACTCTCCATAGACCAAGATGAGTTCTGGGCTTTCAGGTATATGATAATCTCGAGAACAGAGGTAGACATGTCTGTCTTTCAAAAAAAATGGGTAAAAAATTACGGCTTCTAGTATTTGGTTGATTTATTTTGGTTGAGTCATCATTATCTTAACATGATATCCCCCAGTTTTCTTAATTAACTAGTGATTCCTTGGTTGAAGTAGTGAGGAATGCTGAGTTCCCCATGTAGAAGGTGGGTCTAGCTAATAGGGTGAGAATGGTGGTTGGTGTCAGGTGACTAAGATTGGAATGAGAGAAGTGTAGATCAATTTCCTCATGGGGAGGGGCGGGTAATAGTATAATAGTACTCCAGAAGGAAAAGAGACCAGGCAGCATTAAAAAAAAAGAAAGGAAACTATTAAGCCTAGTGTGTTAGTCCGTTTTCACACTGCTGTAAAGAACTGCCCGAGACTAAGTAATTTATAAAGTAAAGGGTTTTAATTTACTCACAGTTCAGCGGGGCTGGGGAGGCCTCAGGAAACTTACAATCATGGCAGAAGGTGAAGGGGAAGCAAGGCACCCTTTTCACAAGGCTGCAGCAAGAAGTGCTGAGCAAAAGGGGGAAGAGCCCTTTATAAAACAATCAGATCTTATGAGAACTCACTATCACGAGAACAGCACAGGGGAAACCACTCCCATGATTCAACTACCTCCACCTGGTCTCTCCCTTGACACATGGGGATTACAGGGATTATGGGGATTACAATTCAAGATGAGATTTGAGTGGGAACACAAGGCCTAACCATATCACCTAGGGACCATCGATTTGACTTACCTCTCATGTTCTTACAAAAGATTTTTAACTCTTTTATTTAAATTACCTATTGATGTTCAACTCACTTTTTATGGCTATCAGAGACGGACCACTTCAGCATCTTTACAACTATTCCTGTAAATGAATCTGCAGAGCCCTGTGCGGTTCTGCTTAACAGTAGAACAGGACACTTCCACTAGCAGTTGCGTTATGTGCTCAGTAAATATTCACTGAAGATAGTTATTGCTACGTGATAACATCTAGAGAAAACAGCAGTTTGCTGACAGCCTGTGACTCCAGAGGCACCCATGCTTCATAGGTTTGAAAGAAATCCATTCTGAGTGTTGTGAGGGACACGGTAACAAGCTGTCAGAGTTGACAACTCAAGGGCTTGTTTGTAAACCTGGTGTCGGGGGGAGCTTTTGTTTGTTTCTGATTATAATTTTTCATATAACTTTGTCTTTTCCCCTTGTAGTTATGATGAGATGGCTAGGTTTGACCTTCCTGCAGTGATAAACTTTATTTTGCAGAAAACGGGCCAGGAAAAGATCTATTATGTCGGCTATTCACAGGGCACCACCATGGGTAGGTTCAAAGAAAAGCAGGTTTGTATACTCGGAAGAAATGTGAGCATACGACACTAGCTATCCCTGAAATCTGTCACCTTGTGCTTCCTTCAGACCTGCTCTTTTCATCTTCAGAATCATGTAGTCCCCAGCAATGTGTCTAGCATATAGACATATGTGCTAGATATAGCATATCTCTGTGCTATATGTGTCTAGATATAGCATATCTCTCAATATAAATATTTTCTCAAAGCCAACATCGTGTTATTCAATTATTTATTTAACTCATTGAGCACCTACTACTTGAAAGCAAATATGCTGGTGTCATAAGGACCTTATAATTTTATAGGAGAGGTAAGATGCAGTCACATATATACTTATTGAAATATGTATTTAAAAGCAAAATATACATTTTATGAGTTCTAAAAATATTTCGTATTCATGTTGACATATTTCTTCTTTTGCAGGCTTTATTGCATTTTCCACCATGCCAGAGCTGGCTCAGAAAATCAAAATGTATTTTGCTTTAGCACCCATAGCCACTGTTAAGCATGCAAAAAGCCCCGGGACCAAATTTTTGTTGCTGCCAGATATGATGATCAAGGTATGAGACTCCTCAGAAAACTTCCTGTGTACGTAGAAAAATCTTCCAGCCCAATTTCCTAAAACATAAACTTTTAAATTACAGTCACATCTTTTCTGTCTGTCATGTCTATGTCACTTCATATTTTCACAGGGATTGTTTGGCAAAAAAGAATTTCTGTATCAGACCAGATTTCTCAGACAACTTGTTATTTACCTTTGTGGCCAGGTGATTCTTGATCAGATTTGTAGTAATATCATGTTACTTCTGGGTGGATTCAACACCAACAATATGAACATGGTAAGTGGGAGCCTAGTAAATTCCCAGCATCCCAGCATAAAGCTGGGAGTCATATGGCTCACCCCTGGAGGGAGAGCTAATGCCAGTGAAGACTCAGAGTAATGATATATTCTCAGTAACTCAGTTCTCTGCAAACTGTAAGGAAATAAGGGAAATGCTTCAGTATGGACTGAAACAAGGTTAACATAAGGGCATTGCTGATATTAAATCACAGATTATAGATGGAAGAGGTCTGAAAGCAGCTTTACTACAGTGAATTAAATTAAAAAGAGCAATTAGCACATGTTAGACAACAGAGACAACTGTCATGCATCATCCACCTCTACCCTGCACTGGGGTCCTGTAGGTTTGTAGTTTAAGTTCTTTGATGGAACATCAGGGACCTTCATTTTGGCTTAGGCTACCAGTTGGTATCACTGGGTGGGTTCCCTAGGAAGCATACTCTGAGATGGAGGTTAATGTGAACAATGATTTGGGTCCTGCTCTAGGGATAATACCTAGAGAAGGAAAAGAAACAGGACTAGGTAGGTGAAAAAGTCAAGTAGTGATGCAGTCTCAATAGGAGACTTAGTTGATCCTGCAGGGATTTTTGAAGATAGGATGACCCTTCAGAACCGTCTCAAGTTAGGAAGAGAGGGTTGGGTCTTTATACACCATATCAGTCAGTCATTTAATGTAGCCATACCAGTAACAGGGTAGCACTGGGCAATGTATCTGCCTACAATTGGTGCAATCCTCAAAGCAGACTGAGAGTGGAGGGCTGTTTGCCAGCAGCACTCCCAGCAGCTGGGGCAACATTTCCTTAATTCTGAATATTTTTTCTTCTTCTTTAAGATTAATAATTTGATTTATAGTAAGGATATGAAAAGTATATATTATGTATCAGGCTAATTTATTACCTATACCAAGCCTATGAGTGTTATTAATATCCCCACTTTGCAGATTAGTATACTAAGATTTAGTAGATTAAGTGACTCACTCAAATTCACCTAAAAATTAAACTGCAGAACTAGGATTTGAATACAGGCCCAATGCTAGAGCCCTCATCCTAAATATCACTAGTAAAATTTTTTTTAATTAGGGGCCAGATCTCTGATGAGAACCTATTCTCAGATGAAAAATACCGGTGTCTGGCAATACATTTAATGACATTTTATTTACGTGCATGTACATATTTTTGTTTCATAGATAATTGCTGATAACTTAATAATGTTACCATTTCTTAGTCTGACACCCTGGAGATTTGGTCTTGACAGGGTATACATCTTGTGAGTTTTTCTATGTCCCCCAGAATACTCATGGTTTGTTACAGAGCCGAGCAAGTGTATATGCTGCCCACACTCTTGCTGGAACATCTGTGCAAAATATTCTACACTGGAGCCAGGTAAGAATGTTGAATTTGCAGTCTTTGCTAAATGTCCTGTTATATTTTGTGTAGAATAGTCAAAGGACACCATTTAGATAAGCCAGGGATTATTTCACACTTATTCTAAGATGAAATGCAGTATCGTCGATGCTATTTTGATGGAGAATTTGATCTAGATCACTGAAACTTTTCAAGAAATGGGAAGAAAGGACAGAAGTAGCCTAAGAACTTCTTTAGATCTTAAAAGTATGAATTTAGATGATCCAAGTGAGACTTCTCTCTGTCTCTAGACACCTCAAAGATGTGGCTGGAGATAATTATGTTTCTACATCTTCTCTTCAGCTCCTCCAACAATACAGTCAAGTAGAAACAAAAATGCTAATGTGGGGTCTGTCAAAAGAGATATTCACAGGAGTCCTTCACACTGCAAACTTTACCTGCAATTACAGGAAACACACACCTCTGTGTGTCTATGTGGTGTGTGTGAAAGAGAGGGATGGGGGAAGGAGAGAGTTCTCTCTGTTGACAGGTAGGGAGAGACAGAGAGAGAGAGAGCAATTGTACCATCAAAACCAGAGAAGAATTATAAGTTCAATTAAATTTTGGTTGCTATCTTCCAGGATCACCACATTGCACAATTCCAGGGCACGATTCCCCATTGTAGCCCACACAGTTGTGGAGGATACCCACTCACATTAATTACAATGAAGATGCACTTCCTGGAGTTGCTAATGCAATGATCAAGAATTTATGTAGTCCCTCTTTCTTCTCAAAAGGCCTCATTCTTGTCTTACCATTTTCCTGAGACGCTTATCCCAACATTGAATGGAAGAGCAGCTCAACCATTGCTCTCTCCTTCCCTCATGAGTGCACACTGGGTAGCACATTTCCACCACCCCACCACGCTTATCCACTGAGACGTTGGAATTCCTTGTAAATTTTTGTCTCCTTTTAGGCAGTGAATTCTGGTGAACTCCGGGCATTTGACTGGGGGAGTGAGACCAAAAATCTGGAAAAATGCAATCAGGTAAGAAAATCAAATACCATCTGCTGAAAATATATACATTGGAAATGTATGACAGGGACGTTATAATGACAGTTTATTCTAGATATGGGAATAAAATATGAAAATTTAAGCAGAAAATAATGGTTCATGTTTGACTCCATTTGAAAATGGTTAAGTTCACAGCTGATCCAAGAAACCTCTCTGCTTTTACAATGGAGTAGGAGGCCTTTTTAGCTGAGGCTGTCTCCCTAAACAAGGTACTGGGCTTCTCAGGAGCAAGATGAAGTAGATTTAGTCAAGAGAAGAGTGTAGTCTATGGTGGATACTAGAAGGATTATTTTAGAATTAAAAAAAATGGGATGGTGGCAGTAAGTTTGTTTCATGGCACAGTAAAAGGAACATTAAATGGCAAGTGAGGATTGCTGTGTAAGTTTTGCCTCTGCACTATAAACTTCTGTAATAGGAGGGAGGCTGCTTTAATTTTTCAGGCTTCAATTTCTTTACCTTGAAAATAAAAATTTTGGGCTTAGAAAATCCATAGGCATTCTCCCTAGTTATACTTTAAATGAATCTGTAATTTGCAAGTTACATTTTTTAAAAATGTTATTACATTACCCAAGAAAATATGTAGCTAATGCTATGAACTAAAATTAGATATCAAAGTGTGGAGATTCAGAATTGCACAGGTATGCCCTTTAGAACATAAAATCTTCTGAAGATTTTTGGTAATCATGTGTATGAATGTAAATAAATATTTACCATAGAAACAATACTGGAAGGGGCAGATTAGACACAGCTTAGTCTTTCTTTGAGACCCTCACATCATAAATTAACATCCGCTGCCATATGTCTATCTAGATGTAAAATGCTAGGAAACTGGACAAACTGTGCAGTGCCCCTGGATAGTGAACTCTCAATCTCTGGTATCAGCTGCTTCTCTTGAAGTCTTTCTTCACTGTTTCCCAAAATATGTCTTTAGAGAAAGTATTTCTGTTCAAAGATGTTTTTTTAATTATATTTATTTACTTTTGAGACAGAATCTTGCTCTGTCACCCAGGCTGGAGTGCAGTGGCGCAGTCTCGGCTCACTGAAAACTCTGCCTCCTAGCTTTGAGCCATTCTCTTGCCTCAGCCTCCCGAGTAGCTGGGACTACAGGTGCACGCCACCATGCTCAGCTAATTTTTTTTTTGTACTTTTAGGGATGGGGTTTCACCATGTTGGTCAGGCTGGTCTCAAACTCCTGACCTCAAGTGATCCACCTACCTCAGCCTCCCAAAGTGCTGGGATTACAGGCGTGAGCCACTGTGCCCGGCCCTAAGATGGCTTTAATTTATCAACATTTAATGGACTGAGTTCTAGAGAAATTGATTCATGCAGAATAGGCACCAGAAAATGGGAGTGGAAGGGAAGAGTAAACAAACACACAAAAAAAATCATAGAATCACAGAAACTCAGAGCGAGATATGACATTCAGTTCAATCTTTTCACCTGTAAGATGACAAAAAAAATTACTAGCCCCATAGAATTTTTCAACCTTCCTTATCCAAATTAGGCCATAACTGAGCCACAAAGAGAAACCAGAGCATCTAGGATTGGAGCCAAGACTCCATGGTGGATTTCCTGAGTAAGAAATGGGCCTTACCACTTCTGAGGAAAGTTCTGGATGCTGATTAATCTCAAGGGCTCAGCCGGCTAGGCTAATTCTACTAACACTGCATAAATACGGAAAGTTCCCAGGTATTAGGAATACTAATTGGTATATTTGGTGGGGAAGGGTGAGGAATAAGGATTGGAGCAGGTATTTAACTTTTACTTCCCTTTAGCTCAAATTACCTGAGTGCCATAGGCCATGGTTCTGGCAAATGCAGTCAAGCCGGGTCTGCCTCAAAGGCTGCCTGGGATCACATAAAGACTGTGAAGATGCAGAGCCCTTCCCAGCAGATTCCTTGCTTTTCTCTGTGGAATATAATTCTTCTTTCATGAAATGTTTGTGAAATTATCTTTTAAAAGAACAGGGGCATTATTTTTAAAAACAATTTATTTACAAAATATTTAATAGGAAGAAAAAAGAAATACAAGGCATTACATGTTTTTATGTGTTTTGTCATTTGATCTAGCAAGTTATTACAGATATTATCCCCAGTCACAGAAGAAGAAACTGAGGTTCAATAATGTTAAGTAATTTTACCTTAAAGTAAGGGCGGGAACAGAAATTCTTAACAGAGTTGTGTGGCTCTAACACCCATGTACCCTTCACCACAACAGATGGCATGTTTATTATGTCTATTTGAAACATAAATTATGAGCCTGAAAGTCCAAATGTTACCTAGAGTTAAGAACTATTCCTTTTCTCTAGCCAACTCCTGTAAGGTACAGAGTCAGAGATATGACGGTCCCTACAGCAATGTGGACAGGAGGTCAGGACTGGCTTTCAAATCCAGAAGACGTGAAAATGCTGCTCTCTGAGGTGACCAACCTCATCTACCATAAGAATATTCCTGAATGGGCTCACGTGGATTTCATCTGGGGTTTGGATGCTCCTCACCGTATGTACAATGAAATCATCCATCTGATGCAGCAGGAGGAGACCAACCTTTCCCAGGGACGGTGTGAGGCCGTATTGTGAAGCATCTGACACTGACGATCTTAGGACAACCTCCTGAGGGATGGGGCTAGGACCCATGAAGGCAGAATTACGGAGAGCAGAGACCTAGTATACATTTTTCAGATTCCCTGCACTTGGCACTAAATCCGACACTTACATTTACATTTTTTTTCTGTAAATTAAAGTACTTATTAGGTAAATAGAGGTTTTGTATGCTATTATATATTCTACCATCTTGAAGGGTAGGTTTTACCTGATAGCCAGAAAATATCTAGACATTCTCTATATCATTCAGGTAAATCTCTTTAAAACACCTATTGTTTTTTCTATAAGCCATATTTTTGGAGCACTAAAGTAAAATGGCAAATTGGGACAGATATTGAGGTCTGGAGTCTGTGGATTATTGTTGACTTTGACAAAATAAGCTAGACATTTTCACCTTGTTGCCACAGAGACATAACACTACCTCAGGAAGCTGAGCTGCTTTAAGGACAACAACAACAAAATCAGTGTTACAGTATGGATGAAATCTATGTTAAGCATTCTCAGAATAAGGCCAAGTTTTATAGTTGCATCTCAGGGAAGAAAATTTTATAGGATGTTTATGAGTTCTCCAATAAATGCATTCTGCATTACATAAAGCATGTATGTGCATTTCAGTGTCTAGATTCTAGTCCAAGCTTGTTGGAAGGTTTACAGCTTGTTGCTAGGAGACCTAATGACTAAAAATTTCTGGCTCAATTTTCTGCCTCCAAAAATTAAAAGCTAGGGAGAAAATTGCATAATGTCATGAGCATGATGAAACAAATTGTCATATACTTTATCCTTTAATCTTGACAAAGTTAATGTCAGACAGTCTCTGCAACTCATTGACAAACCATGATTTATTTCTTCAGAAAATTATTCCACTTTTACACAATTTCAAAGATGACAGTTGTAAATTACATTGGTACTATTTTGCAAAATCTCTGAAACCAAATCAAAGGTTTGTGTGTGTCAAAAGTATATTGTTGAAGGTATACTGGTGTGTGAAATTCACTTGTGTGGGTTTTTTGTCCCCAAGGGTCACCTGGTAGCTCAGCTCAATGCCAGTGAATCTTAATTTATTAAGACACGTTTAAAGACTTCAGAATCTATATCTACACACTATTACTTCCTTCATAAAATAAGTTTCTTAAATCCTGTACACAGTTGAATATATATTGCTGGATTTGATTTTCATTAGAGCTTTCAAGGATGGTAAATCTTTCATTCTTATACTGTACTTGTTACCACATACAAAGAGGCTGGCTTAGTTCCTGTCTGCAGCTATGTGAGATTCAGTCTTGATTTTCAAAATTCAGTCATATTTTTAAAGTGAATTTATTTCTACTCTGTGTCATTCACAGAAGAAGTGAGACAGATATTTTGATATTCGCAATCTCTCACTTAGACAAATAATCCAGATCCTACCTCATTGTATAGCTCTGTTTCTTTTGAAGAACTTTATCCAAATAAGTTACAATAATATTTTACATCTATCAATAAAATAAACAAAACTAACAAGCTTGGCAACCACCTTGTATTTACAAAAGGATCATGAAGATTTTTTTAAACGAACATTTTCATAGTTGCATAGTCTTGCTCAAACCAAGATGGCTTTTATTTGTAAACCGAAATCTCTAGTGGTATGCTGGTAAACGAACTTTATGGAAAGTAAAAAACAAAAAAACAAAAACAAACTCTGATTTGTCAATTTGCCAATTTCTGTGGTGTAAACACACTCACCGCTGACACTTGATAGATGTTTTTATTGAAATTCCTTCACCAAAGGAATATTTACTTGTGAATCTCTAAGCCCACACACATACACAAATACCATTCTGTACAAACATACGTATTTAATAATTTGATTCTTCTGCTCAATACTCAAAGGGGGCTGGGAGGAACAGTTTGTCTCCTAGGGCATGACATAGACTGGACAGTCTTTTTATAAGAGTGATACAACTGGGAAGGGAGAACGCTGTTTCAGAAGATAACTCAGATCCTCTTCTTCAGGAAAGACTGAGTTTGGAACACCAGGGCTTTTTTTTTTTTTTTTTTTTTTGAGACAGGGTCTCGCTGTGTTGCCCTGGCTGCTCTCAAACTCCTGAGTTCAAGTGATCCTCCCACCTCAGCCTCCCAAGTAGCTGGGATTACAGGCATGTACCACTGTGCCTAGCTGAAACATCAGTTTCTGACTGAAGTGGAGACTACAACAACTTTAGTGTTTCCCTTAGAAGGATTACGGCCATGGTGAACTTGACTGAGTAAACAATGCTATAAATAAAAAGCTCTTCCAAAACATTAACCATGGTAAGCATCATTATCCCCATAAAATGGTGGCATCCAGGTTAAATGGCCCACAGACCAAAAGTCTAAAATGAAGATAGAATCCAGTCGTTAACTTTTTCTGTATCTCCATCGGTGTGGTCACAAGGATTACAATGCTTTCCTTAGCATTAATTCAATCTGGGAAAATTTTAATCTCCGTGCAATATCCAGTGAGCTCTCACCATGCTGAGGGGGGAAAAATATACAGTTATTTCCAATAGAGTGCCCAAGATCTCGTACGTAGCTTAGACCAATTGACTCTCTGTGTTGGCAAGGGCTTTAAAAGGCAATCAGTCCTAATAGTAATAGGATAACTTCATTCCTTAATGAGGATGATTAATTTTACTGTTGTTTACGTCAGAGGCAAATAATTTACTTCAACATAAGGCCTAGATTAGAAGATGCTGCTGCTAGAGGAACCTCAGACCACGGTCCACCCTCCCTTACCTTATTCTTTATTGTGGGGTCTGCACGGGCTTCCAAGAGCAGAGGGATAAGAGACTGGTTTTTCATTTCACAGGCATAATGTAATGCGGTACAGCCATACTGAAACACAAAGGGCCAAAACTTCAGCTCATAAGTCGGGCCCTCCACAGACCATAGCATGTGGCTTCATTGGCAAATCCTTTTCACACTTTGTAGTATACAACTAAGCAGAAAAATAGTCTGCAAACCATTGATAGACAACTATTTCTAGTACTTAAAAAATTTTTCGCCGGGCGCGGTGGCTCACGCCTGTAATCCCAGCACTTTGGGAGGCCGAGGCGGGCGGATCACGAGGTCAGAGGATCGAGACCGTCCTGGCTAACACGGTGAAACCCTGTCTCTACTAAAAGATACAAAAAATTAGCCGGGCGCGGTGGCGGGTGCCTGTAGTCCCAGCTACTCCGGAGGCTGAGGCAGGAGAATGGCTCGAACCCGGGAGGCGGAGCTTGCAGTGAGCCGAGATTGCGCCACTGCGCTCCAGCCTGGGCGACAGAGCGAGACTCCGTCTCAAAAAAAAAAAAAAAAAAATTTCTTCTCTGTCTCAATGTATATGTATGTTAGTGTCATATAAGCCATCAATCTCTGCCTTTTTGTTTTCCATTTTCTGTTCTAAAGAATGCAACTTAAAAAAGCTGATGCTGAATTGTGCCAAAGTTTCTTTGTCGCATGCTATATGCCTCGGTGATCATCACCTTGATCATGTCACCATCTTTCCCTTAAAGAGTCTCCACATGGCCCTTTACATAAACATTATCCTCTATGGTTTTGGTGATGATTCCTACTGAAGAAGTCGGGTGCTCTTGCTGCAGGACACCTGCAAGATCAGTGCAGTTCTACAGAGACATTTCCCAAACGTGATTTGTTATAGCTTATATTATGTGTTATAAGCTAGTGCATCTACTCTGTTGGTACTAATTTAAAACACTACAGGTCAAAAAAATTATAGCTAGGGCATTAGTGTCCAAAATTTGGCCTTTGGAAAAGTAGCCAAGCAACCATGGTGCTGGTGAGTGAAGAAATAGTACCTTTGGCTATCAAGACAGGTTTAGCTCTGGATCCCATTCCCTAGAAACACCTCTAAAATTATAGGAGATCATGTTGCAATTATTTATTTTTATTAAGTGGTGGCATGACAAATGGAAGTTCTGGCTCTGAATTTTGTCATGTGAAATAGAGTCTAATTATCCAAAAATACAAAACACTGTCTTACCTAGAAAGTAGATTTTAATACTCAGATAGTTTTTGAAAAAATTTTGGTATTAGAAGTGGTGTCTGTGTGTGTACCTGCATGTGTCTCAAACTCCTGAGTTCAAGGGATCCTCCCATCTCAGCCTTCCAAGTAGCTGGGACTACAGGCTAGTGTCACTGTGCCTAGCTGAAGGAATGCAATATCTCTATCTAGAGAGAGAAATACACATAAATTGCTGAGAAAATATCCTAGAGAAATTTTGGTCACAGGCAGGAATATTAAATCTATTGAATTTAAATGAAAAGACCAAGAAAAACCTTCAACAAACTTTTAACTTCATCTTTAATAATCTCTTACTTAATATATTTCAAAGCTATCTAAAGAAATGGTAATGCACAGTAACTGTCAATACAAATTTATCCAAAAGTTCTATTTGAAATAAAAGGGAATATAAATTTCATAAAGTTATTTTCTTTTGCTCTCTCTCTCTCTCTCTCTCTCTCTCACACACACACACACACACACACACACACACAACTGCCTGCATTTAAACATGATACCAGCATAGGCAAAACCGAAATGATGTAAATAATTGATAGAAACAGGAATGGGGCCATGGTCTCTATCATAAAACAATGGTAATACACACAGATGTGCACACACGTAAAATATGTTAGGCATCACAAATAGAATGTTAGTATTTTGGAATCAAATTTCCACTTGCCTACTTTTTCAATAAGGAACTGGGAATCCAAAATTTTATTCAATCACCATAAGCAAAACACCATAGAAATAAACTTTTGTCTTTCTGTGATCATTGAGAAAGAAAGATGAGTGCAAGAGCACAGAGGTGAAAGTGAAAACAACACCTTATGCTCATAAACAGGAAGAAGTGAGCGGATGCTGCTACTGTTGTTATCACTGCTCTTACCATCAGTGGGATTTTTCTTTGACCTTTGTCTTATTTATCTGTAGTTTGCACACGGGGCCTCTCATCAGTGGGTTGGGATTTTGGCTGCAGTGGCAGCTGTTGCCATTCAATGAGCACTTACTACATTCTGAGCATGTGCTAAGTGCTTTACATGAACAAGCCCAATGAGATAAGTATTATCCATATCCCCATTTTACCGATGAGGACACTGAAAGTAAAATAAGTTTACAACTTGCTCAAACTCATAGAAGTAAAAAGTGGCAAGCCCAGAGTTTACTCATGGGCATTCTCACTCCAGCTTCTTAACTATTATGGCTGGTATTTTGTTATCGGAGCCTTAGTTTTCCTTAACGTCTCAACAACATTAAAGCCAATTATTTTAAAAATGCTTTATAATCAATAGAGGTATTATTCCCATGAGTTCAGCAGAATATAAATAACCTCAAGGTTGCCTGTCAGTGGGAAAAAAAAGGAGAAAATAAAAGAAAACTAAATGTAAAATTGTCTAGGAAAATAAAGCAACTGTACAGATGACAAATACGCTACCTACAAATACCATTTTGAATATTTTTTCAAAATGGCTAAAAGTATAAACTTACACAATCTGTAGCATTAACTTCGACGCCAGCATCAAGTAGCATTCGTACAAGAGCCTCATTCTGCTTTGTCTTTGATACCTATTACAAATGGTAATTATAAGAAAGGCTTATTTACAAATAGTTTCTCCAATTTATGCCTGAGACTATTTAATCAATAGGCTTCATTTTAATCCCAACACTCCTATGCATGCATGCACCCTTCCTAAAATTTCCCCCAGCTTCTCACTCACTCTAATATCAATTAATTAAAGCCAGGTTCTCAGACTGTGGTCCTGAAGTAGCGGCACTGACACCTAAGAACCTTAGAAATGTACTTCTCAGGTCCCACCCCAAACCTACCTAATTCCACTGAGGATGGGGCCTAGTACCTGTCTTTCCCTTCCTGGCTCAAAGCTGTGCAATTACTTCCCATTGCTCTGAGGACAAAAGTAAACTCTTCAGCATGACCTACAAAGCCCCGTATGTTTTGGCTCCACGTATGGCCCTGCCCTGGCCTCTCTCTCACTCTGCGCCTCCTGGCTCACTCTGTTCTACTTACATTGGCCTTTGTTAATCTTTCATTCTCAGAGAATCATTGCACAGGAAGTTCCTTCTGCCTAGAAGCCTCCTCCCTCTCTTCTTTGCCTGGCATATTCACCTTTCATTCATCAGCCCAAGTCCCTCTTTCTCTAAGAAGCTTTCCCTGACCCACCTGACCAGGTGAAATCCCTCTTTTTTAGCTATCCTAACACCAGTCGCCTTTCTGTATCACCCGCTTTATGGTAATTTTACATGTGTTTGTGCCATTTGATTAATGACTCTCCCCACCACCCTCTAACTCTCATGGGGTAAAAAACTATGCCTATTTTGTTCATCATTGTGTCCCTAACAGCTAGCACAGCGTCTGGCACATAGTAGGTCCATAATAAACATACGTTAAAGAATTGAACAAATTAATGAAATGAACTAGGACTCCTCAGAAATTCACTTTTCCTTCCCAGTCTCCTGAGCTTCTGACCACAAGCCTGTTGGAGTCTTCCCCAACTTCCAGTCTCCTGAAGAGGCAAAGCTCTCCCTGCTCAGCTGGGTATAGCCCTGGAGTTCAACCCTGTCATCACCTGGGAAGCTCCATCCAGTTCTCTCTCCTTAGGCTTCCCTCTTGTGTCACCTCCTAAACTGCCTTTCTCTGCCTACTTTTCTCTGAAATAACCCAATGCTTTCCTCTCTCCTCCCCTATCATTTCCTCTCATGTCACTTATTTGTTAATTCATCACAAATTTACAACTTTAGGCCCCATTAATAAATTGCACGTGCATGAAACTAGAGTTGAGCTATTCATTACGATTACTATTTTTGCCCAGTCCTCCAGCCTCTAAACATTGAACCATCTTAGAAAGCAGAGTTGTGTGTCAATAAATTCTGAATGAGCCTTCTAATCACAGTTGTAATTTTTACCTTTAGAATCTCTAAAAATGTTTGTAAATAAATAACAGATTCTCCCTGCCCCCAAAATACATGTATTTAAATGCTATGTGCTAAATACATAATGAATTTTTAAAGAATTCTTCGAGGATATGAGCAGATTATATTTTTATTAGTGAATTAAAGTTCTTTTCTCTCTCCTATAAATCCAAATATAAAAATCAACATTGTCATGTTTAATTATAGTTCCTCAAATTCTGTGGCATTTAAATACCCAATGAAATAATAACATTTTTGACGGGCAGACTTGTTCTGCGGCTGATGTTAACAGGTGTAACCAATATTCACAGTTTATGAGCTACAACAAGGAGGGAGCTTGGTCATTTAATTAAAGTAAATTATGCATCTCTTGAGTCATGTCTGAGAAGTGGAACTGGGCACAAAGGAAACTAGATGGATAAAAGTGAGTAAGTCAGTGCAGATCTGTTACCCTATTGGGAAAAAAAACCAAAAACCATCTCAAGCTTCATCTTCTACTCCTCATATGACTGCATCTCTATACCAACTACATCTTTCTTTATTCAAGAAAATTGCTGTCTGCCAAGATTCATCCAAGCATGAAGAAATTCATCAAGGTGAAAATGGGCTTAAATTCTCAACAAGTATCTTCTGTGTGTGTCAGCTTCTGGATGCAAACTTTTAGGATCTGTTTTTCAACACACCACCAGAGGAGTACTTAAAAATCAGTAAGTCAGAAAGATAAATCCAAAAACACAAACTCCTCTTTTAAAAAAAGGAGAAAAAAATATTAGAAGGGGTGTTTTTTAATATTCAGAATTTTTTTGCTCCCTTCAGAAAAGTCTTAGTTAAGGTTAAATTATTTTTCTAAATCAACATTGCATGGATTATGTTACCATTGATTAACTATTTTTGCTAGCTTTCTTCTTGCTGTACTTCAATTATAGCATTGGATGTATGTTGAACATGTCAATTACAGAATACAAACCAAAGGCTTTTTTTGTTTTTATTTCTTTTCAACATCTCACTGGCCTGGCAAGAGTCAATGAGTCACACCATCGATCTCCACATTTGCCCTTTGCTCTACAAGTGTTGTACTCACCATGAGGAAATACCCAATAAGCAGAACAGGCATTAAGAGGATAATTAGTAGATAATCAATGAAGGTAAATTTTTTCTTCACAGCATAATGCAAGCAGGTTCTCTCTTTCTAAAAATTAAGAAAAGGATTCTTTACTAATAAAGCATTTCAATTCAAAATTTATTCAGATGGCCATCTCAAAAAGTTTAGTTTGTGCTTTTTGTTTTTCCGGTACCCATGGCATCTTTTCCTGTGGGATACATCTGATTACTGAATGCGGCTTTCCATGGAGCAGAACAGAGAACTCGGTCCAGTGTAAAGGAAAAGCTAGGGAAGGGCTCCTGGGAGTCAACAAAGGTGAAATGTACACAGCAGAGCTCATCAGAAGACAGATTCTTATACCCACTTAGTTTTTGGAAAAAAAGATACACTGAGATATAAACTTAGGACTGAATTTACTATGAAAATTGATAGTTATCCCTTAATCATCTACCATGTGTACGATTATCCATTTTGTGGTTTGTTCATAGGAAAACTCTTAACCACATGGCTGTTTTTCATGTTCCTTCATGTGCATAGTCTAGAAGAATGCATATAACTCAATTTTATTCTTCAAATATGTGAATACTTATCAGGTAATAGATGTCAGCTTCCAAGGGTTGTGGGAGATGTGAACTCTTAGGGCCTCATAATCAAAGATGGACAGAAATATGCACAAATAAATATAAGGCAAAACAGAAGGTGGTAATTGGAATACCAATCAAATCAGTAAGAGGAGAGGGAGCCCAAGAGAAAGAAAGGAGGTTAGTTTCCACTTATGCAAGGCACTGTACCTAAATAAGAACACTTTTTGTTTTTCTAATATGAAGGCATTTATATTTTCTGTAAAAAAATTTTAGAAACTAGAGAGGAACATAACGATAGAATTTTAAATTGCCCATTATTATATTAAATGGTCCAGAGTTAACTGTTGACATTTTGTTGTATTTTCTTCCAGTCTTCTTAAATGCATAAATGTGGAATTTTGAAATGTAGAATGATATTGCATATGCAATATCATATCTTGCTTTTTTCAGTTCAGAAACGTATATTTAGAATATGTACATTTTTCCATGCAATTCAATATTTTTAAACATATGATTGTAATGGCTGCATGGCTTAGTATTGAGTGGAACTACTCTGATGTATTTAGCTAAGCCCTGCCTTTTGAACATTTCATGGTTTTTGAGGGTTTTGTTTTTGTTTTTGTTTTTCTGTGAGACAGGATCTTGCTTTGCCACCTAGGCGGGAGTGCAGTGGCACAATCCTAGCTCACTGCAGCCTTGACTTCCTGGTCTCAAGCGATCCTTCAACTTCAGCCTCCAAAGTAGCTGGGACTACAAACATGTGCCACCACACCTGGATAATTTTTTACTTATTATTATTTTGTGTAGAGATGCGGGGGTCTTGCTATGTTGCCTAGGCAGGTCTTGAACTCCTGGTCTCAAACTATCCTTCCACCTTGGCCTCCCAAAATGCTGGGATTCCAGACATGAGCCACTGCACATGGCCCGTTTCAAGTTTTAAACTTTTCATTTTTATAAATAATATTGCCTGAACCTGCTCATTCATAAATTTTTGTCAACATTTCCAAATTTGTCCTTTGCCTACATTTCTAAAAATAGAATTCCTGGCATAAAAAGTATTAATGCTTTTCATATTGCGCTATCAAATTGTGTTCTAATAAGACAATAATAACTTAAACTTTCTGATCAACATTTGTTTTCTTTTTTAATCTTGGTCAGTTTGACAGACAAAAACAAGGATCTTTATGTTTTAATTTAATTTGCTATCAATAGAATCCATAGGCTTGTGCTTCTGAATCTCCAGCAGAGCTTTTTGTTTGTTTGTTTGTTTTTAAGGTGTTTGTTTGTTTAGTGTTTCTGGAAATAATTTATAAACAGATTTCAGACATGAGAAATCACAGGTTCAAATTATTAATGTACAAATATTAATATTTGGAGAAAATAAAAATATTAAATGCTAACATTAGAAACATTTGAAAGTGGAAAATGCAAACCAAAAACTTCTACTGATAAAATCTATTAATCTAATGTATCCACTAAAGTCTTTTTCATGGTTTTTATGATACCAGAAAATCCCAGCAGGCTGGCTGAGGCCCTCCTCTTCTGCAAAGCGGAGATAAAAGTGTCTCCTCAGCCTTGCCCATGGGCTAACGTCTCCTCCCTCAGTTTCCTAACGAGCGCACCTCTTAAAAGAGCGCAGGAACCCACAGACATCTGTCTTCTGGCACTACCACTCACTGCAACTCCACATATCTGGTTTCACAGCAGTGATCTACAGAGATCCTATTATAGTCCACGATGTTGCATATCTGTTCCATTCAGCACAGGCATGACTTGCTTTTAATCGCAACCAAACCAAAAATAGTAAGCATAAATAAAAAAGTCCAGTAATGATCAATTTTCTGATAATACATTGTTACTCCTGATGAGCTAGTCTCCAAATGACTTAGAAGGGGCAAGGGGGGATTTCCAGTGTTTTCTCGCCTTGAATGCATATAAGTGGGTACAGGACAGTCATAATGATTGCAAAAAAATGGCTTAATATTTATTCAGTGTAATTTAAATATTGCCTTCACTACGATGCAAATGCTAGATGTTCAGAAAGGGCTCCACAAGGATTTTCACAGCAATACACACATATTCTTCTCTTTCTTGGTCCTGAAGGCTCCAAAGTAGCTAATATTGCATCTTTAAATATATTCTTTACACCTTTTTGTGTGACTTCAAGTAACCTCTGGCTCATGAGCTTATTTGTCCTTGGTAAATTTCTCAATAGTACTCTTTCATTCTACAAGAACACTATAGGATCCTCTGGAGATCAGGACATTAATATAGCAGGTAAAAATCTAACTAATGAAACAGCATTTCTTTTCCAAGAAATCTTTGCCATTGCTTCTGTGTTAGTAATGAGAAAGAGGGGAGAGGAAGAAAGAGGAGGATGAAGAGAGGAAGAAGGAAAAGAAAGAAGCTCTATCCAGCCAAATAAGTGAACCAGAGGTAAAAAGACATAATTTATCACAAATTATGCCTGCTGATTGAACTATGTTTTATTTTGCTGTTTAGCCTAATAAAATGTCCTTGGTATGTGTCAGTCTTTCTAAAGTAGGCTAAGATAATTGTTCGTATTAGGAGCTGCAAGCAATTTAAAAAATGACATGCACCACTTCTAGTGATTCAAAGAGAAAAGAATTATCATGAACAATTACACTCTCCATTCATGTCATGACCTCACCTGGTTTTTGAGGTTGACATTAGCATTTCTTCTTAAAAGGAAGGAAACGATTCTCACATGCCCTCGCCTGCAAGCACAGATCAGGGGCGTGTCTCCATTAAAGCCATCTTGAACGTTGGCATAGCTGCTGTCTTCTTTCACCCACCGCCACACTTGTCCAAAGTCATTCTGATAGGCTGCTTGGCAGATGGGCTGGGTCGGGAAAAACAAAAGCAGGTTTTGAAATACTGGCATAATTAAACCACAAAAACGAAAAAAAAGTCATAACCCAATACATTAAAATTTAAATGTTTTAAAATTGTAATATATTGCTTTGCAGGTGAGATTTTTTGGTCTCAGTTATGCCTAGCTTTAAGTCTAGATCAAGAATTAGCCCATGAGGAACCTCCTACATTTTCCTAAGTTTTCTTGGCACACACTTATGTCCATCAAATGGATGAATAAATAAATGAAATACTACAAATTCAACTCAGTAAGGAAACTATGTATAGTGCTTACAGGTAGGTGGGCCTGTCGGAAAAGCATTCATTTTCTTTACTAAAGATAAAATACCTTTATCTTTATCTTTACTAAAGACAAAATACCTTTATCTTTATCTTTACTAAAGACAAAATACCTTTATCTTTATCTTTACTAAAGATAAAATATCTTTATCTTTAGTAAAGACAAAATGTCTTTATCTTTATCTTTACTAAAGATAAAATGTCTTTATCTTTATCTTTACTAAAGATAAAATAGAAAACAAGCATATGGGGAGGAGTTTAGGGCAGTACTAGTGATGAAATAAGACCTACATAGCACCCTGTATTCAAGGAGCTCAACAGAGCAGAAAAGACAGTTTTTTAGGCAAATAATATACAAATTATATGGTTAACTACACTTGATTAGATGCTGTTTATAAAAAGCATTATACAGAGCTTCACAAGGCACCATGGGAGTTTAATAGCAAGACTTCAGGTAGCATGATCTTGTCCTCTTTCCCTCCTCTGCTCCAGCCTTTCTCGACTTCTGTTCTTCAAAGTTTGGTTGAACCAAACCATGTTTGGTACCTTCCATCTGGGCTTCTGCCCTGAATACTCTCTCTGCATAAAACACACCACCTGCCTTTCTTCTGAATAACACCTAGCTCACCCTTCATGTCATAATTTAATTTTCATTTTATCCAAGAAGTCTTTTCTTACTCCCAACATTCAGTATCTCTCCCTCACAGCAACTGACATACTGTAATTCTTTTCTTAATTATGTACAATCATGTATTTAGGGCTAGCATGAATCAGGAGAGGTTTGAGGCAGTGCTGAGAAGGAAGGCACTGAAGTTCAGGCCGTAAACCCCATTTTATTTACTGCTATTTCTCCAGCATTCAACACAGCACTCAGCACATGGGAGGCAAACACTGAATATTTTTAGACTAATCTTCAGATGATGTCTTTTAAAAAGCATTTAGAGTAATACCTGGCATATGGATGGTGCTTAGTGTATGAAAGTTATCATTATTGCAATTGTCATTCTTTAATAATCAAGTCAAATCCCTGCTGTGTGCCAGTCACAGGTACCAGAGAATAAAATATGTTATCTTATCCATGTAAAATGTATCTGTCAAGTGGGGAAATAGGACAGAGACACACATACACAGAGTAAATGACAAGAAAAAAATTTTTTGGTATGGGTAGGTACATAAGCACCTGTGGAAACTGGGACGTATCAAGGGGAAAGTCAAGTGGGTGTATTTGCTAATAAACTGAGGTTCTAACATAGCCAAATATCACAATAAGTGAACTATGTTATACTCTTAAACCTAAAGGCCTACTCATGAAAGAAACATCCTAACAGAAAATTAACTCAGCAGCAATTAAAGGCAAACTTCTGTACCTTAAAAATGAAATGAACATGATACATGGGCTTTAAGTTTCACTAGAAATGCACAATTTCACAAATCACCTATTCTGTTATCCTGAAGTCTTCCCTTTACTAAGCTTTCCAACAGTTGGGCACTTCAGTGTCTCAGCATACTGTGTGGCTGATGCAGAAAGGACTGGGGCAGTTGAAACACTTGTCTCATGTCAGAAAAACAGGATGTAATTGTGGCTCTGTTACTACCTCCCCCGGTGACTGTGGACAATTCACTTCCCTACTGTATCTCAGTGTCCTCAGTCATTAAATGAAGGAGTAAGGCAGAAGTTCCCTTGGGTTTTCATATTCGATTATTTCTGGGACTCTAGTCTCAACCAACAAATCTTCCACATCACTGCTGGAGTCCAGGGTTATGTCAACACAATAGTGCTTAAATAAAACCTTCAGTGACTTGCCATTGTCCTAGCAGCAATGCCCAGTCATTTGGAGTTCAAAAATAAGTAAAACAAAACTAAATGCAACAAGACAGTGTTAAGTCACCAACTCTTAATTTTTCAATTAAATGTATTTAAAACAATACTATTATTTCATAAAAGATATTTTAACAAATACAAAGATAAATGAAGGGTATTTTAACAAAATATGTAAGAATATAATCACCAGGGGGAAAGCAGTTCTTTATATTGGGTAGATTTAGTTAGCTTTATAGAAAAATTCATTTTATTGTCCTTTTAAAAGATTTTACCATAAACTAGTGAAAATTTAATAATGGAGTGATTAGCAGTGAGCACTACTCATCAAGCATTTGGAAATTGGTGGTCTACCATGAATAGCTTGGAAACAAGTGGCTTTAGAGCTCTTTTTCTCTTTTCTCAAATATTTAAATAACTTAACAACATTTAAAAAACTAGAATATTTCATGTATTAATCTGGCTTTCCAGCTTCTCTTTAAAAATGGAAAGTTTTGGCTGGGCGCGATGGCTTACGCCTGTAATCCTAGCACTTTGGGAGGCCGAGGTGGGTGGATCACCTGAGGTCAGGAGTTCGAGATCAGCCTGGCCAACATGGAGAAACCCCATCCCTATTAAAAATACAAAAATAAAAAAATTAGCAGGGCATGGTGTCTGGTGCCTATAATCCCAGCTACTCTGGAGGCTGAGACAGGAGAATCGCTTGATTCGGCAGTGAGCCGAAATCGCGCCACTTCATTCCAGCCTGGGCGACACAGCGAAACTCTGCCTCAAAAAAAGAAAAAAAAAGAAAGAAAAAAAAGAGAAAGTTTTGCTAACACTGGGCCCATATTCCTGTAGGATACCAAATAACTGGTGCTTAGTGGCAGTGACTCCAATTCTCCACAGTCCCCACCACTCGCCATCACATTACACTGGTTCTCTTCACTCATCTATGTTACCTGCCTGGTAACATAGACCTCCAGGAGCTCTCTGCTTAGGCTTCTCAAAGTCTTTACTAAGAGCTAACTAAAAAGAAGAAGAGGAAAAGATGGGGAGTTGTTCTGCAAGAGTCACTCAGTGCTTTTGAGGGCTTTCTCAACCCCATTTGAGCAATATTATGTAAAATACTAACCCTATCTTTAGTCTTTCTTAGGCTTCCTAGATCCAAGACACAGAGTTACCAGGAAGCTAAGTGTCTTCCTTCTCGGCTGAGATGCACAAGTACAGTCATACTTCACTTCACAACAGGGATACGTTCTGAGAAATGTGTTGTTAGGTGATTTTGTCATTGTGGGAACATCACAGAGTTTACTTACACAAACCTAGATGGTAGAGCCTATTACTAATATGGTATAGCCTGTGGCTTCTAGGCTAAAAACCTATACAGCATGTTACTGTACAGAATACTATAGGCAGTTGTAACACAATTGTAAGTATTTGTGCATCTAAACATAGGTGAACATATAAAAATATACAGTAAAAATATAGCGTAAAAGATAAAATGGTACACCTGTATAGGGCAGCTCCATTATAATCTTATAGGAACACTGCTGTATATGCTGTTCATTGCTGATCGTGACATCATGTGGTGCATGACTATAATTTAATGTGAGAGTCGCACTAACGCTGAAGACTCCATGCTGTTATGAACTTGCGGTTTCCACTAGGGGGCAGCGCAGCGTAAGAAAAGCACTGACAGCGGGCAGAAGGGAAGTCCAATAGAAAGTGCTGGTTCACAAGCCAGGTATGAAAAAGAGAAGAGGTTGTCCATTTGGGTTGCTGGAAAAGCTATCATAAACCCCTTTTAACCCCTTAAGCTCTGTAATTTGGGGGCACCCTGGGTGTAGAAGAAACACACTTGGGAAATTATTATAATAACTCTATCCCCTAATAGTCTCAGAACCCTTCTGTCCATCCTCACTGCTAAAGTACTGCTTCAGATCTTCATCATTCTCACCAAGACTATTGCACACAATTCTTTCAATCTCACGTGTTCCATATGCCGTTTTTACAACTTCATCTCCTACCACTGTCTTATCCACACCCTTGATCTAAATAAAGGTATGTGTGTTATTAACAGCCATCTCCCCAGCTAGACTGTAAGCTATATAAGGGCACTGTGACTACATGAGGCTACATTTTGTCTGTACTGATTCATCATTGTACCCCCATAACATAGTGCCTGGCACATGGTAGGCATTCAATATGTACTTAGTGAGTAAATAAGAGAAGGAAGAAATTATAAGATGAGCTAACAGTTATTGAGTAGCTCAGTTATTCTATATTAATCCTCACAACAACCCTCTAAAGTAGTATTAATATACCTGTTTTGCACAGATGAAACTAAGGGAAATTGTTTTCCTTGCCCAAAGTGACATAGTTCACAACTGGCATGGCCAAGAGTCAAATCAAGGGGAATGACTGCAGAATGCGTACATTCTATCTCCAATCACTTTAGTCTTAAAAATCAGCCTTCAAAATGTCTTCTGGCTACAAGACTTCGCATTTGATATTTGTGTCCAAAATTAAGCTACAGTCTGTATTCGGGATATTGATCTGTCCACTTGTGGCACTGACTTGCTGGTTATACTGGTTATACATCCAGACTCCTTCTCCAACCTGACCTAGAATCAGCAATATCCACCAAGAGATAAGAAGTGTCATCAGAGAGTCTGCAGAAGAAACAGAAAAACGTTAAGACTCAAAGGCAAAGAAGTGAAAGTTTCAAGAAGGAAGACAAAGATCATTGAATGTGATCATTAGCAGCCATGCAGAGGCCAATTTTCATACAGTGATGGGGCTGAAGGAAGAATACAGAGGCCTGAGCACATTGTCTATGAAGAATTAGAGGATGCAATTGGAGAGGAATTGTAGTCAGTTTGGCAGTGAAAAAGCTGTTAGGGAAAGCTAGAGACTTCAAAGAGGGGGGTAGCAGTGTCCAGCCAACGTTCCACACGTTTGTAGGCAAAGTGGTGTCATCAAGTGGTTACAAATCCAGGCTCTGGAAACAAACTCTCTGGGTTCCAATCTCAACTCTGCGACTTAACAGCTATGTTATTTGGACAAGTTACCTAGACTCTTCATGCTAAGTTTCCTTCTGCTTTTGATAATCATGCCTTCTTTATAAGTTTCAGAAAGAATTAAATGTAACTGTGCAGATGAAGCACTTAGCTCAGATCTGAGTCACAGTAAACCCTCAATTAATGTTAGCTACTCTTATAATTATTAAAGCATAAGGAGCCAATGAAGATGGACAGGAGTGGTTATGAGAGGGTAGATAATTGATCAAAGAGAGTGAAGAGATGATAGGATAGAGAGCATTAAGATGGAAACATTAGTCTCCTACATAGAAGGAAAATTCTGGCTCTAAGGCCAAAGCAAGGGAGAAAAGAGAGCTACATGGATGGAAAGAAGTTTAGACTGACTGAAATTTTTGCCAGAAAGTCAGAGGTTTGATCTTCATTCATTATACTACTATATATTTGTCATAAATAAATAGATACATCTAGATAACTAATATGGTTTGGCTGTGTCTCCACCCAAATCTCATCTTGAATTGTAGCTCCTATAATTCCCACATGTCATGGGAGGGACCCAGTGGGAAGTAATTGAATCATAGGGGTGGGTCTTTCCCATGCTGTTCTCATGATAGTGAATAAGTCTCACTAGATCTGATAGTTTTATACAGGGGAGTTCCCCTACACAAGCTCTCTTTTGCCAGCTGCCATGATTGACTTTGCTCCTCATTTGCCTTTTGCCAGATTGTGAGGCCTTCTCAGCCATGAGGAATTGTGAGTCAATTAAACTTCTTCCTTTATAAATTACCCAGTCTTGGGTATATCTTTATTAGCAGCATGAGAACAGACTAATCCAATAACTAAATAAATAGCATTGACATTTAAAAAGATGAATGGATTAATGACAGGAGATGTGATTGAGACAAGGGTAGATGAGACTTTTGAGCATGATGGGGAAGATTTTGGACCATCGTAATTAAAACTGTCTACATGAAATGAATAAAAATATAAAATGGCTTTGAAAACCAGGTTGTAGAAACACAGTAAGAAGATAGAGTTGACTGAGCCTGCCATGTGAGTTTGTGATTTTCTTCAGCAAACCTAGATGAGGGAAGAGTACAGAAAGTGAAGAGGGCAAGAGCAAGGATTAGGAAACATGTCTGTCAGGCAAGAGAAATGAGAGGAGAGTGGTTTACCATTAAATTCAGTCTTAATGGGCATCATATGTAAGCCAGATAAAGACAAATGAACTTGCAAAAAGAGAGAGACAAGCAAATAGAAACACAGAGAAGGATCAGAGCACAGTTCGTACATGTGGTCTATTAGAAAAGTAACCAGTTTAGAAGTTATCAGAGAGATGTTACAGATAAACTCTGTCTAGGGATGAGAAGTCAAGGGTGGCCTTGTTGGGTATCTGATTTGGAGTAGAAACACAGGTCAAGAAGGGAGAATGAAGCTTATGGATGTTGAGGTCACTGAGGATGACCCCGGGGGACAGAAAGAAAGGGGAACTTGTGTTCCAGGGAGGTGGAAGTGGGCCCTGGAATACAGTGGACAGAAGGGAGAATGTAGAGAAAGGGCCATAAGCAGAGATTTCAAGTAAGAAATTGAACCATGGTCAAAAAACAACGGTGACCAAGAAGTAGACTGAATCAGCAGCCACCATAAGAGAAGGTGTCATAATGCCCAGGAAAAGCCAGATTTCAGTGAAGGCACAGAGGAAAACAGACTAGTAGGCGAGGAGGAGATTGAAGAGAAGGAGTATTTACCAGCAGGGTGCATGAGTTCCCATGGGCTAACCTGTGAACAGCGCTCCCTAGAGCCGTGCTCTGGACAACCTGAAAAGCTAAGACACAGGATTGATAGGGCCCACTGACTAACTTTTCTCTTCAGCCTCATCTATCAATCTCCCTTTTGCTCACAACTTTGTGGTGATTTCTGGGGCATTCCAGGTTCATTTCTGTCTTCTGGCCTTTACACTTGCATGTGACCTATATGGCGGGCTTCCTGCTAGGCCAGATCAAGTATCAGCCCATGAATCACCTCCTCAGAGAGGACTTCCCTGACCACTCAGCCTCCCAGCCCAGGAACTTTCTCTCTCTCACATAATCTTGTTTTATCTTTTTAAATTGCACTAATTGGTATTGAAATGGGGTGTAATGTGCCCAAGTTCCTAGAAAGTGAGGTATCTATGACTTTTACCTGGTTTTTAAAGTGCCCCTCAGTGGGCCAACTGTGTATAAACCACTGCTGTTCTGCAAGCTCTCCCATCTCTGGTCAGGTCAATTTCCTCACTTCTATGTTTGGGCTACTGGCTTGCCATCCTTATCTTTTAAATTGTGCTATCTATTCTTCAAGGCCCATCTCATGGTTCATCTCCAAGAAATCTCTTTCATCTTTCCTACCTGCAGCAGGAAATATACAGAACCTCAAGCAGCTCATTGGCCTTAAATGAGCTAGTGGGTTAAATGTAGTCTCCTTAACTAGACTGTAACCCTCCTGAAGTTAGGCTTCCATAAGGTCAAGCACCCAGAACATGGATAAAAGTCATTTGTTGGTTGACACATGGATTCATCCGATCTGGCTGGGAAGTGAGGCTAGGAAAGGGGTTGATGTTTAGAAGGTAATCGATCATGTAAGGACCAGGACAATATTTCGCCTCAGTGGTTCTCAACCTTGGCTAAATATTGCAATCATGTTTGCACCAACTTAATGTTTAAAACACGACCCAGGCCCCACTATTGACCAGTTAAATAAGAATCTGTAAGAATAGGATTGGGGCATTAGTGCTCTTTAAATTTCCCTGGTGATTCTGATGCACAGTGAGGGTTGAGAATCTCTGCAAAGGTAAAAGAAACAAGCCCCCCATAATGGAAGTAAAAATTTAATGTAACATTGCAGCTTTTAAACTCACATTAGCTAAGGAGCATTCAAAACTCTGGAATAATGGAACATTAGGAAAAATTTTTTGTGTCCTTTTGCCTTCCCACATGTTTGTCTTTAAAAGGAGTCAAGAATTTGGAGGTAAGGTTTCACTCTGTTCACTTCCATCTTACTTGCCCAGGCACTAAAATTTAAGAAGCGTCCATGGGTAGAATATGACGCATCCGGTATGTTGATGATTAACTAAAATAATCAGCATGTTGATGATTAACTGTATGTATTACTTAATAATATTTTGCACTGCTCTAAGTACAATAGATATCACAGCTGAAAAAATATTTGTTGTTATTTTAATAGTGTAGAAACATCTGAACAACTTGTACCACTATGGATGTCTTTAAAAGCAAAGCTTCCCCCAAATTACCCCCACTTTTTAGTGTTGTTTTCCCTAAAGTATAATGGAGCTTCTGTAATTCCCAATCTAAGGAAAGACTGTGTAGAACTTTGCCTGTGGCTCAGAGGAATTGGTTCACTGTTTATTAGCCATCTCCATGCTACAAGCTCCCCTCACTTAAAATGTTCCATGAAAACTTCTGAGAAGGATTTGTAGGTTTTGGAGCAAAATGATTCCGGTAAAGAGCCTTGTGATTCACGAAATGTCTTCTCAGAAAAGGAAGGAAGATGTTTTTCTTTCTCTTCAAGTTAAGAAACCTTGGAGAATGATAATAAAAACCTATTGGGTTTAATTTGATTTCTACAATTAATCCCAAGCCTTTGTTTCTGATAACTCACTCTTCACATACTGTATTTTATAAATTCCTTAGGAAATGTCTTCTTTCAGACAAATAAAAAAGTCGCAATAATTTTTTAAAGGCTGTTCTAGGCCCACTCCGTCTCTGTGTAACATGGAGGAAGGTCCCACCACTGGCTGGAACGTGTAGAGAAGTCATAGTTCCTCATGAACGATAGCAGAAGGGGAAATAGAAGCAGGGCACATATTGATCTATGTTTTCTACTCTTTATCCTGAAAGGTCTGTTTGAGAACATGAAGTTATGTTCCTTGCCAGGAAGCTAAAAAAACCCCATTGCCACACTTCTGACTCCAGGACATCAGAAACTCTGAGGTCATGAGGACCAGGGGAAAGCAGAAGATCCTTCACCTCCAGCGAGGAGTAAGGGTGGAGGAAGAGTGGGTTCTGGCTGCTAGAAAATGGCAAATCAGAAGCCCTGATATTCCCCTACTACCTCAGACCACCACAGAGGTATTCACAGAGAAGAGAGAAGGCAGTAGGGTGCCCATAACTAGGTAACATCCAGTTCTACAAAAGGAGGGAGTAAGAGAAAAAAAAAGAAAGAAAGAAAACCTTTGTGGTCTTCTTCCATTTCATTGGTGTAACCACTCCCACCTGGCTAGTTTCAACCTACAAAAGAGAGAGCAACGAACTCAGAGTTGAGCAAAATTGGCTTTCACAAACCAGTTCAAGCTGACTCAAGCCAGCTCCAGCCTGCTCCAATACACCAGCAACAGGAACTGGCATATATTTCCGTTAAAGTAAGTTATAATGGAGACCAGGCTTGAAGAATCTCTGGGCCAGACAAATCCATTTAGACCTCATAAGTGACCTTAACCTTGCTCAATTTGCAAACATAAGCAAAACTTAACTTCAGCTATTTCTTATAAATCCCTATATTAAAGAAAAATGAAACCAAGTTAACTAATCAGAAGCCTAACTTACATAGAGACTTTCCAGCAGAATCGACCAAATAAAGCAACTCTATAACTGCAACCAATCAAATATTTTCTGTGCTTTACTCCCTTTTTCACCCTATAAAAGCCTTCTCCTTGCATTCCCTCCAAAAAGCCTGCAAACCACAGCTGTCCAATTCCTGAATCGGTATTTGCTCAAATAAATTCTTTTGAGCTTAACCGTGCCTCATTTTACCTTTTGACATCCCAAGACTTTTCTACACTGTCTTATTCTTAACGTAGAAGACAGTTTGGCTGGGGAAGGGCCCAGGATTTGAACTCTCAGCAGCCAATGTCTCTAAACATTTAATGGACCTAAACAGGTATTTTAGCACTAAATCTCTAAATGTAAGTCTCCTTTGGGAAAAATAAAAAATAACAGTAAAAAGTTTCACAGTAATAATACCTACTATATACTGAACTCTTTTTATATACCATCTGTAATGCTAAGCACCTTAGCAGCATCTCATTTAACCCTTACAGCAATCTTAGAACAAAAATAATATTATCCCTCTTTACAGATGAGAAAACAGGCTCAGAGCTCTTTATAGCTAGTGAGTAGCATAACTAGAATTTATACTCTGGTCTATCTAACTCCAGAACCAGTGTTTTAACCCATTAAGCCTCTCTCCACTCCTATGCAACTCCATGCACTAATTTATAATAAACTCTACCCACAAAAGTTCCAGGAGTGCCTATAGTCCTTGATTATTTTCTTCAATTCAATTCAACAGACTTTGAGATCTCAATACTTTCCAAGAGAACTGTGCTAGGCTCTAGGGATACAGAGATGATGAAAACCCAGTAGATACTCACAAGAGGTACATAATAGCATTCATCACATTCTGTATCATGTTATACGACAAACCTTCCCAAGCATCTGCAGAGTTAACAAAATTACTAAAATCCCCTTAAATTCAGTTAAAGAATTTGGATTAGAGGACTAGCATGTAAGTGAACCTATAAAAACAACTATAAATGTTTCACATACTTGGAAAAATAATGACAGGAAAAAAATATCAGTAACATTTCACACATTGTAATGTGGTAATAATAGACATAGTGTTATGAATTGTTACTTGCCAATTCTTGCTTACAGGAAATTTTATAGGTCTACTGTGATTTGCAGTTTCAATAATATATTTGCAAATAGTTTTTACTCCATTTTGGATCATACTAATACTGAAGACAATTATTTTTTTCCTCTCTGGTCCTTCATTCAAATGTATGATGACTTTCTGATTTTATGTCCCAGAAATTACCACTACTTCCCAGGTAGGGGCTGACTTCCATTAGCGTGCAGCTCTGAAGCCACTGTTTCTTGACCTCATCTTCATTTACTTTTCTCAAGGAAGGCTTCTCTATAAAAGCTTCTTCTCTTGCCTGCCATCTACTTCACCTCCTTTTCCTAAAATCAACTCTTACCTCCAATTCCTTGTGTCTTGAATATTCTGTGGCGGAAGAAATTCTCATTCACATATATAGAAACGGGAAGTCCTGAGGTTGCTGAAAGACCTCATCCCACCTTGTTTTAAGCATAATATGATCTTGATACCTGCCAAAGGTCAACTGTTGGTAAAGCCACAAAACCATAGTGCTAAAATCCCCTTTCAAATCCTCATCACGCCTAATCTTAAGCATGTTGGGAGAAAACGTTGCCTTTGCAGAAATGCTTGCTTGATTCTGAAGATTCATGTGGTCTGATGGTGCATCAAGGCAATTAGCATCTTTTTCATTTTTCAAAATTGTTTACTTTAGTGGCACCAATTAGCTAAAAAAGGGTGTGGACTTTAGGGTTCCAGGATTAGTTGTATTATTTCAGTGTAACAAGTAAGTTTTTGGTTATTACTATAAAGTCCAATTAAAATAAATTTGACCATTAAAGGCAGGAAAGTTGAGTTGTGGCAAATTAGAAATCAACTAACATCAAGAATTTCCCACAAGGGATTTCATTGGGAGAATTATTTGTGTCTGGCCTTATGACTGCAGTAAATTCTTTGGAGAAAACAAATGTTTTATTCTTACATTCTTGTAACTCTCACATAACCTACTATATTATTTTCTACAAGATAGACACATGTTTATTAAACCGACATTTAGGTCAGGGAAGCTATCATTATACCTTTCTCTTCGGCAACCTGCAAACTGGGAATCATAAAAATCATAACACATAGGACTCTCAAATCCACTTTCATCTAACAAACCCGACATTTTTAAAAATTATAATACTTCAGTAAAGCACAGTAAGAGAATACATAAAGAATGACAAAGCCACTCTTTTAGATCTCTTGAAGGTGAGATTCAAGCAGAGATCCATGATCTGTCTTAAGTGAAGGAATGAGCCAGGTAACTTTCAGGAGGAAGAAACTTCCAGACAAAGGGAATCCAACTGTCAAGCCCTTTGAGACAAGAGCTCGATTTGATGTGTTCTAGGAATAGCAGGAAGGTCAGCATGGCTGCATGAGCAAGGGGAGTGGCGGGAAATTTGGGAAGCAAATGGGACCAAGGAAAATTGGGTCTCGTAGACCATGGTTAGGACTTTGAATTTTATTTTATGTTTGATGGGAAATGTTAGCAGAGTTTTGACAAAATCTACCTTCAGTTTAGAAAGTTAGTGTTAAGACTTCCCAGTTAATTAGTATGTAAACCATTTTGTTGTATTAAATAGTACTTTATGGGTTTCCAAATAGTAAACGCCTCCCATTCTCATCTCTTTTTCAGTTTTCCAAAAAAGGTATTTCTAATCTTAATAACTTTAAGATTAGGGGAGCTATGTATCAAGAGCTGTTTCTATAACATAAGTAAACATTACAGATTTTTAATTAAAGTAATTATTGTTTAGAATCTAAGGAATCTTTATGGTTAAAAGTAAAAGATCCCTTTTATGCCTTCTTATCTCATCTCAGATAATCTAGATTTCCTTTAAAATTACAAGTGGGATTTCCTTAGTTGATTAAAAAAAAGCCACAATTTTTCTAGCTGAAAATTATTTGTTATTTCAATAGATATGCACACATATATGAAATAAAAGCTTATATTGTAGAAGGCATATACAAATAAAATGACTTATTTTTCCCCTTAGAAAACAAGTTTATTCGGGGATTTTTTTCTCTCCCACTTTCTCCTTGATAATAGTGGAGATGAGCTTTGAACCTGTCTTTCTGAGCTCAACAGCTGGCTTCTTAGCTGGCTTCTTAACAATTATACATTCCTGCTGTGGGCTCTTAGACAAGGAGAACTTCTGGGGCACAAGCTGTTTTTGTCTTGTCCTGTCCTCTTACAAAACTTGAGAAACTCACTTCTCCTCACCACTTTTGGTGCTGATCAGCTCACTTCACATACAAAAGTTGAAACTCCCTAAGTTTTCAATGTTGAATAAAGAAAAATGTGTTTCCCCCTCAACCCCAGAAAATCTCCTGTTTGACTAAATGCGTATGTTTCTTGAGTGTTACAAGCTCCAAGGGTGCTCAAAGGAGGTTGTCCTTTAATATTGCCTTCCTTCTCTGGCAAGACCATACCTTCCTACAATGACCTGGTATCCTTTGCTATCTCTACATTCTTTCCATGTCTAAACTCATCCCTTCTCTTGGCGTTAAATACCATGTATATGCAGACAACTCCTAAATTATTATCTCTTGCCCGAGCCTCTCCTTAAAGGTACATTTCCTGTATTCATCTTCCATCCCCACCTAGATGTCTCATGGATATCGCTAAAGTACCATGTCCAAATAGAACCCTGAAATGTGTCTTTCCTTCTGCCCCTCTCTGAGTGTTCCCATCTCATCAGCACCACCATCCACTGGCTGGCCTAAGGCAGAATACTGAGTATCAACTTTAATTTCTTACTTTCCTTCACTGCCAACCTACAAACCAGGAAATCTTTTAGTTAAAAATTTATCTAAAATTCACCCATTAGTCTAATGCAACCATCATTATCACTCCATAAACTACTGTAACAGCTTCCTTCCAAGATCCAGCTTTCCCTCTGGCATCTCTCAAATTTATTCTCCCATGCTACCAGAGTGGCCTTTTTAAACCCTAATGGTCATATTATTCCTCTCTTAAGATCCTTTACCCGCTTTCCATTGTGTTTTGCATAAAATCTAAATTTTTCACCTTGGCCTACAAGACCTGCCTGATCTGGCCCCTGACAAAGTCTTTACAGTGTTAACCACCATCGTCATTATTGCTATTATCACAATCATCTTGATTCAGAACCATTTCAGCTATTTCACCATTGGTTAATAAATGAACAACTGGAGCCTCATTATCAGTGTTAAAAATTTCTTCAATATCAACTTCTTCCAACTTACTGGTGGACTCTGAAGGTACTTTTTTTTGCGTATGTATGGTCAGACATCTTTTTTTTTTCTCATTTGACATACAGAATCATTCAAAGTCACTTTATTTATAATACTTACTGAACATAGTTGCAGGACAGAGGTTATGCCAGGTATGCACAACTGTCTTTAGTTACTGCATTACAAGCATTGGCAACAGCATATACAACATCCTTTATGCGAAACACCCACACCTATGTTCACTGCTGATAACATACTGTTTACGAAAATGTTTTATATTTACACTGATTGATCTAAGGACACCATTCTCACATGGCTAAATTAATAAAGTCACATTTGGGGAAAAGCACATGGAATAAGTATTACTTTTGATGAGAATTTTAGCTGAAGAATAAGCATAAAAGTTGTCAAGGAATAACAAAATCTTGCAGCCTTCATCCAGTCCAGCTTCCCTGCAGTGAGCATGAGCCATTGCTACAAAATGTTGTGAAAACAATCACAAAAGATGTCCCTGGTGACCCATGCCTTTTGTTAGCATGATAATGGACTAGTAAGAAATTTACTCTTTGAAAATAGTGAGAATTCAAGCTTTTGCCTATTACAGCAGGTTTACATTTGTGTGTGCCTGCTGCATTAGCACATCCCAGCGCAATTATCCTGTCCTTGGTATCCTGATTGCCCACAAGGCCTGTCTCATCGGCTGAAGTCAGTGTCTTTCTGAAGCAATAATGCCAAAACAGTGATGTTTCATCAGCACTATAGACTTGATCTAGTGTGAGAATTTTTATCAGTGATGATCTTGGCAAACTCATCAATAAATTTCTCTGCTGCTTTCTGATCAGCAGATGTTTCGTCACTACAAATATTTGAAAATTTAATGCCATGTTTTTTCTTAAATTTATGCCAAAGAACTACGCATATTCGCAGTTCTTTTAAATTTTCAGTTCATCGTGATAGATCTTTTCCTGTTTCATGATCAGCATACCATTAAGTGGCATGTGTTCTTTGTGATACTGATGGATCCACTTTCTCAATACACAATTGGGATCTTCATTTGTAGCTTTGTGGAATGTTTTTTTACATTTTTCATTAACTTCAGCATAGGACTTAAACAGTTTATCCTTCTATTTCTTTGAGTCATATATGGTGGTCATTTCAACACCATACTCTTTTTTTATTGTTACTTTTTTGAGATGGAGACTCACTCTGTTGCCCAGGCTGGAGTGCAGTGATGTGATCTCAGCTCACTACAACCTCTGCCTCCCAGGTTCAAGCAATTTTCCTGCCTCAGCCTCCCAAGTAGCTGGGATTACAGGCACATGCCTCCACACCCAGCTAATTTTTCTGTTTTTAGTAGAGACAGGGTTTCACCTTGTTGGCCAGGCTGGTCTCAAACTCCCAACCTCAGGTGATCCACCTGCCTCAGCTTCCCAAAGTGCTGGAATTACAGGCATGAGCCACTGCGCCTGGCCTCAACACCATACTCTTCTATCAGACATTTTATACCTATACCACTGTCCAATTTATCCAAAAGCTTGACTTTCTGTGTTATAAGTATACATAAATGCTTCCTTTTTTTTTCTTATCACTGTTACCCATAAGTATCTGCAGACCTTTTTGATATTTTCAACAGTATATTTACATCACAGAGTAGAGAAAAAGCAAAACAAAAACAAAATAAAAAAAAACCCCAAAAAACAAAAAAAGACACACACAGAGAAATACACACAAATCTTGGCCCCATGGAGGCAGAGTGGCAAATCTGCTATAGGCTCATTCATCCTGCACAGGTGCCATTTTTTACCCTTTGTGGACTTGCTTTCATGGGAAAAACTGGGTGTTCAAGAAAAAGATATATCACAGCCGAAAGGGGCTGGGAAATTCTTTTTTCTCTTGTTAATTCTGAGTAAACTGTGCATTGTGTACCTGCATTTTGACTGTGACCCATCACATGAGGTCAAGTAGGAAATTTTCTACTTGTTTCATGTTTGTGCTCAAAAATTTGGAGTTTTGGAGCACTTCCACTCAAATTTTCAGATTAGGGATGCCCAACATATATGCGTGTATATATATATATGTATATATGTGTATATATATATGTATATATGTATATATACATATATATATACATATATACACCAGGAACTAGAAGATGCCTGAAACATAGTATGTACTCAATAAATATGGTTGATTAAACAAATGGATGGGTGAATGAATAAATAAATAAAGGTATACACATTTTCAATCCTGGTGTCTTTTCATATGTGAAAGTTATCATTTTCTCTCTGAACTTTTGTGACTTAGCACAACATTTTAATTTGTAAAATTACTTTCAATATACAAGGAAAGAATTAGAAAACCAGTTGGGATGAAAACGCCTGATGCTCTTCTTGCATATGTTGTTGAATACCAAAATCTTGCTAGGAGTTCATACATAAACAAGGTAGATGGAGAGAGCTGGGAAGATTGTGAGAATGCAATTTTTTCCCCATTGTCTCTGCCTAGCCTTTCTCATATCACAGAATGACACGATGTTAAATGTGAAACCAGATCTCATTCAGCTCTCTTGTTTTGTAATATTAAAACTGTGACTCAGAGAGGTTAAATGACTTCCTCTCAAATCCCTTGAAGTTCCTGGCACAATCAGGTCTAAAATATAGGATTGCTTGACTTTCAGTCCAATGGCCATTCAATTAGTCACATCTCTATTCCTGTATTCCCTGACTTCTCCTCCTCAACTGTACCAGCTTTTCCAATAAAACTTGCTTGATCTAAATTGCTCTCCCTAGGCATTGTATATTTCAAGACAATCTTTCTGTTTTTTGAACTATATTTCCTTTTTCTGTAGTAACATCAGCTTCTCTGAAAAACATATCCATTGCCAAAGGATTAATTTTAAGTTTGTGTGTGTGCATGTGCATGTGTGTGTGTGTGTGTGTGTGGGTGTGTGTGCATCCTTTTACTTACAGCCTTATAATGAGAACTTCCCAATGTTTAAAGGAATACATCATTTAAGATATGATTTTCAAGAAACGCTTTTTGGGGCCTGTGTCTGCAACTGAAGAGACCAAAAGTCTGTAAAAGATTCTTTAAGTCTCCTAAGTATTAGTTCCTGAACTCTTTTAAGTTCTCAGCATTTTTCTTCTTTCCGATTTTTGTGCTACTTCACAATGCAACAGTTCTCTGTTGCAAGGTAGCAGTAGAATGTACCTCATTGGACCTGGATTTAGTTTACTCATTCTTTCCACTAAGGGAACAGGGCACCATCCTGGTTAGAACAGTGGCAGAACACCAGAGTGGTTAAGACCAATTCTCTTATGGAGCATGACATATCTGTTGAAATAACAAGTAGTAGAAAAATTTAGTAGTTCAGCAGTGATGTAAGAAGAATCTCTTTGAATGAGTAAACACAGGACTCATCCTAGCCACCAATCTCCAGCCAATAAGCACTTTTCAACTGTGTAACTATGAGCCAGTGACTACCTTTTCCTCAGTTTCTTCATTTGTAAAATAAGGATACTAAAAGTGACTCTTACAAGATTGCTGTATTAAATGAGTTAATACATATATAAAGTGCTTAAAATAGGGCCTAATCTATAAGAAGCCCTAAATACATGTTTGTTGCTATTGTAAATATTATGAACAAATACCTTTGATAAGGGTTTAAATGAATCAGCCTTGTTTAAAAGTCCATCTTACGCAGTTGGAGTTACTTATTCAAAATTAGGGCCTCTCACTGAGCTCTAAGCTTATCCTCTAGTGCAGATTTCAGGACCAGCTCTCTGGGATCCTCCCTCATTCTCTCCTTCTTTCTTAAAAATATATATTGCATAACTATTAGCACTGCAAAGCTCTAAGGAAAAATGATAACCCTATGTCCCCAATCTAGAGGAGCTTCCCGCACTCAAATTGGGGGAAGTTTTTTTTTTTTTTTTGAATAGATTCTTCCAGGCAACATAGGACCAGGGATCCAGCAGGCTTTTTTCTTGTCCTTAATGAGTAGCTCACAATCTTTATCCTTAGGAAACACAGAGCAAATGATATATTACAAATGAGTAGGCTATGTTTAAATATTTAAGAGATTACTATTTAATTTTAAAGAGTCTCAAACTCTTTAAAACTATAGATGAAAGGTCCTACTTCCAACTTTCTACATCAGAATACCTGAGGATGAGACTAGGCTTTTTTTTTTCCTTTTTCCAAATCACATATAATTCCCACATGCAATCTGAAAAAGCAACCAAAATGCAGAATCTTAGGTCCCACCCAGGTCTACAAACTAAGAATCTGCATTTAAACAAGACCTTCAGAAGATCTGTATAGACATTAAAAACGGGAAAGCACTGGCCTGTGGCAGTCTTTCTTTCTCAGGATGGTGGTAAACAGATCACCCCTATGTCAGAACCACCTGGGATGCTCCTTTTAAAAAGTATACTTTTGTATCCTACCATAGACTGAGTGAAACAGACTCTCTGGGTTGGAGTCCCTTGAAACTGCATTTCAAACAAACTTCTCTCCCTGACACTTGGGCAGTCTAAAGTTTGAGAGTTACCAGAGTAGCATTTAAAAGCACTATATGTTTTGTCATTTTCATGTATATGATCCCTTCATGAGGCTAAAATCACTGAGCAAGACATACCTAGAGTTATAAACCAATCAAACACTGCATTTGCACACACGGAGAGATATATACACACATGGCATTAGAAATAACTGCAAATAAACTGTCTTTAATACTAGATCAAAACTATCCAAGAAGGTTCCCCTGAGCATCTGCAATGAAATGCAGATTAACCAGTTAATTGTGTCAGAGGAGAGAGAGAGTAAATTATGTATAATGACATCATTACACCTCTTGTACTCTTGTCTAAACATTCCTTGCTTGTACTTTCTTGAAACATCATTAAAAATCCATTTGATTCTAATAAGTTACTTCCAATACAAGTAAAAGTACCTCAGTATTTATCAGATGTGAAAAGAAAATAATCAAATCATCAAAATATGTTATTATTCCTCTTCTTCATAGTGATAGTCTTTACTAATATTTACTAAAGGTGAATCTCCCTTCAAATACCAAGCTGAAAGGCATTACTCTGGTCATGTGGTTCCATAAAAGAGGCAGTCAATCTTTTGGATATTTAGAAAATCCAATTGAGTACAATTTTCTCTTTTTCTCTGAGTGTTTGTCATGAGAAAAGCACAACTCAAACTCGATTTTGTCCAAATTATCCTTGCAAACATCCAGATACTATGAAATGTGTATTATATTCATCTCAACTTAGATCTAGCTAATATTTTAGAATTACAAAATACTTTGTCTTAAACTATTAAGAATATCAACAAGAATAACACATAGGACTTTATTTTTTCTGACTTAATGCTCCCCCAGGGAGTTGAACAGACAAAACAGAAATATATTAACAGGGATAGAAAATTGCATCTGAAAAGCATGAGTAACTTTTAACATCTTTGGAACTCTGCTTTCAGAAAGGTGATGTACCTCAGAGTATAGGATTCCCATGCTGGTCCTTCACAGGCTTACTTCACCTCTACAGCTCCTTGAATCTTCTGGAGGTATTTCTGATGAATATCAAAATCCTTCCTGGCTGAGAGGAAAGTCCCTAGAAGTCCAAGCTGGTGGCAAGCTCCAGGAGTGCTTTTCTAGCAAACACCTGTCAGTGCTTTTCCAGCAGCTCAGGCAGCAGCACACCTTCCAGAGAGCCCAGCCCAATGAAACAAAGGCACTGGTGTCATGTGTAACGACCCAAGCCTGTATCATCTAATGTTACAACCCTGAGGAGCCGGTTTCTGAGTCATATTTGCTCTGCCAGTGGTAACATGCAGGAAAGAAGGAAGCAAAGTTAAGGGAGGAAGAAAAGTTCTTACATTGGCAGGAAGGACTCACGGTTCAAACCAAGATACTGTATTTCAGACATTTCGTAATCAAAATCTGGTTTTCAGTGGCCATTGAGAAAGGCTAGAGACCAACAAACTTACTTGTGAGAGCCACACGTGTCTGGCAAAGAACTTGAAAAATAATCTTCAAAATTCTCAGCCTAACAAGTAACGCTTTTCCAGCTATTTATGCAGTTTTGTAAACTAATAAATTTACTAACATAATAAATCTTAAGTTGTTTTAAATATTCCAATACTATTCACACATTTAGCCAAATTACTTTATAATATTCAATTTAAAAATCATAAGTCTAAAATCAAATACTCTGTTATGCATTTTAAATTGCATCATCAATTTATTTATCAAACATGCTAGTATGCCCAATCTCTTAAATATTGTAAACATTTTATATGCTATATATGATATCATTCACACATTTTCCTTGAACTGAATACAATCACATCAAACTTTCCCAGAATTGAAACACTCGACCGTCCACACACCCATTATAACCATGGGACCAGCCCAAATGGGCCGTACTTTGTTGATAACAAATGTCAATTTACTCTGTAGATATAACAGAGCCAAAAACTGTAAGTCATTTAGCCCAGGCATGCACAATAAAAATGTTTTTGCCTCTAACAGAACCTAGAACAAATGATCCCTCCCCTGGGAACCAAGAAGACAAGGACATGACGGGAACCTAAATGCAGGACCTCTTTCAGAAGCTAGGGGCTCATTGGCCCAAAAGATCCAGGGCTGAAATCTGCCTCAACATACCTTACCTTTAGTGGTCAAATTTGAAGCCCTTCAATCAGTCCCTGCCAAACCAACATTCCTAAATCCTTTCCCTCACCCTCTAAGCCATACATTTTCTCAGATTCCAAACTGGGGAGGCAGATTTGAGCCCACCTCCTGTCTCCTTGCTGACCTGTCTTGCAATAAAGTTTTTCTTTCCTCAAAACCCAGTGTCCAGATATTGGCTTCTGTGAGCAGGGGGCAGCAAGCCTATTTGCTCAATAATATCATGGAAGAAATAGTTCAACCATCTCAAACCAATTGATGTGATTTTCCCAATCAGTTGAGGCTCCTTAGTGGCCAGAAACTAGTGACCAGGATACTAGGCCTGTGCTTATAAATATTCAGGGAAATTCTTCTTACTCCACTGGTGGATATACTGAGCTATTTTTATAATTATTTCAAAGATTTTATGTTTCACTATGCAGTTGACATCGAGGCCAGCCTCTCTGGAGTTTAAGAATTAGCTAATTCTTCCGTTGGAGGAGAGGGAAGTCTGCAATACCCACTAAAATTGCAGCTGACTTCCTCTTTGGCTTGGTTTGATTTTGTATTTCTGTAGACTCTTAAGACATTTAAGTGTCTTCCCATTGACTTAGAAAAACATTAATGGTATATCCATTGGGTACTTCACTCTGTTATGCAATATTTTGTAACCTCTGGTAGCCTCTTTTGTAACCTCTTTCAACTAATTTGTGTGGACAGAACTCTTCACTGTCATTGCTTCTCTCCTAAGGTTGCTGCTAGCTTTCTTCTTCAAGCTCTTTCCTCCCTGACTGAGCTCTAAATGTTTCTTTAACTTTCAATCAGGATCAAAACTCATTTTATTAGATTCTGCATCTCTTGACAACATCTGGTTCTAAAGGAACAGTACTCATTATAATTGCAAATGATGTAGGGTTAGCTCAAAAAACAAACCAATGAAAAAAGCAGTTGACTCATTGTTATTTGTAAAACACTTGGATTTAACTCTAGGCCATTGGGTCTCAACCAGGGGTTATCTCGCCCCCAGATAGACTGCAGATTTAGCAACGAAAAAGATAAGATGTTCAGTTAAATTTGAATTTCAGATAAATTTCTGAAATGTCATATGGGACATACATACACTAAAAAATTATGTTGCTTAATGGAGAACGTCGTTTTATTGGAAACTAAAGACATTTGGCAATGTCTGGAGACATTTTTGGTGGTCACAACTAGGAGTGGGAGCATGGTACTCTAATGTGGGGAGCAGAGGCCAGGGAAGCTGCTAATCATCCTACAGTGCACAGGACAGCCTCTCAGAGCAAAGAATTACCCAGCTCAGAAGAGTGCTAATGTAGAGAAACTCTAGTCTAAGCCAAAAGGAGAATTAAAGGTGAAGGAAGAGGACTTCGTAAACTATAGTGTCAAATTGGAATACGGAGGCATATTGTCAGAATGAAGTTGGATAAACAGATATATTTTTAAGTGTTTAGGGTTCTTCCTCTGGCAATTTTGAGCCTATAATTACAAAGACAGGTAAAGAAAAGAAGTTCCAGAAAACAGCTTTCACAGGTAAATGTCTTCTGTCAAGAAATAACACTGTCAAGAAGACAAATGTCTTCTGTCAAGAAATAAACCTAGTGTTTAATCTGAATTAAACACTAGGGACTTAAAATTAGTGGCATCCTTTGATCCTGGCTGTAAATGCAGCCAACCTCCACTGACCAGCAGCCAACTGTCTGTGAGAGATGAGTCTCTTGTAAGGTGTATCCCAAAGACTTCCCCCCAAGAGGGGTTCAGTAGAGCATAACAAAGAAGTATAGTCCACAGAAACTCAGTTTTACGCTGATATCTTAATCCTTCAACATTATCTAACATTGTCCAACATTGACATTAGCAGTGGAAGTTATCTGAGTCACACGGCACCAAAATATGTCACCAGCCAGCAGTGAATCTGTGTGGGTTTGCAGCAAACTCAATTCTTGCCTTCTCAGAAGAAAGAATTCAACTGGGGGCCATAGGATGGAAGAAGAGACCAAGGCAAGTTTTAGAGCAGGAGCGACAGTTTATTAAAAAGCTTTAGAGCAGGAATAAACAAAGTAAAGTACATTTGGAAGAGGACCAAGTGGGCAACTTGAAAGACAAGTGTGCAGTTTGACTTTTGACTCGGGGTTTTTATACGTTGGCATACTTCCAGGGTCCTGCATTCCTTCTCCCCTGATTCTGCCCTTTGGTGGGCTGTCCACATGTGCAGTGGCCCACCAGGATTTGGGAGGGGAGCATGCACAGTGTGTTTACTGGAGTTGTATGCATGCTTACTTGAAGCACTCTTCTCTTACCAGCTGAATGTCCCTAGAAGGTAATATACCAGTTAAACTCTGCCATTCTGCCTCTTAATGTGCATGCTTGAACCCACTCGCCCAACTCCTGAGATCTTATCAGGAAGCTGCTGATCACCAGTTTCAAGTTTTTTCTGTCTATTGGGAGACTGCCTTTCCCTGGCACTGGCTGTGACCAATTGTTATTTTATATATATATATATATATATATATATATATATAATTTTTTTTTTTTTGAGATGGAGTCTTGCTCTGTTGCCCAGGCTGGAGTGCAGTGGTACAATCACAGCTCATTACAACCTCCACCTCCCAGGTTCAAGCGATTCTCCTGCCTCAGCTTCCAGAGTCGCTGGGATTACAGACACCTGCCACCTGTATTTTTGTATTTTTAGTAGAGACGGGGTTTCACCATGTTGGCCAGGCTGGTCTCAAACTCCTGACCTGAGGTGATCTGCCCACCTCGACCTCCTAAAGTGCTGGAATTGCAAGCATGAGCCACCACGCCTGGCCCTCAACTATTATTTTAGAGAGACGGTTAACAACCTCCTTACTATCACCTGATGTTCACCTGACATTCCTGGTGGGTGGGGGGAGCCCTCTCCTACTCTGCTCATGTCTGACTAGCTACTTACTGTAAAATTGGCTCCCATTGGAGAGATTTGAGTAGAGGAGTGTTGTAATCAGAATTTTATTTATATAATAAAGCTCACTCTGGCTGTTGTACAGAGAGTGGATCTGAGGCAGGAAAAAAGAAACAGCAACTAGTTAGGAGGTTATTGCATTAGGTCAGCTGCATGATAATAGTTACCTGGGGCAGAAGAGCAGCAGTGTGGATAGAGAGAATAGGATAAACTCTAGAGTTTAGGAGGTAGAAATAACAGACTTTGCCAACTATGAGTTATTAAGCTATCTCCTAGCATTGAACACACTTTTCTATGTTTGGTTCTTCAATGCCTACCCTGGCATTCTGCAAGCTAGCTTTTTTTTTTTCCTACTGGTATGTGGAGACAAAATTAACTTCATCTTGGATGCTAATCCACCATGTTGACTTCTCATTAACCCCAGTCCCATAAATGCCTTCGGATTCCTACTTTATTTACTGTCCTTAGTGTAAGAACACATACTTACTGTAAATCCTGCCTTTAGACCAAAGCAAACTTGATGTTATCACACAAATATAGGTTATGATGCACACAGCACTCTTGCCTGTTCTGGGGGGTTGTCTTTAATTGTCTCTATAGAGCATGTATCCCCTTTCCTTATGATATATAAGCCCGGGGTCTGGGGTGTATTGGTGTGGAGATCTATTTGTCTTGCTACTGCAGGCCACACTTCTGTCTGTAAGTTCCCCCAATAAATTACCCTTTATCAAAAAACTGATTTTGTCTGCCTTATTATTTGGTTTCTTGGCTCCTTCCTTGTTTGGAGATTGCTTTGCATATATGACCCTTTCTTGAAACCTGGTCTATTTTCTAAGGAGCACTCCATGTGAGATTACAACGCTAAAGAGGGAGAAAGAGATCTACTCATTTCTATATGCTTGCAATCCTATCGGCCTCATCCCACCAATAGCTCTTCATCCAAGAAAAAGCAATTGATCGAGCTTATTTTCCACATTCCCAGAACCAGCCTATTTATACCTTTCAGAGGTGCCCAGCACTAATTGTTTCTCTCCCCGAACCCAAATTCATGCAATTCCTTCCTTGCGATTCTGAGGTATGAGCAGCTACCAAGAAATGGCCCCTCCTCAAGGCCTGGGGCCCAGAATTTCAAGGCCCTTTTCTCTCCTAAGTTCTAATAACCCCAACCTCACTCTGTTCCCTCAGTCCAAGGGGTGGTAGCTGTTCCTGCAATTCTATCTCTGTGTTACCTTAATATTCTCTTTTTACTTTCTAGTCTTCCAATACCTACTTAACCAATTCCAGACATTCAATTCTTTGTGTTTAAATAACTAGGTTGTTTTCTTTACTTAAGTTGGACTAACATAGTACTATGGAGATGTTTAGAAGCTAGAAATAACAGAATTATCCATCTGATATAAGATACATGGGAAATGGCAGAACAAGGATAATATGCATGTATCTGGCTTTGGAAATTTGGTAGATTTTTATCTTTCAAAGAAAACTCTGGAAGAGCAAGATTAGGGAAAGCCTGGGAAGAGATGATTAGCTCAGGTATGCACAAATTTTATTTAAGGAACATATTTCTAGCACACTAAGTGGAGATGCCAATAGAAAGCTTGTTATATGATTCTGGAGTTTTAGAGTAAGGGTTACACTAGAGATTAAGCTTTTTGAGGGTCATTAGCATTAGATTAATAATCCTCAATGTAAGAAATAGAAGAGTTGGGAAACCTTATTAAAGTTATTTTTTTCCTCTAAAACTTTGTAAAGTCCTTGGTTGTACAGAGTTATTTCTTCTTTAACTCACTCAAGGACATTTTTTATTGTATGCCTTTTAATGTTGACAGTTACTATTTAATTAAATAAGTACATTTGCTAATCAGGATGTTTATGTTTCTGAGTTTTAAGCATTGGAACCCTGCTATCTTTTTCTATTTTTCTCTTACTTGTGGAGGCTTTTTGATTTTGAATGTTAACTTTAAGTTAAGTACAGGAGTCAGAGGCCAAATTGCAATAGTAATTATTGCTTTACACTAACATAGGGTCTTTATTCCTTTTAAAAGGTAAACTGAGGCACAATAAAACTCTAAAGAGTTGATTTGAACAAATAACAATTCATGTATTAGACAGCACCAAACCAGAAGTGGTTTGGGATCTCTTTGGAGGAAATGCAAGGGGAACAAAGATGAACATGGAATTAAAGCAAAGAAAATATTTGATTGATTATAGTAATGCAGTTGCCTTATTTGGTTTATTCTGCTGAAAAGTCCCTAGCCATATGCTAATTAGGTGGTGACTTCTGATTAGCTAACTTTAAGTTTCCTTTTTCTTTAATATAGAGATTTAAAAGAAAAGGCCCAAATAAGTTTTGCTTATGTTTGCAAATCAAGCAAGGTTAAGGTCACTTATGAGGCCTGACTGACTTTGTGTGCTCAGGGATTCTTCAGGCCTGGTCTCTAATTTAATTCACTTTAACTCTCCCAAGACTCAAAAAATCTTGTAAAATTTGGAATCAATTTTGAATTTTCTAGTAACTAAGAAACTTTTTCTATGGAGGAGGAAATGGTATCAGCCAGTCCTTAAAATAAAAATATTGGCATTATAAGTTTAAATTAAAAATAAGCCACTTAATTGTTTACCACTTATGCAACACTTAATTTCTTGCTGTGTTCTATTTCTTTGTCATCCTCTACCATGTACTTGCAGCATTAGTTATTATCATTTGCTTTAATGAAAACACACAGAGTACATGTCATGATCAATGTCCCATAGTCATTGAAATGTTGTGATTTGTGTTTCTTAATTTATGAGATAATATATCTAAGACAAGGGAGTTTACATTTCTTGGTAAAAATAGAATAAGAAATAACTCTATTACTGATAAATCCTTACTGAGAAATCCTGTTGTGCTCGATGACTGTTTCCAGAAATAGTCACCTGCTTCTGCAAACTGTCCATTACTCCTCCAGTGACTCAGGAATTGTGTAGTAAAACCAGTTTCACAGTATGAGACAAGCTATACTTTTTATGGTATAAGTCTACTACTCTGACCTAAGATGAAGGGTGCTGCCTACTTTAAACTTTGCACTACATTTTTTTTCTTATTTCACGTGCCTTTTCAGGTTGAAAAAGAGATGTTGTATCTCAACTCCCTGGCAGGTCCTTAATGTTCATGCATCACATTCCACTCTGAGTCTATAAAATGTAGTCTCATATTTTCACAAGGTTTTGTCTGTTTATTTGTTTTGTCCTTTTTTATATATAATAAAGGGTTATTTGGACTGTGTTGGAGGGAGAAGGTTTGCTTCTCTTTTTAAATTAAGTTGTTAAGGTCATGGCAGTCTGCCTTTAGGTTGGCCAGATGCCTATCCTTCCTCTCTAAAATCCGACCTACTTCCCCGCTACTTCTTGGTAATACTCAGACCTTTTACAACCAACCTTTTATCATGAAATAAGGCAGCTATCCAAAGAAATACTATCACATACCTCATTATCAAATCAAAACATTCTTTCTTTTCCTCTATCACTCACAAATCCACCAAAACAAGTGAACAGAACCCATTCACCAACCTGAAAGAAAACATTCTATTCTGTCGACTTTAAAATTGCTTTGAAAGGACTAAGAATTGAGCATCTAAAAGACTTAAAAACTATAAGACTAAAACTTCATTCATGGCCAACCATTTTATAAGGCACTTATCATACTACTATAGAGAAGATTTTTTTCCATGTTCTTAGCCTCTTTTCTCCTCTACTTTACATTTCTTAACCCCAAAATTATGTTTTGAGCCAGGTGTATGATGCAGTATTTAAAAAGACTAATAAAACTGTGACAGAGAGAAATTCGGCTGACATTTAGTGTATAAGAGACATCACAAATCTTTATTTTTTAAATCAAATTATAAGTGTCTTGAGCCTTTCCAAAGCTTTGAAGAAATCCAGTATTGAACCAGTTTCCTAGGATTTCCTTTTCCTTGAGATGAGCAAGAATTCTTGGTGTCTGGCACTCAGTAATCTATGTATTTTCTCTATCATTGTCATTAGTATCATCCTCAGCATCATTGTGTAATGTGCCTAAGAATAACTTGGGGGCCACACATGGTGGCTCACGCCTGTAATCCCAGCACTTTGGGAGGCTGAGGTGGGCTGATCACGAGGTCAGGAGTTCGAGACCAGCCTGGCCAACATGGTGAAACCCCATCTCTACTAAAACTACAAAAATTAGCCAGGCACAGTTGGCACACACCTGTAATCCCAGCTACTTGGGAGGCTGAGGCAGGAGAACTGCTTGGACCCAGGAGGTGGAGGTTTCAGTGAGCAGAGACCCAGCCACTGCACTGCAGCCTAGGTGACAGAGCAAGACTCATCTCAGAAAAAAAAAAAAGAAAGAATAACTTGGGGGCTTACTAAAATGTAAATACCCTCCCACCCCCCACAACATGAGAAGTAATGAATCAGAATCTCTAGGTGAGGATGTGGGAACCTGCATTTGAATAAGCATTCCAATAAGTGATTCAAAAGTTAGGGGTACTGGGCCACTTAGAAAAAAGACAATTTTTGATCTTTCCAACACAAAAGCCTAGAGAGGAAATAGCACAATGGGAAATTTCACATTTTATCTGGCTTCAGGTGCACTTTTGCACTTATATTTAAATGCGTTTGGGTTTGAGATTCTGATAATTCTTTACATAAAATTAATGAAGGTGTATAATGAATAACGTTCCTAATGTTACTCTTTCAACAGCTGTACTCATCTTTTGATGGGCATTTTTGGGGCCAGAACTGCCTGCTCATTTCTATTCCAGGCATGAAACTCAAAACAGCCCTTGTGGTAAATAACCCATGAAATATCAACAGGTTTGTTTGTGTATCTGAATTGCTACTACCAGGATTTTGACCTACTAAACTTCCTAGACACTATAGCTTTCTTCCTTGACCATTAATATGGGGTTGTTTTTTGTATTTTAACTCATACATTCTCAATGAGAGTAATATTGTTTTCCCAGGAAATGAAATTTCTTCTTGAGGGGAAAAAAGTCTATTATCCTTATAAACATAGCACAGATAGAAATATAATATGTAGGGGAGGGGGCAAAAAACTTTCTTCTGCCTTCTTTATGTTTAGCCACCAGGGCCCGTGAATCAGACTAACAAAAAACAGATTAACAGGAGAAAATTACAATGTTTATTCATTCATGCAACATGCGTACATGTGGGAGAGCTTGGTGATGAGTAACTCAAAGGGGTGGTTAGAATTTGGGGCTTATATACCATTTTAATAAGTAAAGGGATAAAGGCACTTATGGGAAACAAATGACTTTTTGGAAAAATAAATGCATTTGCAGGAGAAAAAACAGGCAATAAGAAAGTTTGTGAAAATGTCTACACAGGACAAAATGGTCTTTCATCTCCTTCAGGGTCATAAAACCCTCCTGGAGAAGAGATTTGGGGTAGGTTTTATTTTCTCTCTCTCTTCTGGGAGTAGACATGCCCTGAAAAGGATTTGTGACAATCTTGTTTCCCAGAAGTTGCTCCTTTAGTCAGAAAAGGGAAGCTTCAAAGTTGCTTTTTCTTTTTCCCCTTTTCTAAATTTGTTCAATCACAAATGTCTTCAACTTAAAATTATCTTTTTACCAATGTAGCATATTTTGGAATGGCATATTCTGGTTCCCTTCAAGTACATAAATGGATATACAGTATATATATACGGTAATAAAATTTATGGAGGAAGGATAATTTAAAAGAAAAAGTCTACAAAGATTCCTTGGTGGGGGACAATGAAAAAAGATTGAGAAATACTGCTTCAACTGATCCCAACTGATTTTCTAGTCTTTAAAATAAAAACTTTGAAATTTGGAAAATAGAAAAGAAAAAAAATTCCAAGAATTCTGCCACATACATATAATACACACACACATAGCATCTTCAAATATATAGATAGTATTTGTTGTACCAGAAAATAGTCTAACCCCTTTACGTGTACTAACACTTTTAACAGGGTCAACAATCCTGTGGGGTAGGTACTATTACCATCCCCTTTTAACAGATGAGAAAGCTGAGGCACAGAGACATCAAGTAATTTGTCTAGGGTCACACAGCTAATACATGGTAATACAAGGATTCAAAGCCAGGAGATTTAGCTTCAGTATCTATTACTTTAACCATTAAAGTATATGGCATCTCTTTGGGTATATAACCTAATCTCCTTCATATGGATATGTACACAATTTATGTATTTGCAAAAAATGAGACTTTGTGCACATTTTACAATCTACACTTGCCTTTTAAAAGTATATGACATCCTTCCATGTTATAAAATAGGCTTCAATATCATTTTTAGTGACTACCTAGCATTTACTTGATACTGATAGTAACAGTCCTCATTTATTTAGCACTCAGCATATGCTGAGCCCTCTGCCACGTGCGTAACACATATTGTCTATTCAGTCGTCATGATAGTCTCTTTAGATAATAATGAAAAATAATGGCTTTTTGGAATAACGTTTGTAAAAAATAGTAATAATGGCTAGTATTCATTGAGTGATTCCTGTTCACTGGACATAGCTCACGAACCTTATCCACATGGCACCCTTTAATGCTCTTTTACAGTAGCCCTAGAAGACTGACACTATTATTATTCCCTTTTTACTGATAAGGAAATTAAGACTCTGAGAGGTAAAATTATCTGCTCAAATGAACAGACATCAGGTAAAATTATCTGCTCAAGATGAACAGACATCATCTCAGACTCAATCTCAGATGCTTGCCTCTAAAGTCCTCCTCCGTACTATTATACACTCCTGCTCCCCCTAGGAACTGTAGTTTATTTCATTTGAATGAGCTTTATTCCTTAAACTAATGTAGACTTTCTGCTATCATTAATGGTTTCTCGGCTTCCAGACCTTGACTCGTTTTGGCCTCTAAGAACCATTGAACCATTGACACTCCATATTGCTAATTGTGATCTTGCACTCCCTGACCTTTCTATTATAAAATACAACTTAACCAGCTATTGTCCTGTTGCATTACAACACTGGTGTTATTAACACTATATATAAATGTCATGGTGGGCAAATTCACAGTTCTTAATCTTTCCCTCTCAGAGCAAAACCCCTCTGACACTGGCCCAGAGGCAAACAGCATGAGGCAGAATCCTTCACAGGTGTTCCAACAAGAAGGCTGAATTAGCTAGGAGCTGATGTGAGATTTTCTGTACATTTTCCCAGTCCTTCACCTCAGGGCTCCTCTCTCCCATGGCTCCTGATCACATAGAACAGGTGGAAACAATCATTAGTTCACCTCTGCCTCCTGGATCGCCAAGCACATCCAAGGGGCTCAACACTCAGCAGGTCATAACACTCAGATGTGATAATGGGGAGCCCTGCAGGCACGGCCACAGATGCTGAGTTATTTGGGTGAGCCGGAGTGGCAGGTGCTTCTCTGGGGCTTTGGATGTCTAAGACCAATATAGGACTTTGGTTCAAGCTCCTGCTCTGATCCCTGTATGAATTTAAACCTACTTAGGCTTCACTTTTCTCTTCTGGCCCTTGAACTCAAAGTTGTTTAAATTTACACCCAAATTGTATCCTAACCAATACTGCAAAAACGAGAAATGCTGTAGGTAACTAAAAAGAACACCAACTTCTTCGAAAAAAAAAAAAAGAGAGAGAGAGAAGAAGATCCCTTCCCTGGCTTTATCATTACAAGATTGATGACTTTGGGCATTTATTTGACCTACAGATTTCTGAACATCAGTTTCTTCATCTGAAAAGTGGAAGAATAAGCTGGGCACAGTGGCTTATGCTTGTAATCCAAGCTACTTGGGAGGCTGATGCATGAGGATTGCTTGAACTCTGGAGTTCAAGATTAGCCTAGGCAACATAGCAAGACTTTGTCTTTAAAAAAAAACCCATCAAATTTGCAGAACAGTGAAATAATAGTCATCAAAATTAGATGAACTAATGATTTGAAGTGTCAAGAACATGAAGAGTGTAGGAAATTGTCTGCAAAGGTGGCCACCAACAATTTCTCCCATACCTGTGCCTGCAGACTGCTCTTGCCGTCAATATGGGCTAGTCTTGGGACTTGCTTTGACCACTAGGATGTGCCAGAAGGGATGGTATGCCAGTTCTGCACCTAAATCTTAAGAGGTCTGCCAGTTTCTTTTCTGCCTTCTTTCGAAATCCAGCCACCACAAAAAGAAACCCAGGTTAGGCTACCAAATGATGAGTGGCCATTATCTTTCCCTGTCCTCCAAATTTTTCCCATATAATCAGAATAGGAGAAAGTAGGGATATGACTCTGGTACATATATTCAAAGTTTCTCAACAGATACAACTTACCCTGGAAACAAAGGGAGAAGCCAACCTGATTAAGTGCACTTAATATGAGTTCTCTGGACTCAAGAAGAGGCTAAACCTGGGATGAACAAGGGACCAGCCTTAGATGAGGTAACTCATTGACCTTGAATGTTTCTTTCAGCTCTTAATTCAGTTGCTTGGACCCACAGCTGGATTACCCATATGGTGTAGTCAGGATATTAAATGCTAGGTCCAACATGCTTGGTTGAAATAACTGCCACTAATGTATTTGCATCAATACATCAGCGATTCAGAGAGCCCAGAAAAACATTTAGATTCTCCTTTTAATGGATCTCCTGTCCTTCCAATCTCCATTCATCTCTTGTCTCAATAGCTCTTTATGTATCTTAATCTTGGTGGAGCCTCATCAATTAGTGTAAAAATTGAATTGAACACTTCTCTTCAATAGTACAGTGTAGAAATTAAAAGCACATGGTCTAAACTCAGAGTTGAGTCCACTTGTTGTAGAACAAATTACTTACTTTTATGTATTAATTCTGTCAATAAATATGTATTGAGTATGTACTTTGTGTGAAGCATGCTGGTCTTCCACATTTAACTTCAGTGCAGGTAGGAGTATAAGTTGCTACAAAACTCTGGATTGTTTGGAAGTATGTATTAAATTTCTACACATGAACATCCTATTACCAAGAAATTTTCCTAGAATCTACCCAATGAAAATATAAACATGCCTGCATCAAGACATACAAAAATGTTCAAGTAGCATTATTTGCAGTAGACAAATGTTAGCTTAACCTCAATTCCATCAATTGTGGAACAGATAAATAAAATTTGATACACTAATATAATAAAATACTACATAGCAATAAAAATTTAAAAATTATTATTACCTGCAAAAGCATAGATAAATTGCACAAATATAATATTGACCAAATAAGCCAGATACAAAAGAAGATGTAATTCCATTTTGATAAATTTTAGAAGAGGCAAACTAATGCATGATGTTAAAATCAGAGTAGTGGTTACTTTTGAGGAATGAAAAGGGATGGTAGTTGGAAAACAGCTTTTAGGGAGTTTCTGGGGTGTTGGCAATGTTCTATTTCTTGATTTGGATTGTGGTTTTGTAGGCATATTCACTGTAGGATAATCAGTTGACTTTATGATCTGTACATGTTTCTATATGTATGTTGCTCTTAAATTTAAAATACACACACACACACACACACACACACACACACAGAGCTCGAGCAGGACAAATGGGATTAAAATTAGTTCCCAAGAACTGTGATTTTCTAGGACCCTCTCCTGTGAGTGCTGCTTTCCCACTCCCACTAACTCACCATCCTCTAAGAGAATTCCCATCCTCAGTCTTTCCACCTTCTTGCTGTCCCAGGTAGTAGTGGCTCGGTCCCACCTACGGTTATGTAAGGGCTTGGACACCCTTAGCACATGCCTCATCCAAGCTCTGAATCACCCATGGCACCACTGGAAGCAATCTTATTTAAGAAGCGTGGTAGGAAAAACTGGGATGTATCCCTCTACTTTTCCTACTTTTCCTGGACTCCGATGTGCACTGACTTGCCCTCCCATTAATAGGCTATGGGAGATGAAAACACTTCATTCAATTTAGTTAGAAGAAAACAGAAGTAGAATTACAACTTAGAGTGCCATCTGGTGTATTTTTGCCAAGTGACACAAACAACTCTGCTAAGAGCCATGGACTGTAAGGCCTTTCCCTGAGGGATGTTATAGACCTATTTTTGTTATTGTTGTTGGAATGAGCCTTTGACAGAGTCAAATTCCAATTATGTATCAATTTAAAAAATACAGAATGACTGCTAACAGTAGACATTTGTCTATGATTTTGGCTGTGGTCCCAAGCAAGCTATGTTTGGAGAATTTCCTACCATGGAAATTGTAAAAAAAAAAAAAAAATAGACTTCTCAGATTCCTTTTCACCTTAGACATATGACCTGGGGTCCAACATTGTAAAACAATTAGAAGTACCTGCCATCTGAGCATGGAATTAGAAACTCGGAAGAGAAGAAGTTGATATTCTGCCATTTCCATTCTAGTGTCTGCCTCTAATCTCTAAAAGCAGTAATGGCAACAATTCTAGCAGAAAGATGCAAAAACTGTGAAGGTTTTGAGATTTTACACTACTCACTGGCTACCAGGTTAATCTGCCGTTTTAAGGAATCCTGGTAGAAGACATGAGACCCACGGGTCATAGACAAAAGTCTCTACTACTCAAGGCACATCAAGCCACATGAACATAGCATGTACCCTGTTCCCCCGACCTGCATTTTTTTTAGAGAAGATATGGATGGGCTCACATAGATGCCTGAACAAACAATGGCTGTGTTACAAAAGAGGAACCTGAATCCTTTATAATGGGCACTAAGCATGTCTGCCCTTTGCTCTGGAGGAAAATACTGTATCTTCCAAGGCTTTCGCTGCATGAACATACTTGAAAAGTTAATCTGGAACAAAGGCAAACCAGTGCTTCTGCTTCTGCTTGCAAGATGTGAAGAAATGCAAGACACCAATGAAGAATTGTCTCCTAAGACAGGTTTCAATAACCAGTGTTGGCTCAATGATTAGTGACTCAACCTGACAATGGTGCCAGTGGTATATCCACCAGACCAGTTCTGCCGCATAATTTTCATCATTGGCCCTGGCTGCATTGTCTTCAAACCTGATTCTTGGACCCATCTGGAGTTTGTGAGCTCTAGCCAATATTTTCTGCTTGGTTTCTTTCATTCACAACTATTAACCCTGTCTAAAACACTAAAGAAGTGGTTGCTTCTCCTTAGAAAATGCCTATACACACCCATTTCTTGTCCTTTATTTTGGTTGATTAATTTAGCCTCTTAGACATTGGGTAAATCATCTGCCTTCCCATTTACTAAAGCCAGGTGTAAGATCTATCCTAGGTTCAATCTTAAAGAAAAAGGAACTGGGTATTTATATCATCCAGAAGGCCTGGACCTGGGGTAAACTCTTCAAACAATACAATTTCTAAAAGTGTTAAATCCCTGACCTGCAAGTTTCTAGAATCTTAGAGATTTTATCTTAATCTATATGAAAAAACACTTCTTCATGAGGACCGCTGATGAGAGTAACTGCTTGTTGGTTGCTTACTCTGCAACAATGCTTCCTGGAATAGTGTTTCTCAGTTCTTGTGAGATACAATTTTTGTTCCTTGATTTATACAAGTACATTTATACTAGTTGGGTAATGATCTAAGTTTAAATATTTCTTGATTAACGTACACTTCAATGCTGAGATTATAAAATAAAGTGTTATACCTGAAGGATTGCTTCTCAAAAAGTTCACAATATAGACTTTCTGATCTAAAAGTGTTCTGCCTCGTCCTTATAGTAAAACAAAATAATATTTTTCTAGCAATTTTCCAAAGTGAATTGTACATATTATATCATCTTCCTTCTAAGATAAGCTGCTTTGATTATGTTCGCATTTCTATGATTTACATTAATTAAATGTCACATTGCACTCTCCCTTAAAGAATTATAGACTGTTAGAGTCAGAAGGGGCCTTATGGATCATCTTCTGGTTTACTGCTCAATTTAAACAGGAGGAGGGAGTCCCACATGCTACAAATTCTTGTTTGTACTCTTATTTTTTTTAAAACATAACATTTGCTAGATTTTAATCAAAGCAAAAAAGTAACACTTATTTTTTTTTAATTGGAAAATAAAGAAACATGATTCTAAAAACTCATTTAGGGAAAATTCACTATCAATATCTATGTGCATTTTTTTCCAATCATTTTATTTCTCTCTGTGTATATTTTCACATGCTTTGATTTAAAATGCATATTTTATTTGCATCTTGATTGTTTTACCAAGCTGCATGTCACTTTTTGTTATTTAAGTGCCAATGATTCTAAAGATGCAAAGATGTCCTCCCTCTTTCCCCTAAGTGGTGAGAAAAGTGTATTAGGGTTCTCTTAGAGGGACAGAATTAATAGGAGATACACACACACACACACACACACACACACACGTATATGTATATGGGAGTTTATGAAGTATTGACTTACATGATCACAAGTTCCCACAACAGGATGTCTGCAAGCAGAGGAGAAAGGAGAGCCAGTCCGAGTCCCAAAACTGAAGAACTTGGAGTCCGATGTTCGAGGGCAGAAAGCATAGCACGGGAGAAAGATGTAGGCTAGGAGGCTAGGCCCATCGGGTCTCTCCATATTTTTCTGCCTGCTTTATATTTGCTGGAGGCTGATTAGATGGTGCCTACCCAATTAAGGATGGGTCTGCCTTCCCCAGCCCACTGACTCAAATGTTAATCTCCTTTGGCAATACCCTCACAGACACACCCAGGATCCATATTGCACCCCTCAACCCAATCAAGTTGACACTCAGTATTAACCATCACAAAAAAGTTAAGTTTTATAAAATAATTGTATGATATTACATTGTTTTCAAATTTATTTTTTGCTTTCATATGAATAGTCTGTTGTTAATTTTTTCCTAATAGTAATTTTGAATTAGGCTTCCTTAGATTTGAATGGAATGGTAGGCATACAGTGTATATGGCTATGAACAAATGTAAAGTTAGATTTTATGTGTCTTTACTGATGTAAATGAAGACTGGGCTGGTTATTTCCAGACCAACACAGTGGCTAATGTGCTGTGAAACAATACAACGCCCCAAGAAGGAAAAAGAAGACAGGAATTTTCACTGGAAAATGGACTACTGGGTCAGGATGATCAACGCCTTTGAAAGATATGGTAGAGACAAGCTCAATACTATTATAAATAATGCTAACAGTGATATTTAATACTGACTGTTTACTACATGCTAGGAACCTTGATCAGCACCTTAAGTGCATCACCTTAATGAATCACCCCACAAACACTGAAGTCAATATAATGTTCATTGCTATTTTAGAGATCTGGAAATTGAGACTTAGAGTCAGTAACTTACCTAAGAATAAAGAGCTTGTAAGTGGCAGAACTGGGACTCCTGTAGCATCTCTCAGTGCTGGACATTTAGAAGTCATCTGGTGACAATTTGTTGAGCTGATGTAATTGGATGTAAAGATTGTAAGATTTTTTTTTAATGTAGGAAAATGTTCTCCATTTGTTAAAAGAAAAAAGTTATTAAGGAACATGCATATTCTAATACTAGTTTGGTAAAATAAACATAGAATGATATATGGAGTAGTATGTGTGTTTGTATAAATAGATGTATCTAAGAGTAGATAAGCCAAAGTGCTGGATCTTTCTGGGTGGTGAGATCACAAGATGATTTTAATTTTTCTGTTTTTAGATCTTTATTTTAAAAACATTCTAGTTTTATATGAAGAAGAGGTAAATAGTTGGCTGTTTGCCTCAAAGTTTGGTTGGGTAATTCGTTAAATGGCATCCTAAAAGTCTGGGGATAAGAGAGGCGAAATGTTTGTCTGATCAGAAAAGGAGCAGTGTAGGAGGCAGATGTGAGTCCCAGCAGTTTTTCCAGAGCCCCCAGGCTCATCCTAGACCTCCTCTGTCAGGAACACCTAGTTTAAGGCAAGTCCTCAGGGGCATGTCCTAGATCCCCTCATCAGAGGACTCACTGGAGGTCATCAGCTCATGGAAATCCTTTAGAGCAACCAGATTTGTCTCCTGCAGCATTAAATATCTTTATTCTTCAATGATATATATTTTTTCTTTTTTTACAGTGAGTAGGAAGACCAAAATGAGAACATATTGGGGAAAGACCTAAGGTTTTACCATCTTAAGCCCAGATGATTGCTTCGAGTCTGTCTCCTCTCCAAATCATCTTGAACACAGTGGCCTGAAGCCCCTTTCAAAATGGCCTTTTACAGTGGTGTATTAGAGAGAAGATGTATTTCTTTTACAACTTTAAAAATTTTTATTATTATACAAATAATAGATTTTTTTCAGAAATATTGGAAAAGCAGAGAAATAATACCATTCAAAAAATAAAGGAAAAAGAAGAAACTGAAGATCACACGTAATTCCATCCCCCATCATCCAAGAGCTTCTGGAATTCAACTCATTCTCCAGGCACTGAGATAATGCTAGAGGAAGTTATTTATGTTGCAAAAGCTTCCTTAGGCTAAGTCAATATAGATTTTAATCAAGCTAGTATCAAATCTTAATGAAACATGTGCTAAGAGATGCATTTTGTTTCCTTTGTCTCCTAGCCTGCATTGCAAATGTCTCTTTTTGGCCCTGACATCAGGGCTGAAACAGAAACTAAATACTTAAGTAAAGTGCATCATTGTCCAGAAAAGTAAGCTTGGATATTTGCATGTTAAATGCCCTGTAAATACAAAGACAGATTTTGCTTCCCCCACCACACACAACTTCCTATTGCTGTGTGTGTGAATTAATGAACTTACAGGATAGCTCAGGGATGTCTCTTCATCTGTTTCAGCCTTAACTACTACTTCCTAATTGAGAATTGTCTTTTACTACTAACCATGATGATGATAATTTATTGGGTATCCACACAGGCTAAGCACTTTAGTAGACCAGCTCACGAATATTTACAAACTTTCTTTAAATTAGGATTATTCTCCCTGTCGTATAGATGAGGAAACAGAAATTAATTTACTGGCTCAAAGGCCACAAAAATGCAAAGTGGCAAACTAAGCTTCCCAGGTCTATCTGGTTCCAGAGCTTTTTGTCTTAACCATTGGAGTAAATAGCTTCACTTTCTGCCAAAGTGGCTTGTGCTCATGGTTCCAATAATCCAAGTAGAGAAGAACATTTTGGATCAAGAGGGTACAGGGTCATCGACTCAACCTTAATTTTCTAAAGATCACACCTGATGACCTAAAATTCAACTGTCTTGGGGCCAATAATGGCTGTTTGGTTGAACACAGGTGCCTATCGAATTTTTTTTTTATATATATACTTTAAGTTCTGGGATACATGTGCAGAACGTGCAAGTTTGTTACATAGATATACACGTGCCATGGTGGTTTGCTGCACCCAACAGCCTGTCATCTACATTAGGTATTTATCCTAATGTTATCCCTCCCCTTGCTCCCCTCCCCCTGTCATGCCCCCGTGTATGATGTTCCCCTTCCTGTGCCCATATGTTCTCATGGTTCAACTCCCACTTATGAGTGAGAACATGCGGTGTTTGGTTTTCTGTTCCTGTGTTAGTTTGCTAAGAATGATGGTTTCCAGCTTCATCCATGTCCCTGCAAAGGACATGAACTCATTTTTTATGGCTGCATAGTATTCCATGCTGTATATGTGCTACGTTTTCTTTATCCAGTCTATCATTGATGGGCATTTGGGTTGGTTCCATGCCTTTGCTATTGTGAATAGTGCTGCAATAAGCATACTTGTACATGTGTCTTTGGAGTAGAATGATTTATTATCCTTTGGATATATATCCAGTAATTAGATTGCCAGGTCAAATGGTATTTCTAGTTCTAGATCCTTGAAGAATTGCCACACTGTCATCCACAATGGTTGAATTAATTTACACTACCACCAACAGTGTAAAAGCATTCCTATTTCTCCAGCATCTATTGTTTCCAGCATCTATTGTTTCCAGACTTTTTAATAATCACCATTCTAACTGATGTGAGATCGTATCTCATTGTGGTTTTGATTTGAATTTCTTGAATGACCAGTGATGATGAAGTTTTTTTCACATGTTTGTTGGCTGCATAAATGTCTTCTTTTGAAAAGTGTCTGTTCATATCCTTTGCCCACTTTTTGATGGGGTTTTTTTTTCTTGTAAATTTGTTTAAGTTCTTTGTAGATTCTGCATATTAGCCCTTTGTCAGTTGGATAGATTGCAAAAATTTTCTCCCATTCTGTAGGTTGTCTGTTCGCTCTGATGATAGTTTCTTTTGCTGTGCAGAAGCTCTCTCTTTAGTTTAATTAGATCCCATTTGTCAGTTTTGGCTTTTGTTGCCATTGCCTTTAGTGTTTTAGTCATGAAGTCTTTGCCCATGCCTATGTCCTGAATGGTATTGCCTAGGTTTTCTTTTAGGGTTTTTATGGTTTTAGGTCTTATGTTTAAATCTTTAATCCATCTTTAAGAAACCTAGGTAGTAGCAAGTTAATCATGTTTCCTGATCAGAATGGAACAGATAACTAGATGTAGTACAGTCTTCAATGACTTGGATAAGTTATTGGCACTTTCAAGATCTGTTTTCTCTTTTATAAAGTAAGGAAATTGGACTAAATGATATTTCTGATACCTTCTGATACTAAAACTCGAAGGTTCTTCTTGCTCAGAGGGCACCCTGTTTTCCACCTCAAAGAATGATAGCGGTTTCTCTGATTAAAATAAAATTATTAAGTCAAAGAAAGACAGTATCAACAACTTATTAGAAATTCTCCTTCTCTTTTTGGAGAGGGGCATGCATTTCTTTGTGTTCACTCAAGCCTCTGAAAATATAAATAATATATTATGACAGAGTGAATTATGATGACAAAGTTTGGCATTTAATCAGAAAAATTGAATAAATTAATGTATAAAATGACCAATCCATGATTACAACTCCTTTGTAATGCTGTAGTTCCTCAGAGACAGGTATGCAACTATGTGGCTTCATCCAAGGTCTATTTTGTACTTACTTTCAAATGGCAAATAACAGGTAACCTCCCAAAATTCATATGTGAAAGTTCTAGCCCCCAATGTGACTGTATTTAGAGAAAGGGTTTTTAGGAGGTAATTAAGGTTAAATGAAGTCATACGGGTAGGCACCAATCTGATAGGACTGCTGACCTTACAGAGATCTCACTCTCAGCCTTATGAGGGCATAGCTAGAAGGCAGCAATCTGCAAGCCAGGAATAGGACCTTTACCAGGACTGAATCAGCAGGTACCTTGACCTTGGACTTCTCTGTCTCCAGAACTGTGAGAAACAGATTTCTGTTGTTTAAACCAATCAGTCTGTGACATTTTGTTATTGCAGCCTGAACAGACTAAGACATAGTGTTACAGCATTATGAGCCTGAGTGTTAAGCCCAGAAACATGCCCAAATATGTACTTAGGGATTTGCAATTTTTAATATTTGTCCTTGGAAAGGTCACGTCTTTGCTGATATAGCCATAGATAAATTTAAGAGTTGCATTTTAAGATAGCATTATTTACTCCAGTAAAATATCCAGTGGTCACATTTTTCTTTAAACAGATTTTTTTTTCCTGACCAAAGAAAATTTAAATACCGATACAGTGCCATCTTGTATATCTACCACTTTTCTTTTAAAAGGAAGCTGCTCAAACCTACTGTATAGGTGTTAAATAATAGCAAAAGTCTATGATGGAAGGATTTCTGTTGCACCGGAGCAGCCCCAGGGGAGATGCAATTTTTACAGAGTATATTTATATATTTTGATTGTGGGGATCAGATGCTGTTCTATGACCTCCCGCCAGGTCTCCTTCCACCTTTCTGCCCTTGTAAACATATATTTTACATTTGTAAATCAGCCTGCAAAAAAGGTATTTTAAAAAAATCTAACACCCCAAACACTATTAATATTTGGTCCACATTTACCAATGCCTTATGTACCTAAATCGAAGGGGTTAAATAATATCAGCAGAAAAGAGAATTTACATTTTTCATCAAATGTCTGCCTGTATATTGAAATGTTTACTAGTAGTAAGCCTTATATTAATATCTGCAAAGCACATAATTTTTCAGAATGCTTTTTCACTTCCTTCATAACTACCTTAAGAGCAATCCAGAGCCATTATTCCCCGTTTTCAAATGGGAAAAAATAAGCTCAGGTAGCTTAGGTCCAGGACAATTTGCAAATGGCAGCAGAGGAAAAGATTCCATGTATTTCCCAAACCTCATTCAGTATCTGGATATGGGGACATAATGGATACAAAATTGTCTTAGTTTAAAGTAACAGGAAGAAAGCACCAAAATAAATCACATGAGTGGAAAAAATTAACTGTGCCTGCCATTTCCAGTTTTGGAGCAATTGAGTTGCTTCCTGCATTTAATGACACGGGCTAAATTACCATAGTTATAATTCCTCAAATAAAAAAATAGGTTATTTGGAACTTATTACTCTTTAATAGCATAGACCAGTGTTTCTCAAACGTTTTGGCCTAAAGGTTTCTTTATGTTTTTAAAAACTATCTTTAAAAATGATTCAGGATTCCAGAGAGCTTTTGTTTCTGTGGGTTATATCTACCCATGTTTACTGCATTGAAAAATAAAGCAAAAACTTTAAACATATTTTATTAATTTATTTAAAAATAGTAAATTAATGACGTTAAACTAAATAAATATTCACATTTTTATTACAATTTATTTCCCAAAACGAAACAAAAATTAGTGAGAAAACTGTCATTGCTTTCTATTTTTACAAATATATTTTGAGTCTGGCTTAAGGATGACTGGATTCTCCTATCTGCATTTGCATTCTAGTTGTGGTGATATCATACGTGTAGCTGACACACTCCACTGCAAATCCATGAGAATGACAGTGAAAAAGCCAAATAATGTGTTTGTGGTTTTTTTTTTTAAATAGTTTTGATCTTACAGGCTGTCAGGGATCCCTAAGCCATATTTTGAGAACTACTGATAAAAACAATAACAAAGCCAGAATTTTAAAAATATGTGTTTTCAATAATATAACAATTTCTGAGGCACATACTTTAAAGTGCATAATAATCTCTGAGAAGGATATTTTTTTCCAGTAGAATCATTTGAGTCTTAGTTCTTTTCTTTCCCTGGATGCTTTGTCTTTAGAGATAATCCAGAGCCTGGAAATTCTAAATTTAAAACAAAGAACAAGGACTCCAGCCTATCTGGTGTCAGCAAGAACAGTCAATGAGAACCACCACTTTGTGTGCATACACCAAACGATTCCAGTACAGTATATGAAAATAGTTTTAATCTCCTGACTAAGGTAAATTCAACACTAAATATTCTCTTTTTGTACCATCAGTTCGAAGAAATAAGATCCTAGTAGGGCATTGCCAGATGGGGAGACGAGAGATTACTCCAAGCTCATGGCCTTTGGGGTACCTTAAAGATAGAGTGACAGACCTCCATATTAAGACCAGTCAGAGGCAGGAAAGGTCCTCTTTGTCTTGAATACCAACACTTTGAGGCTATGGCAGCTTCTCAGAACAGATCTAGCTCTGATGTTGTAGAACAGAAAAAAATCTGAGTGCTGGCTCCATATTTCCCTTTCAGTGAGAAAGGCATTAATGTCTTGTCACTTGTCATCAGTTGGGAAATGCTCAAATGCAGCATTAGTTAATGAACCTATTTAGAATGTAATGGCCTATTTCCATGTATGGCATAAACTAAGCAAATGACAGGGGAGACACAATCACTCAATTCATCACTCTTCTTTATGAAATAATGTGCCTTTCCTTCCTTCCTCTCTTCTTTATTCTTACCTTTGTCCTTTTCTCAAATATTTATATTGTACCCATCATGAATGAGGTACTGTGGCAGATTCCACTTCATATTTATCTGGCTGCCAAATCTGTTTTCTTTTTTTTTTTCAATTTTTTATTTTTGGAGACATGGTCTCATTCTTTTGCCCAGGCTAGAGCCCAATGGCAGTATCACAGCTCATGGCAGCCTCAACCTCCCAGGCTCAGGTGATTCCCCCACGTCTGCCTCCTGAGTAGCTGGGACTACAGTGTGCACCATCATACCTGGCTAATTTTTTGTATTTTTAGTAGAGGCTGGTCTTGAATTCCTGGGCTCACGTGATCCACCCACCTCAGCCACCCAAAGGGCTAGGATTACAGGCATAAGCCACCACGCCAGGACTGTTTATGTTTTAATTACTAAATATTTTTTCTTCCAAAATAAAAGGAAAGCATGTCCTTTATAGAAAAATTAAAATTATAGTATAAAGAAGTCAACCATAATTGCCCATAACCAATCTCTAGGAGGCCATTTAAATAATTTCTTCTGGATTTCCTCCTGTATTCTTATCTATTTAAGATTTACCTACTTGAGATATATACGCATGCAATTTTGTGTCGTTTGCTTAACATTGTATCATAAGCAATTTCAACATCATTAAAAGTCCGTCATAAACATAATTTTAATACCCAAAGTTGGTGATAAATATCTCAGTGGAGGAATCTTATTCTTTATTTCAGATTTCCTTAGGATAAATTGCTTCTTAGAAGTGGAATTACTGTAGGAGATGGGAAGAGTACATTTTAGAATGTTCCTTGACACACTGACGAATTCCTTTCCAGCACTGTAACAGAATCACACCACCAGATAAGAGGGCTGATTTCATTGGACCCTCACCAGAAATGAAGAAATGTTTATTGATAAGCAACATTTGTTAATATTACTGGTAAGAGAAAAAAAATCCTATCTTTTAAAAAAGTCTGGAGTTGGTATAGTCTGAGACAGTATGGCTGCGGCATTTTGGTCCTCCAGATGAGCTCTTCTGCCAGCGCTGCAGATTTCAGTGTATCCCGGGATGAGAGGCTCCGGCTCCACCTGCTGCCACTGTCCTCTTGGAGCAAAAAGATATCTACTTACAGATAATATTATGAAATTAAAAGAATTTCAGCATAAGAAGGTGGCTGTTGAATATAATCTTCCTGGCACCAAATAAATCTATTTTAGAAACTTGGAAGAGAAATTGAACTAGAACAAGCTCATCTTGAAGGGGAAGTTGAGAACCCTACTTCATTTGCGTGAGTCCTGGGACCATGTGGAACTGGCTAAAAACATCATTTGCAAGTACCATACAGAAAACAAAAATGTCACTTTGGCGGAATTTAAGTTTGGACCACTTTTCATAAGACTGTGTTACGACTCGAATCTTGAGGAATCTGCAATGGAGCTCAGGAAAGATGAATATTTACAACGGTTCTCAGACTCCACACAATTTACTATTTTGATGGTTATGTTATTTATCAAAAGCAAATATATAAGTGCTTTGGAAATATTGACAGAGATGAAAAACCCAGATGGAAAGTTCACCAGGATACCTATGTTCTTGATTTTGCAATTGGCCACAAAATGAATAGCTCTGAATCTTTCTAAGTCTGTACTACATTAAGAAAAGAAGCCCTAATCAAAGGAGTTCTCTCCAGGAGAGCATCCTGTTTCCTGTGACATCAGAACCAGGTGGCAAAAGCTATGTCCATTTTTTCTCACATCATGAATCCAGAAAGCATAAAGTTTACTAATTTAAACATGATCATCCATATCCAGTCAAATATGTTAGCAACTGTGATGGAGATACTAAAGGGCGTTGCAGAAGGAAATGTATCAAGATTCGTTGAAAGACGTGAGTTCTCAGAGGAACTGCTGGCCAAAGTGAGGAAAAAAGGGAAAGTTGCGCTTGTCTTTGTGGCCAGATTTCATGAGATGTATGGAAAACTGCACATCGTTGTCCAGGTCACCACTTACACTTTGGATGTTCTGCTCTGCGACATCCGTTTAAAAATGTAAGGGACGGGAAATCCCACATGTTGCCATAAAACAACAGGATGGTCACCTGTTAGACCTTCCAGGCACTGGGCCAGTCCCTGTTGGCTGAGTAAACCCTAGTTTCAATCCACCTGTGGGTATGAAGACCTGCTTCCAGTGAGTTATTGGCTTCCCTAAGAAGCAGGCATCGCACTTCAGCAGACACTACAGTGACACTTGATTTCCTCCCTAAAATCACTGAATGGTGGCATGCTGCTCTCTGAGAAGTTATGTCGTGCCACTGTGAAGATCTAGATACAAGCACAGAAAGCTCAGCTCCCTCAGAAAGCAGGCTTCCCCTGTGCACACTACTGAGGATCCGTGAAGGAACATGGTCACTGTCTCCAGTCCAGCTTCCAGTACTGGAGTGGAACCCAGTAGGCACTATCAGGAATGAATTTCACTACAAGTGTGGTCAACTCTGATTTTCAAGGGAGTAATTACTTGCAAATTATACCCTTGCTGAATTCAGGAGGTCCGAAACCCTGTTCTACCATATCAGAAAATAGCCCAGGATTTCCTCACTGCTCTGCCTTCATGTATTCTGTAACTTGAGCCCTCATTTTCTCATCTGCAAAATAATAGTGCTTATGTGTATTTGCATATAGATTTGAAATCTTCATTCAAGGTTTAGTAGGGTAAAATTGTCTCAAAAATAAGAGAAACAAAAGTTCTGGAGCAAAAAGAAATCTGGATTTTAAATTACTATTGAGATTGAATCTTTAAAAATGCAAGTAAAACTATAGGTCACTTAAAAATTCTCTAAGATAAAAGTTGTATAAATACACTGGTGCTTGCTCTTCATTAACTCAATTAATAAAAGGGAAATAAATCACACCTAAAGTTGCTATATCAGAGTTCTTGGTCACAACGCTGAAATCATTTCTGGCTAACTGAATCAGAAGAGAAATATATTGGAAAGTCGTTAAGTAGCATACCAAAGAGACAGGAAGTTTGGCAAATAAGTCTCCTTACACAGGAAGGGAAGCTTAGCAGCTGAAATTACAACAGGTGGGTCATCACACCATTCAAATAGCTCACTTAGGACACCACTGACATTGCCGCAGTGTTACCTCTGGCACTACTGTCCCTGAACACAAAACCCACTTCACAGATAATGGAGACATTTCTAAAATGTTTCTTCTTGAAACACATAATCCAGATTCAAATAACTGTACAGGAGTCTCTGAGGCTGATGTTGGGTCACAAAATGGTACTCTAGCCGCTGGGGAGCAGGGGACGATGGGTATTGGGCCATTTTGGCTTTTATGAGAATTTGGATGCTAGATAGCAAGACCATGATCAATGACCACTCTAAATACGTACGTGGAATTTTTTGTTTCATAATGCTTTTTAGGAATCTGGCTAACCTTCTTAATTACCACTGAATTTTAAATTGTCCAGTAGGTCATGAGATTATCTGGTTCAATACTGCAAACTCAAATGCCTACCATATTCTCAAATGTCAGTGAGGTGGGGGTGTATGGGAGTGGTGGGGACTGTGGAAAACTGAAGAGTGTCTTCACAGTCTAAAGGCGACACCTGCTATTCAGCTTCAGCTGATGGTTGCTAGAACTCGCCATGGACCAAATGTCTGATGTTACGATTTTACAGAAAATGTGAAAAGTCTGAATTTCTGTGAAATTTCCTAACTTCAACATTTGGAACCAACTTAAAACTAAGCAAAACAACACTGTTGCTTCTTAAAAATCAAGGCTGCAGGCTGCCTCCAACAATCAAACTCTTCATTTAAAAAAAAAAAAAGAATCCAGGGAGATGAGGCTTAAGAAGGTGAAATGCTTGAGACCAAATAACTCAGTTGGTGGCTGAGCCAGGGCTAGAATTTTGGTTTCCAGAGGAAAGGCTAACTAAGAAAAGCCAGTGTTTCCCCACCCCACTCTGCAGCCATTTCTCTCACTTGGAAGTAAGCTCCCAACCAAGCTCAAGAAAAGCGACTCTATTTCATCCAGCAGCAGCAGTCTCCATAAAATGTTTATCAGTTAATAGAACCTGTGAAGCCAATAGAAACAGCTTTCAGTGTTGGATCAGAGTTTAAATTTCAGCTTCTACTGCTTTCTAGGTGAGTAACCTGGGATAAATTATTTTACTTCTCTGTCTCTCGTTCATGGAAAAAACAAAAACAAAAACAAAAAATGAGTCCCTTTTATATACAGGGTTGTGGCAGATGGACTAAGATTTTGTGTACCGACTGCCTGACACAGTGCCAGAACTGTAGTAAGAACACCACACGTGATAGTAACATAACATCCAGGAGATATTCTAATACTTCTTATTTTCCAAGTACACACAAATTGGGGGTAGGGGGAAGGGCTAAGATGCTTAATAGTGGGCGTAGCCAGTTGTGGATAAATATCAAAAAGGGAATCCTAACATGAAGTATAAGTGGGATTTTCACCAAAACCCTATCCTTCCCCAGACTCCAGTGACAGTTTAACGGTCAGCTGCATCAAGGCTTGTGTACTGTGCAGTCTTAAAAGGCACCACTCCTGTCCATCTCGGTGAAATTGATGGTGGAGCAAAAGGGAGTTTAGGTGGTTCCGGTCTGGGGAGAAGACGTGCAGGGTTTCAGATGCGAAAGTCGCACCCAACCGCTTCACTCGGGCTCTAGGCCATCCGCAGGGGCCCTGCTTCCTTCCACCTGCGAGCTTTTTCTGCAGAATGCGGGAAGCCGCCGCCGCCGCCACAGAGGAGGGGGCGGAGGCAGAGGCGGAGGCGGCACCCAGGGGCCGGGGCAGGGGAGGCCGGGACCATCGCAGTGACAATTTATTTTCCTGCAGCAGCGGCAGCAGGGACGGTTGCTGCAGGTTCGGGGTCGGCCGGCCTGCGCGTGGGCTTGCGAGGACGCTGTTCGTCCCCTGCGCTGGGGTGTCCGACAGCGAGGAGGAGAACGACGCACGGAGCCCGCGCGACTGGAACCAGCAAAGCTCCATCTGTCGGCAGAGGAGAAGGGGGAGGAGGCACGGCCGAGGCAAACGAGCGGACGCCTCGTCGCCGGGTGCCGGTATCACCCCGCTGCAACGCCTTCCAGCAAAAGCCACCGCGGCCCGGGTTGCAGCAGCCGGACGGATGCCAAGGCCACACGGCAGCCACGGGGGCAGCCGTCGCAGTCGCCGTCCCACACGGGCTGCGGACACCAAGGGTTGCTAGTGAGTAGCGGCGCGCGCGCGTGAGTGAGAGCGCGCACCGGACGGGGAAGTGCGCACGGCGGGTGCGTCTGCCTCGTGGCCTGGCGCGCGCCGGCCCTTCCGCTGGCAGCGTCCGGTCCCGGGCTGGCTCTAGGGGAGGAAAAAATGCACTTTGGCGGCTGATCGCTTCCTTCCTGCCAGTCATGCAATCGGCCGCCTCCATCGGCGCCGCCTGTATGCGCCCCTCCGCTGGGCCCTCTGGGTTAGTTTCACCTTGATAGGGAGGCAGGAAGACCTGGCTGCTGGTGGCAGGGCGGGACTCTGGCCGTGACCTATACGTGGGTGCGCCTGTTTTTTTGGTTCAGCCCTGGGTTGCAGCCTTGGAGATGATGTCGACCTTGGGAGAGACCACTGCACTGTCTCTAGCGGCGCGGTGTGGAGGAGGGAGGGGCGAGGGTTAGAAAAACGGACCTTTACCCCGGCCGAGCAGGTGCCATGCCTTTCCAGATGATGTTACTTTTATGCCCTTTATGAGCGACTAAGACATTGCCCCTCACCTGAATAACTTAAAGCTTTCGCTGAAAGCCCCCAGTGAGATGCACAAAGAAATGGAATGTCTCCAAAACATATTTTTTTCAGAACTTTCTCTAAAACAACCCACGCTGCTGATACCCCCAGAGCCTAAGGTGCCATAATTGCTGAAGTTTAAAAGAAAATTTATGTAAGGAATAAGTAATTCAGGAAACGGAACCCAATCTAGAGGTTTGAAAAAAAAAATCAAGTGCCTGGGAAGTGGGGTGGGGTGGCTTGCTTCCTGGAAATCAGTGTTCGGTAGTAAGTAAAAAAGACAGCTTTCAAAGTAAGCCCCAGTGAGCACACTGCTTTCCAAACATCTTGCTCATTACTGACAATAACATGAAGTCCTGGATTTTAAGCTATTTCCGAAGACATAATAGATATCACTAGGATGCTTGTTTATGGTCTCATGATTTAAGGCCCTGTCAAGGTCAATAACGTAGATTTGTTCCAGCAGATAAATTATACCTGAATGTTTGATTGTTCGTGTCAATTTTTTTGAGGGTAGGTTTTGACGGTTGTTTTACACAGAAATTAAGCCACCGTGTTTTGTTTTTATCCCGACCTTGTTTCCATTGGAAATTTTGTGTTTTCAGGATGGATGCTACATTGCACTTCAAAAATATACTCTGCCACTGGATTGTAGTGGGCATTGTGTAGCTACACTATACATATCTTTATTTTTAATACAAGTTAATGTGTCGCTGAGCAGTAGGCTCTTTTTGTTTACCATTTGCACCATGAGAGCTTCTCCATTCAAAGGCATAAAATGTTATTGGAATCTACCTGCAAAATGAATTGGCTGATTGTTTTCTGTTCAGACACAGATACAGCAAATTGCCACTAAGAATCTGCTTTTGCGTATACGTTGGCTGTAATTTATGTAGCAACTGGTTCTTGGGAATTTCAAGAAGAAACTTGTTTTCTTATCCTCACCTATAAAGTAAGCACCAAAATTTAAATTATAAGGCAGATAACCTAAGTCCTTTACCTCTATCTCAACCTTCAAGGCCTGTTTCTTGGTACTCTTGCCCTGTTTCATAGGATTCTTACGGTTTGTGGGAGGCTTGGAGGGAGTAGTGAGGAACCAGTTTCCTGAGGATGTCCTCAATAGAGAGATTTGCTTCTGGAGGAGAGAGTGTCTTTGGGGTTGATTCCTAAGAAGGACTGATAAAAATAGTTATAAAGAATTGTTAGTAATAGTTCTCTCTTCTTACTTTCAGCACATAGGACTTAATTAACACCGTTTGATCATTTCCTTCCTTTAGGACCCTTCCCAGCTGTAAGAATTTACAGCTACAATCCAAGAAATGAGATTGCATTTTACAAGAAAAGAAAACTGATGATTCTTGCCCAAAACATGAGAAGTAGAAGGAATGTGAGAGAAAATAATGTAGATTCCGTCCAGGAAGTGCTAGGTGCTTTCCTGGTGGGTACATTTACAAATTAGGGACATTTTAATTAATCTACTGGATTTGTGATTCTGTCTGCTACTATCTTCTTTTTCTTGACCTTATGAAAGATTTATAGATGGCTTCAACTGAAACTACAGGAAATGACTCATGGTTATCCCTGAAGATATTAGAGCCAGATTTCCATTCCTTAGGGCTGATGCATAGCAGCTCTTTGATAAATATTTGCTAAATAAATGACAAATTTTAGAATGTCTTTTTATTATTATTGTACTTTAACTTCTAGGGTACATGTGCACAACTTGCAGGTTTGTTACATATGTATACATGTGCCATGTTGGTGTGCTGCACCCATTAACTCGTCATTTACATTAGGTATATCTCGTAATGCTATCTCTCCCCCCTCCCCCCACCCCACGACAGGCCCGAGTGTGTGATGTTCCCCTTCCTGTGTCCAAGTGTTCTTATTGTTCAATTCCCACCTATGAGTGAGAACATGCGGTGTTTGGTTTTTTGCCCTTGCGATAGTTTGCTGAGAATGATGGTTTCCAGCTTCATCCGTGTCCCTACAGAGGACATGAACTCATCCTTTTTTACTACATCACCTCTTCTGCTATTTTTTAAATCATAACTTTATATGAATCACCAAACATTTCATCAAATTGAATCCCAGTTCATATAATCAACTAAGAAGGCCAACATCCTCGATTGAAGAAACAGTAACAAAATCAAAACAAAACAAAAACAAAACTCTAAAACAAAACTAAAACCAACAAAAAATACTATTGGTACCTGTTGACTTGCTTATTCCACCTATCTGAACATGTGAACTGTCCAATTGAACGTGTGAATGTACATTCAGAAATCCTGAGTTGACATCAGAATGTTCAACTCAGGAATAATCTGGATGTAGCTACATCTGGATGTGGCTTTTGTCAGAAATTATTTGCATTTCTAAGCAAATCAGATTAACGTCTAGTACAATCTTCCATCTCTGCATGTCAAGTGGACAGGCCAATTTAACATTTGGCATACTGCTGAGTCTTCAAAACACATATTGTTTGATGCTCTAACTTTTAAATTAAATCTGTGTTATTTTTTTCCATTGATGTGGTTGGCTTAGAGACATTAATTTGACTGGTGGTTGCTTAGTAACTTGTGTTTATTAAAAGAAGTCCCTTGATATAAACACCAGTAATTCTTATGTCTTGATTTGCTGTAGTTAACCTTTCAAGGTACTCTTTTGGAAATGGGTGCATTGTCTTGAATATTAAGGATGTTATGACTCCTTTTTTTTTGTTTTTGTTTTAGTTCTGACTTTCCATCTCCTGTCATTAGAAAGTCTCCCAGTTATTCAGGTTCCACTTTCAGGATGACAGATTAGAAAGCTATCTGAAATTTACCTGGATATTAACTTTCTAGTGGGTAATAATAATGCAAATTTTATTCCTGAAATTCTTCCTTTCATGTCCTTCTCTGATCAAGCTTGTTTCATTCTGAATGAAAGTCAAATGAGATTCTCAATTTATTTTAAAAAATTGGGCTATGTCCAAAGATAAATACATAAAAGTAAAATATTATGTAAAATAAAAAACTGCTTATCACTGTTCTGAAGTAGCACAAACACAGCTATTCTCTGCATAATGAAACGTGGCCGTTCCTACCAAGTATTTATTTGACAAGTAGGCTCTTAAGCACTTGAACAGAAGTGAAAAGCGGGTTTCCTCCATGTCATATTAAGGCCCTTGAAAGGTGGGGGTGGAATTTTGATTTGAGGTGGTAGCCAATTGTAGGTTCCTTGAAAGGGAGCAAGTGAGGAAAGCATGTTGTCAGAAGAACACTTTGGCAGTTGGGTGGAGAGTGGATTAGTATTAGGGAGTGAAGGCAATAATCCAGTGTCTGATGATGACAGCCTGATCTCAGATCCCATTGAGATGGAGAAAAGAAAACCTTAGGCAGATATCAGGATTCTTTGTTTTATGTGAAAGAGATTGAAAACCTGTGGCACAAGTGTGATCACTAATACCTTCCACACCCACAGAGACATCACCAGTGGATTACAGCATTCTTTCCTGCGGAGCCCTGGTGTAACCTCAGAATCTTGCAAACATTTGACAAATATTTATTAATAGCTGTTAGTTATTGAAGATGTGCTATATGCCAGGCACTGTACTAAGCCTTAACACAAGTTTATCTCAATGATGATGGAGTGGTTGGAAACAGGATACTTTTTCCCCACGTACTAGTAGTGTACCCTTGGACAAGTTACTAACTTCTGTGAGTCTCAGTTTCCTTGCTTTTCAATTGAAACGTTAGTTTCTATCTCAGAAGGTTTTAGGGAGGATTAAATAAATAGCTGTAAATGCAAAGTGGTTAGAACAATGTCTGGCACAAAATTAAGTGCTATATGTGTTCGTTGTTATTCTTTTTACTATTCTTTAAACAACCTTATGCCTAAGTACCATTTTGCAGATTAAAAAATGTGCAAATGAGCTATGTGAATTGCTCAGCATCATAGGCTGGTAAATGATAGAGCTGGCCGTCAAACCCAGGCAATATGACTCCAACACCTATTTTCCTAACTTGTATGGATCCCTGTCTTCTATACTGCATGCCAGGTGCTGGGGATACTGATTAGAGCAAGAAAAGTAGGGGCTTGTCCTCATGGAGCTTCAGTGTTCCAGTCCTCTCTAATGTAGATCTGCCATCTCCAATGTAGAATTAGTAGCCAGATTATAACTGTTTCTCCTTGATGTTTTCGTATTTTGTAAGTAATGTTTTTATTAAGTTCTTTATTAAGAAGTGCTCCAATTTGTGTTTTCATATATGCTTTGAAAATGGATTATTTTCTGGGTCTTTACCCTAACACAGTTGGCATATACAATACTTATGTCTCTCCTTATACTCAAGGCTTCTTATGCCTCCCTCATATAATAGATCAGATTCTGGGGCAAGCTTTAGTATTCTGAAAAACTTCTGTGCCATCCACTTCCCTCCATACTCCCAGAGTCTCAGGTATCTCCCATTGTGAGCTGTGGTGGAGTGATAATGACATTTCTAACCACCTTTTAATTCAGCTTATTCAGAATATTTTATAGAGTAATGGCAAAGCAAATTTTAGTTGTTCTTTGACTTGTTGAAGTAATTATGTCTAATTATAAGAAGACAGATTTTATTTATAGGTGGGAAGACTCCTGTGGCAGTGAAGAATAAGCAATTCTTAACTCCTTCAGAGCTTTAGGATGGAATCTGCCATCACTGATTCCAATATTTTGACTTTATTGCATTAATTCTTATAAATGTATGTTCTCATAACTCTCAGAAATCTATAGCTAGTATTGTGTTGTTCTAAGTAAGTGAAACTTTTTCTTGGTCTTGTATAAAGTTGAATTTGCCTCCAGCAAAAAATCATTGAGTAGAAGGAGAGATATATGTGTTGTGTATGTCAACAGTGTTACACAAAACAAAAACAAAATAAACAATTTTTTAAAGCATAGGTGAAAACGCAAATTGGAACACTTCTTAATAAAGAACTTAATAAAAAGCATTACTTACAAAATACCAAAACGTCAAGGAAAACTAGCAATCATCTGGGTACTAATTTTACATTGAAGATGATAGATTTACTTTGGAGATGGTTGGAACCCTGAAGTGCTGTGAGGGCAAGCCCCCACTTTTCTTGCCCTAGTCAGTATCCTTGGTACCCAGCATGCAAGTATAAAACACTAATAATTTTGTTGTGGGAAATTTTGAAATCTCACCCTTAAAAATATACTCTGCATCCTTTGATTTACTTTTTTTGGAAGTTACATATTATATTATTTGGCAAAAGTTCAATTCTTTTTAAAGAAACATTTTAAATTTCATGAGTTTAAATTTGATTAAAGATGAAAGAATTTGAGATTTAGTGAATTTGGCTTTTTTTTTTAAACGGCTGCAATGCTTAGGTATAGTGGCATCACAGTAACTAAACCAGATTCAGCAAAAGCTCAAGCAAGAGATAACTGTTAAGAGGCCCATCAGGAATTATTCATTTTAATTGTGTGATTTGATGCTTCTCTGGGTTAATTTAGAAACAGGAGGCCAGTGGTGACTCATTTTTAACCCTTTTTAGCTCCCTGTGAACACTGCCTGCCTGTTTTGCATTTGGCTGTGTTCAGAGACAGGCTCAGGTGCAGGTTCCCCTTTAGAGTGTTACATTTCAAACTTGCCTGCTAGTGCACTAATCAGCTATGCACCTTTAATTAAAAGTGTAGGGAAAACTATAGCCAGGAATGATGATTATGGCTAAATTTGGCTCATCTGAGGACCCTGTGATTCTATTTATCCTGTCACTACAACTGTATCATTTAACACTAGAAATACAGAGAGGCTGTTCTGCCTTTGGGCTCATGCTTCGGTCTTCTGGTGGGTTGACTCTGGCTTTTTTTCCCCAATCTGTTTTGTCCTTGAAAGGTTGGTTTATAAATTGTTCCACAAGATAAGTTTTCTTTAACTATAGGAACAAATGGACATGGTGGATGGAATGAGATTGGGAAAGAGAGGCCTGAAATATGCCCTTCCTATGCTAATGTTCCTGTTAACCTGGGCAAAGAAACTGCTTACTTAATCTATAAAGTACTTAAGCTAAATAAATAAATTGATAAATAAGATGAAAATCACTCAAAATCATTGGTGGGTGTAGAACTTTGTTTTTTTTCAATTCATGAAAAATTTAATAAATTAAAATGTGGATCTTGAAAGAAATATAACTATCATATTCTTATGGCACACGTAGTTATTTTTCTTTCGTCAAGTATAATATTACTGAATAACTTAGGTAACTAGGGCAGTGATTCTCAAACTAGGCTCAAAGTAAGAAAATGTCCTCCATCCCACCCCTAGAGATGATTATTCAAAAGGTTTGGGTGGAGCCTGGCAGCCTTCCTTTATATCTTTTTAAAACAAGGGTCGTGGTCTGTCACCCAGGCTGGAATGCAATGGCGTGATCATAGCTCACTGCAGCCTTGACCTCGTGGGTTCAAGCGATTAGCCTTCTAAGTAGCTGGGACTACAGGTGCGTGCTGCCACACCTAGCTATTTTTAATTTTTTTTTTGGTAGAGACGAGGTTTCACCATGTTGCCCAGGCTGATCTTGAATTTCTGGGCTCAAGTGATCTTTCCACCTCAGCCACTCAGAGTACTGGGATCACAGGCATGAGCCACTGCACCCAACAGCCTTCCTTTTAACAATCTTCTCAGGAGATTCTGATGCAGGTGCTCAGTAAACCACCCTTTTGAGAAGAATCCGCTTAAGAGCTAAATCTAATCTTATATTCAAATTCTTTCTTCTACTTTTATGTTTTGAACATTTATTTCTCCTGATTTCGATAGACAGTTTCATGTAATAATATATATGTCAGTGCTGCCTTGGAGTTCTCATAAAGGTACGATATATTGCCTTTCCTAGTCTTAATATGATCTATCTTTTGATGGGTGGAATCAGGAAACCACAGGGTTGGTGGGAATTTTTAGAGATAATGTACATTCTTCTGAGTGACAGATATTTGGATAGGGCAGAGATGGATTTGATCAAAGGAAAGTAAGAGAAGACATTAGTGAGTAGTGGAAGACACAGAGAAGGGGAAAGGCTCAGATAACAGAGGGCACTGAAGGGCTGGCGAGGGTTTAGACCTCTTCTGGCAGGCGCTGAGTTACTATGGTGCAGTTTTTGAGCCGGGGACTAACTGGATGCAAACAAGTGTACACCTGAGCTAGAGACACACAGTACCTTGTCCAGAAACAGAGGATCAAGGAACAGGTGGGTGAAGCAGGCTGGTTTGTCACCATAAAGGCAGAAAGAAACAAGGGTGAGGACTTGGGGCCCAGAATTTGGCTGGACTGACTTTCAAGGGTTTATGCAGTAGGGTTCTCCAACTCTGTGTTCCTAAAGGTCTATAGCTTTTTGGTAAATTGCTTTTTCCTACTATTGATGTTATGGTGTATACATGAAGGCCACCTAGCTCAGCTTCAGGCCAGGATTTAGGAAGTCCTTGAATAATTGCTACAACTACCAGTACCTTAATATTGTGAGGCAAGGAAGGCACAATTATTCTTAACTTTGGACAAGAGAAATAGACTCAGAGAGTTAAGTAATTTACCAGAATTTACACATGTAGAAATTGGCAGGGCTAGGATTCAAGTTCAGGGCAACCTATTCAAAACTTGTAGGTTTTATAAAAAAGTATAATTTGTCTGATTACATAAAGTGATACATACTTATAACAAATTGTACAGCAATGAATAAATAAAAAGTGAAAGTCCCTCATGATCCCACCCTTGAGAGAACAGCTGAGAAAAATTCAGTAAATGTTGTTCCAGACTTGTTTCTTAAAAAATTCCAGTATACTTAATGAATACATTTGTATTCATATTACAAGGATGGAGCTATATTTTATATGTTATTCCACAGCTAGCTGTTTTCACTTAATGCTCTAACTTGGATGACATCCTGGTTCAGTACAAATAGATGTAAGTCCTTTCTAACAGTTTCATATGCTATAGAGATTCTTTATTTTAAGTATTCCTCTTTTGATGGCTATTTATTTTAAAACCATGCTGCAGTGTGTGTGTATATATTAAATGGTCAAGGAAATCTATGGGGAGATCTTAAAATTGGAATTGCTTAGTCAACAGGAATGCATATTATTTTAAAAACTGACATTTTTTTCAATCCTCATCCATATTGAGTTGGACCAATCATATACATTTTACCAATCAAATACATTAAATACCTGGCTTAAATTCAGTTTCTTAATTACTAGTGAATTTAGATGTTTATTTCTTGTGACTTAACTGTTTATATTTCTCTTAATTACTTGCTCATGTCACTTGCCCATTTTTACTCTTTTTCTTACTGTTATGCAAATGTTTCCTATAGTTTACAGATAATAAATATTATAGCTGTCAGTGGTGCAAACTTTTTTATTCTTTTACTTGTTGAAAAGATTTTTAAAAGTACTATTCAAGCATTTACAGAATATTTTATTTTAAAATAATTTTAGACTTTCAAAAGATTGTGGAAACAGTACACAAAGTTTTTATACAACCTTTACCCTGATTCCTCAAATATTAACACCTTGCAAAACCACAGTAGTCATCAAAATCAGTAAATTAACACTGACACAATACTATTGTCTAATCTACAGATCTTATTCAAATTTCACCGAAGTCCTTCTGGGCAAGGATCCTTTCTGGGATCATACATTGAATTCATTTGTTATGCCTCCTTAGTCTCTTTTAATCTGCAATAGTTCCTAAGTCTTTCTGTCTTTCATGATCTTGACACTTTTTAAGAGCATTGGCTGATTGTTTCCTAGAAAATCCCTTGATTTGGGTTTATTTGATGTTTCTTCATGAGTATGTAATCAAGAGAGTGACCTAGTCTGATGATGGTCAAAAATAACTTGCCTGAAAAAGAGATGCTTAAGCTAACACCAGAAAGATGGGTAGAAAGTGGAAGTATGAACTGAGGATGGGGTGCCTTTGCATTGACTTTGCATAGTGCATCTAAGCAACTGAAAGAAGCCAGTGGAGGAGGTGGTGTGAAAGAAGGCTCTAAGGAGGCAGTCTGGTCAGACCCAGCTTTGTGGGACTTATTAAGGTTATAGGATATTAACAGCAATAGAACATCATTCAAGGGCTTTAAGCAAAGGAATGGCAATATCTGAATCAGGTTTTTAAAAGATCACTACAGGTAGATTCTTCACCAGGTAGAATTAATCAAAGGGGAGCAAGATAGAAACAAATACAACAACTAGGAGGCAGTTCTAGCAATGCAGGCAGAGAAAAGGGTGGGGTGTACATTAAGGAGCCTCCCCGCAAAGACGGTGAAAACCTGCAGTTTTGAGAGATGTTTTGGAGGGTGAATCTGAATCTGCACATGCAGGTGATAGATTGGATGTGGGGTTAAGGGAAGGGGTAGGTGCAGGATTGCTAATATCAGCGTTTGCCAGATATTTGTGTAAGTGATTGGATGTTGGTACCATCCATGGAGATGAAAGAGACAATTCTTCACCTCTGATAGTGAAGTCAGAAGCATCACCATCTCCAATTCTTTTAGATGCCAACATTTACAATATATTTGCTTATTTATGCTTCTGTATCTCATTATAGCCACTTAGCTTCCAAGTTCTATGGTTTTTCCTCAGAATCTTTCCCAATAACTGTTTGTCCTTCTCCATTTCTTTCACTGCTCTTCAGTTTGGACAAGGGTTTCCTCATTCCAGTGTTGCATACTTGCTTCCTCTCTGGGCTACCAATTCCTCTATTCTCTGTAACTTTATCCATCGCTTCCAGAGTATGTGTGTTTAATAAATATGTACTAAGTGCCTCGTTTGGGCAGATCACTTTGTTGGGAAGAGTTGGGAATTAAGTAAGTTAAGTATATTTCATGGAACTGGAGTCAATTCCGAGTTATAATTGAGGCAGAAGGAAAAAGGCCATTCTGCCTAGCGGTCAAGAAAGGACCATATTCTTCTTTCACTCCTTACAAAAAATAAATTCCACACAGGTCAAATGTATTTATCCAAAAATGACTAACCACAGAAGTACCAGAAGAAAAGATCAGTAGACATATTTTAAAATTGTTTATGATGAGTAAGTTTGAAGACCTTTTAAAGAATGTTGAGAAACCTAGATACCATAAAGAAAATAGGTCCACTTGAAAGCTTAAATTTTAAAAATTCCATGTAAAAATTAAACAGCTTTCAAGCAAGAATGTCAGCTGAACTAATAATTATAGAAGGAAAAATAGAAATAGAAAAATGGCCACTTTCAAACACCACAATAATTGTCTCAGGGAAAAAAATCTTCAAATGCTAAAATTAGTGGGCAATGGTATATTTGCATAGTTTCCCTACAAGATACTTTTCAATTATAAAGAGAAAAATAGTATCGTGGAGAAACCTGACCGATATAACTTAAACAAATATCACGATTAACATCATTAATAATTGAACAAATCAATAACATATGTCTCCTGATACATCATGGAGGATACACCATCACTTATAAGGTATTTTTTTGCCAAAAAAATGCATAACTCTCATTGTTTTCTGTATTTCATCTTTCTCACAGTCACCACAATCTTTATTAGATAATTGTGTAGATAATTGTTTATTATTTTTACACCTCTCTGCCCCATTCCTGGTCCTTAGCAGAATGTAAGGTCCATAAAAGCACAAAGTAGGGGCTTTATAAGTAACATTGAATAAATGAATGAATAAATAAATTTATTTGGAGCTATCAGTTTTTACAGGAAAGATCCATTTAGCCTTGGATTGTATTGAATGAAAAATAACAGTTGGGTATCCTGGTGGAAATGGATGGAGGACATTTGAAGGTACAATGCTAAAGCTCAAATTAAGCTGAAGCCATGAAAAAAAAAGGTGTCTTATAGAATAAAGATATATCAAGAAAAAAAGATGAAATATTAATATTTGAGATGCAGGGTGAGGGAGGAGAAAGGAAACACCTCCACTTCAGAGAGGCCAAGGCAGGAGTTGATTTTAAATAGGGAAAGTTCAGCTGATCAGGGCCAGGTGCTTAGTGGGGGTTTGTAACTGTTTAATGCAGTGAGTCTCAAGTTTTAATGTGCATAAAAACATCCTGGGCTGGAGATCCCTGGGGCACCCTTCCCAGAAATTTTGACTCAGTGGGGCCTAGAAATCTGTGGGGTTTGTGTATGTGTCTGTGTGTGTGCGTGTGCGTGTGTGTGTGTGTGTGTGTGTGTGGCCAGCACACCCCTCCTCCACCAAGTCATTGTAATGCAGGCAAGTTATCCAGGAACCACTCCCAGAGGGAACATGGCATCCAAATCAGGGGGATGTCAGCTCTAGGGTAGGAAGGTAGGAAGGGGATGAATGGTGAGCAAATTTGGACAGCAGATGACCACTTGCTAACAACTTTGCCAGAATAAGGAGCTCTTCAAGAAAACTCTTTAAAATGGATTGCCAGGGAAAGTTAAGAAGGAAACTTTTTTCTGTTTCTGCCTACTGCATTGAAGAGATTGTCCAGTGCAAAACCAAATGTATGAATACAGCCTCTGCTGTGACATGTTAAACAGTTAAGATTCTTGTGGTTGGAGAACACTGGAGAAGCAGTGGATGACAAGTACTTCAGGATGGCCCTCTTTTGCTTTTGAATAATAGTGCTGGACTCAGTCCATTTTGTAGAACTACTGTCCTTAAGAAAGTTATGAAAATTAAATAAAATTGATTAATAATGCCCAAGGACTAACTACATTTCTGAGCTTTCAGGCAACTGGCAGGCAGGAAAATGATGCTATTTCAAACATTTATTTGTGACTCATTATACTTCATTGAACTAAGTATCTTTTGGATAGTATTTTCTTAAAAGCAAAATTCCAATAAAAAAGGAAGTATATTAAAAGGTACATTAAAGTTTAGTGCCTTATGGGTAGCTTATCTTTAGAAATGCATTATTTCCAGGAATGTTTAGTATTTTAACAGGAGGAGAGCAAATTAGCAAGTTCATATGAATTTGTGGTGAAAAAATATCTGTGTACAAATATGAATCTCTCTCCAGCACCTCAAATTCATTTGCCAAGTGTTTTATAATGCATATTAATTGAATCATCACATTTAGAAAAGAATCTAAAATTAGCACATTGATGAGCATATGAAATGCCTTTGATATAGCACAAAAATGTAGAATTTATATTAAAAACCAGCAAATATTTTGAATTGAACTGTGTCTAGATAGAATAATTATGGATTTGAATTTCTTAACTACATATACCATGTAGTCAGTCCACAAACACTGAATCATTCTGCCGATGAAAAAAGTGAAGGGAGCTGGGCACGGTGGCTCACACCTGTAATCCCAGTACTTTGGGAGGCCGAGGCGGGCGGATCACCTGAGGTCAGGAGTTCGAGACCAGCCTGGCCAACATAGTGAAACCCCGTCTCTACTAAAAATACAAAATTAGCCAGGCATGGTAGTGCATGCCTGTAATCCCAGCTACTTAGGAAGCTGAAAGAGGAGAATCGCTTGAACCTAGGAAGCGGAGGTTGCAGTGAGCTGAGATTGCACCATTGCACTCCAGCCTGGGCAACAAGAGTGAAATTTCCTCTCCAACAAAAAAATGTGAAGGGAATGAATGTCCTTTTATTTCTTTGGCAGGGAGGAGATAATGAATCAGATAGTTGTAATGCTGAACTGAAATCTTCATTTCCACAGTAAATTTTTTCATTCTTGTCCAAGGCCCAAGGATGTGACCTTCTCTTGGATTTTCCTGATTATTATGAGAGGCAAGTCGTTAGTGTTGCAGTGTGACTGTGAGTATAAGCCCTGAACTCCTGTGCACTTAGAGTCCCTGCTCTGTCATTTGCTTGAATTACTTATCTCTTCTAGGCTTTAGTTTTCTTATCTGTAAAATGGAAATCATGGTCGTAATCATTTGAGTGTTTCCTGGCACCAAGCATTGTGCTATATGTTTTACAAGCATTATCTCACTTTACCTTCTCAGTACCCCTATTCATTATCAACCTCCTTTGCAGTTTGGGAAGCTGCAGTTCTGCTGTTAGTGGTTCCTGGAGCCAGAATTTGAATTCAGATGTTCTAACCCTGGAGACTGCATGTCTAATCCCAAGGCTCAACTACCTCCTATTGGAGAAGGCTAACTGAGATCATGTGTGTTCATGCATCCAGTTAGCCAGGGAACGAAAGCATTCTGCTAATGGTACCTATTGTTTTATACAGGTTTTTTTTTTGGCTATCTTTTTCTATTGAAGGCGACATAGTACCTTGCCTGCCCAGAATTCAGCTCACTCTTACCTAGAAGGCAGTCTAGAAAAAACAAGATAAAAGGCATTTTGAGCAGCAAAATTAGAAATCATGTAGCACATTCACTGTAATCAGCAGGTGGTTCACTCACAGAAGATCTCTCCTGATGCACACCTAGTCTATACTTTCATTCTGTAAATAATCTCAAATAATTTTTATCAATGAGAGAAAATAGATTAAAGGAGGAAAAAGACCGAATTCAAGAAGTTTAGTAAATAAGTTGCCTTTTAAGTGATTTTTTTCTAAATGAATGACAGATTAAACGGAGCAAATTAGAAATGGAGGGAAGCATTGTTAATGTTGAATTATGAAGAAAGGGTTAATGTTTCTATTTTAAGTTAAGGAGTAAATAATATATCTTAGAACTGTTTCCTTCAAAAATATTTAAATCTCATAATATTTTATGATTATTATTTACTATTTTACTATTCAGAATCACCTCTTTTGTCACGGGATTCATATAGCTAAAGATTTTCTTATATTTCCAGAGGAATCCTATGCTAATTAGGGAGCATATTACAGAATCCTAAGAGTGCCTTTTGTAATGGCATTTTAAATCTTATATAATAACAATTTAGAAGAGAACGGTTTTAGGGTAAGATCAGCAGCTCAGCCATGTGAGCAAGGAGCCAGGCTCATTCCACCCTTGGGTTCTGCCATCCTCCAGACACTGGCTGTCCTTGGACTTGACCCTTCTAGGTTGCAAAATGGCTGCTGCCTTTTAAAACTTATGTGAAGTCACATGTTCAGCTGATGAAAAGGCATATATTCCCTAGGATGTCTCTTTGTATTAGAGATGAAAATTTCTCACAGAATCCTCCCAACAGATTTCCCCTCAGGTCTCATTGTCCAATATTTGGTTACTTGCCAACCAGCCAAGTCCTGACTACAAGGGAGACTGAGAAAGTGACTATCTCTAGTGGGACTGGGCCCTGCTGGTGAGGAAGAAGTAGTGGTGGCTAGGGGATAGATAACTGTCTGTCAAAAGCTCATTGCAAAGAAGCAAGTAGTTACACATCAACCGACCATCTGATATCTGTAATAGAAGTCAACTTTTAGCAGAGGTCATTAACCTCACCTCTCCAACATTTGCTGTGAGAAAGAACTGATTTTCTTTGAGTTTCTTCCTGCAAGCTGGGAACTATAATGGAACTTTATTACCTCATTTAAGCTTTAGTTGAATTCTTCTGGAAAGCTATTGTTGTGCCTATTTAATAGATGAAGATAAGGTGCACAAAAAGGTTAAATAAGCTGCTGTAGCACTCCCAACTAGTGATAGAAACTGGCCCCTCCTAAAGTAGTATATGGCCCCCAAACCTGAGCTCTTCGTGCTAAGGGCACCGAACCACTTCATCTTGGTGGCTGGATAAAAAGTTTGTATTACACTATGCAAAATAATTATTTTATGGCCCAGTATGTGACTTTCTTGCACTCACAGTAGCCTAGATCTACCTCAAGGTAATTTAACACATGCATCAGGAGTGGTTTGTTTAATCATCTTTCCTGTAACAACTACATTCTTGCTCATTGATCTAATATAAACCATTCTGTTGTGACTGGTATATTTAATGTGGAATATACCTCTAGAAGTAACAGACAAGCACCTGGCACCTAGTAAATGATAATATATAGTACTTACAAATATAGGGAAAAAATCCAATAAAAGCTATTTCTAATATTATGATCATTTCGTTTTTATCTTATCAATATTTTAGTAAAGATAATTTATCATCTATGTCACAGCATATTTCTGATTGCAGATATTATAGAAGATAAGTGTAAAAACAAATCAATGTAATCTTTGCTTTTGATGTCTGAATTTTTAAAATCCTTCAAAAGGGACATGAAGGGTGGGCCTAGATTTATTTATTTTTCCTGAAGTAGGGCCCAATCTGTAAGACTGTGACTCAGGAGATCCTTCTTTGTGTCTCTGTCATTTAAGACATGGGAATGACCCTTTACCTCTCTTTATCTAAATCAGATTAGGTCATTGCAGCCTACAGGCTGAGTTACAATAATTTTCTTTGTCTACCTCCAACTGAGTAAATTGCACCATGTTCTTCCTGGAAAACATGACCACTAACCCAGTGGCTGTTGGTTTGGCCAATTAGAAATGAGACTGCTGGAGGTGGTATAAGGTGCTCTGTCCTCTCTTAACTGCCAATGGGCCACACCTACTTATCCAGGTCACTAGGGCACTCAAGTCAAAAGAAGTGCCTGGGAGAAAATGGCACATTTGGGTGATGGTCTCGCTGGCTGTTTACTGTATGCTGAGTCTCTTAGGAGACCGTTCACTGCCTGGTAATCATCTGCTTTCTGAATTCTGGAAAATATTTCTCTGTGGATGAAAATGGGTCAGGATTCTGAACTTTGCCACACACACACAAACACACACATACATGCACGCACGCACACACACACACTATTTTAAGAAAAAGAAAGAAAGAAAAGAAAAGGAAATTAAGGCTGAAAAAATCACAAAATAAGCACCATGCTAGGTCAGATATTTTCCTCTGTTCATTCTTGCATTGTTTGCTGCTGATTTTAAAGGGCAGAATTGTTGAGACTCTTCCATGTTTCCATGGGGGACTTCAGACTTGGAAACATTGCAGGGACACAAAAGCCAAGAGGATTTTGCTATGGTTATGTAGAGAATAAACTGTTACAAGCTCAGAGCTGTGAAATACCAATTTGGAGAGGATACTTACCCCCTCCCAGGCCACTTATGGATGAGACAGCATTTTGGCCACATCCCCTCTGGGCACAGTCGACTGCTCAGTTGGTTCTGGGAGCTACTTGTTAGCTGAATCTCTGGGACAGGGGTTGGCCTCCATGTGCTCATTGTGAATATGTATGGTTCTGACACCATGATTCCCCACATTCTTGTGAGTCGGATTAACAGAAAGCAGACACTCCCCTACTCCTCTATAAAAGGTCAGATTAAAGAAAAAAAATGATGATGTCTTTGGAGGTTATGGTCAGGAAAAGGGGCTAGCAATAAAAGCAAGAAGGCAAGAGCTCTGAAGCAAGAACTCTGAAGAGATATCTTAGAGGTTAAACAGATCACAAGGCTGTAGTTCAGATGATCAGATGTTATCAAGCCACAAGAATGTGAGGTAGAGGTCAGGGAGTAGGCTGAGATTAAAGCGGGCGTTTCTGATGAATGTTTTCCATTAGTTTTAAGCCACTCTAAAAGCAGCGAAGTGTGGCTGTGACAAGCGCCCTGCCGAATGAGTAAAGTAAACCTTGGAGGGGGCTCAGTAAAGGATATTTAGCAAGCAAATGATAGAGCCTAGACTCAACACCCAGGCTTATCTCACTCCAAAGGCTGTTTGCACCGTGTGCTTTGTAGCACTTTGGACCTCCACTTTGGAGGGGGAATTTATTTTATTCTTGCATGATACTGAATACTTCCCATTAGTTAGCATCTGTGGATCTCAAGTACTATGAGGTGAAGTACCTCTTACTGTACCCTCAGTTCAAATTTTCTAATTGTTTTAGTAAGACCACAGTAGCACAAATGGCAAGTGGTACTTGCTGTTAATTTTTCCTGTTTTAGATTCTCCTGGCCCACTTTATTTCTGATTAGATTGAGGTAGCATAGTGAGTTTTTGTTTTGTTTATTCATTTGCATTGTTGATCTAGAGCCGTGGTTTTCAGACTTTATTGGTCTTGGAACCCCTTTACACTCTTAATTACTAAGGACACTAAAAAGCTTTGTTTATGTGAGTTATATCTATTTATATTTACTGTATTAAAAATCAAAACAGACATTTATAAGAGTATGCAAGTAAGCATTCCATTAACTCTTGTACCCTCTGGAAATCTCCACTATACAACTGTGAAAGATTGATATTTAAAAAGTCAAATAATGCTTTAGTAATATTATGAAAGTAATATTGACCTCACAGACTCCCTGACAGGATCGTGGGGAACCTGGACCACATTTTGAGAGCCACTGAACTAGAAAACATACCTGTTTATGTTGATCTTGCAATTGTTTATAATGCAACTGTAAGTGCCAGGACTAGGGGGCAAAAAGATAAAGGAATTAAGACAGGACCATCAGCTAATACATGGTTCAAAAAATAAGTTGACTGACCAGTCTGTGAACTTCTTTCATCTTAGATTTGAGGGGAGTTGGCTTCTATTTCTGAATTATTAATATATTCATATGTGGGAGTGAATAGTTTTTATCTATAGTAATTTAATAAACTCTGATGTTTAAGATATGTTTAAACATTTCATACATATAGAAGCTCATTACAGAGATGTTTGTTTCATTGTTTCTGCTCACACTTAGCATTGTTTTCTGGTCACCCAGCCCTGAATCCACCTTTCCTCTCTTGGCATATCCCACTGCCTCCTACAGGAGGATAAAGTGCTAGATATTTACATTTTCGGCCATCTTTTCAGCCAGGCTGCAGGCATGGGACCCAGACTTTGCCAGTCAGACATCTGCATCTCATGCTTTGAAATAGAAACTAGAGACATGCAGAAGTACATGGCGGCTGCACATCGTTCCCAGGGCAGCAGCTAGTTGCTGGAGTTGCTGGTGTTGGTAGTAGAAGCTGTAGAATCCCCTGTTCATCAAGTGATAGAGATAGCAGAGGTGTTTTCACCAGACCAATGCTGCTGTGTAGTCTGGGGCAGTGTTCTTGGATATGTAGCTTCCAAACCTGATTTCTCTGGCCTTCCTAGAAGTTTGTGTTTTTTTTCATTATCCTTCTGTGAATTCAAGAGTCAGACCTTTGCCTGCAATTAAGAATCCTGCTTAATTCATTCTGAAATGCAGTGTCTCTCAAAGTATTGTTTGGAAACCTCATGTATTGGAATGACTGGGCCATATCTGACAATACCTACTTGTGGGCTTAAAACCGATGGATTCAGAATCCTTAGGGTGGGTCTTAGGAGACTGCATTTTAAACAGATCTCAGGTTTATGTGATTTTAGATGCAGTAAAATGTAAAAACCGCTATCCTAATATTTTCAACCTTTTAAATTCTATGCTCTCTCTTTATGGATCTGAGCAATCATCAAAAGAAATAATTCTACTTTTTAAATATTTTATTTTTGAGCTGGAGTCTCGCTCTGTCACCCAGGCTAGAGTGTAGTGGTGCCATCTCAACTCACTGCATCCTCCGCCCCATGGATTCAAGCAATTCTCCTGCCTCAGCCTCCCTAGTAGCTGGGATTACAGGCGTGCACTACCACGCCTGGCTAATTTTTGTATTTTCAGTAGAGACGGAGTTTCACCACGTTGCCCAGACTGGTCTTGAACTCCTGACCTCAGGTGATCCGCCTGCCTCGGCCTCCCAAAGTGCTGGGATTACAGGCGTGAATCACTGTGTCTGGCCAATTCTACTCTTTTATAAGGCCCTAATAAATGACTTACTAGTGTTTTCTTGTTCCCCTCCCTCCCCGGCTTCACATTCCCCATAAGCCTTTGCTCTGTCTTTTTAACGCTTTTAACGTCTTTTTTTCCTGGTTTATTTCTTCTCACTGAGAAGTATTAATTCCTCAGTTGGGATTGCCTACATTCAGTGGTGCCAAAATTGTTAACTCAGCTTCTAAACTACACTGTGATGAACCATGTTTTTTCTTTCTTGGGCATTTTTTAGCCTGCAGGCTTAGAGCTCAATGTTTACCCCAGGGATTACTGGAGACAATGGAGGGGAAAGACTGGAATACAAGAGTAATTTTTCTTGAAGGGTTCCTCCACCATGGATTTAGGCCAGAAAATAGCACTGGAGCTGTTGATTGATCTACTTCTGAGATTTCTAGAATCACTGAATATTATAACTGAAAGGAATCCATCTTAACCCCTTGTTTCCTAAGTGAGGAACTGAGGAGAAGATCCATGTTCAAAGTCATCTAAGTGATGAATGGGGTATAAAGGACAAAATAAATTTAGAAGTGGAAAGTGGTGATACAGAGCTTGACCTAAACTAGCATAAAAAGGATGGGAATTACTAATATTTATTGAATTAATATTTAAACTTGGGTACATTCACTTGACTTCTCTGAGCCTCAGTTGTCTCAACTATAAAATAAAGATTCTAATAATAGCTAACATTGATAAAATATTGACTATATGCTAGGAGCTATTGATACTCTAAAGACTTTATGTGCTAACTCATTTGATCCTAGAACAACCACATGATGTAGGAACCACTGTTTCTCCCATTTTGTAGATGCACAGAAAGGCTATATAACTTCCCTGCAGTCACACAGCTAAACATATTTGTTTTCTATTGCTGCTTTACAAATTTTTATGAAATTAAAGGCTTAAATATACATGTATTATCTTGCTGCTTTTTGGTTCAGGAGTCTAGGCACAGCTTATCTAGATCCTCTACTCATGGTCTCACAAGGCAGCAATTGACTTGTTGACATGGGCTAGAGTCTCATCAGAGGCTTGCAGTCATCTTCCAAGCTTGTATGATCATTGGCAGAATTAATTTCCTTGCAGCTTTGGAACTTGTGGTGGCTGAGTCTTTAAGGCCAGCAGGAGAGAATCTACTTCTTTTAAAGGTCTTACCTGATTAGATCCAGACCACTCAGGATAATTTTTCTTTTAATTAGCTTAACATTATTAGGGGGATTCTTATATCTACAATATCTCTTCATCTTTGTCATGTGATTCAACATATTCATGGGAATAATATTCCATGACCTTTGCTGTCTTCTATTGGTTAGAAGCCAACTACAGGTCTTAAACACACTCAAGTGGAGAGGATTACACAAACCTACAGATATCAAGGGGCAGGAATCACAGAGCTATCTTAGAATTCTGCCTGTTATAGTTCTAAGGTTGAGTTTAAATCCAGACTGGCTCTAAGTTTAACAGTCCATGCTTCTAATCAGTATTATCTTCTTTATTCCTTTGAAGAAAGCAAACCTACTTTATAACCTTGCATAGAGTTCTAAGTAAGGTATCCCGCAGCAGATTCATACTGGGTGTCAGTCAAATGTGAATTATTTTCACACCTTCACTTTTAAAGATCAGCTTCAGGAAACTATAACCACTTGCAGTTTTGTATTTTCAGGAAGAGATTTCCAACAGTCTCTCTAAACACTCAGGTTATATAGGTTATTTCAATTTGTTCCTGTTTGTCTGAGGCAGAGATAACCCTGGGGTTTGGGATTTCAAACTTGGGTCTCAAAAAATAACTTTAGTTCTGCTTCTTGTTTTTGAAACAGATGAAGTGATTGAGAAGAAACAGTGAACATCCTCATTTCACAGATAAGACAACATGGATCAGCCTTTTACTGTGAATTCTCTGGTAGGTCACACCAGCTGATATCTAACATTTGGTTGGAAAGCCCAAAAAGAAGAACAGAAACATACAAATGTGAAATGAGTCACAATTACTTTAAGAAGTTTAGCACTTGTAGTTTTTCATCCATCTGTGTGGTTGTCTTCTTTGAGGAAGTGACTAATAAAGCTATCTTTGTAAGACTTAAAAATAAATTTTATTTTCCACAAAAGTCTAAAATTTTAGTTTATCTAGCTAGATTCCAGGAGTGTAGTCCTTTGGCAAAACACCGGAGAGAAGAATTTCAGAGTTGATATCTGAGGAGCTACTTAAAGCTCTTTGTGCCTCAGCTACTTTATGGATAAGAATTGGAGGCTCACCTTGTATGGCGTTAACTGAGAAAAACATACATAACACCTAGGTACTGCTTTGGATCCTCGTGTAAATGTCTTTGTACTTGAAGCTCTTGTTCTTCTCACTTTTCCCCTCACTGCCCAGCACTGTGCACACTTTCTCTAGCTACATCACATGGGCTTATTCTGTGTCCTAGATCAGTCTCTGAGTGTGAATATAGACACATTATGTAATCTCCATGGCCCTGATTTTGTACTTTTTGCTCAATGACAATTGGAAACAATATTTTTGATGGTCCTAGCCTACCAGGATGGTACGATAAATGGAAACTGTCATTCCCATTTTCCTCCTCTTGATGACCCTCCCCAGCCACTCATGGTGACCTTGTAGGAGTAGCCCCATGAGCTGCAGTATACTAAATACCCTGTACGCACAAAGACTAGCACCAGGACATAAAGAAAGAGAGGGCCTGGTTCTTGTACTGAAATAGGTTGTGACCTAATGTTTTTTCTTTTTTTTTTTGAGGCGGAGTCTCGCTCTGTCACTCAGGCTGGAGTGCCAATGGCACAATCTCGGCTCACTGCAAGCCCCACCTCCCAGGTTCATGCCATTCTCCTGCCTCAGCCTCCTGAGTAGTTGGGAGTATAGGCTGCCGCCACCACGCCCAGCTAATTTTTTGTATTTTTAGTAGAGACAGGTTTCACCGTGTTAGCCAAGATGGTCTCCATCTCCTGACCTCGTGATCAGCCCACCTCGGCCTCCCAGATTGCTGGGATTACAGGTGTGAGCCACCGCACCCGGCCCCTAATGTTTTTTCTTGACCAAGAAAGTCATTCACAAAAATTAGTTGTCTTCAGAGTATATTTGGAAAGGTAGACAATTGCAGAAACATTTTCACTTTCTGTCCCCATGTTGTTGTTCCACTATGGTTAATAAAGACTGACCCATTTCCACCTCTCCAGAGGAAGGAGTCATACTTATGAGATGTCTTCTGTGTTTTTCTAGAACATTATATAACAATAATTAAAATTTTATTGTATATGTCACTGTAAAAATGAACACAAAGGCTTTTTATCTGGAAAATTTGTGTTTTCATCCAAGAAGTCTGCATGCAAATGAAATATTATAGATTGATGAAGACTTTAGGTTATTTTCCAGCTTATCTTTGAAATCAGTTTTAAATTTGGGAAGGTCCATTCAGAAGAGGAAAAATCAATCTAATTTTCATTTTCAGGGAAAAAAAACTAATTATAATCTCTTGTTGCTTCCTTCTCTCACTTCCGTCTGTCTTTTATTTGATATACCTATTAATCATCACTTATGTGGCAGGGAATATGCTACATTCTAGGGAACAGAGATAAATGGAAAATGATCCCTTTTAAAACCCCAAGGAGTTCATAAGGGATCAGATACACTTGTACAGAAATAATTATAACTCAGTGTGGACTAAGTAGTAGTAAAATATGAATACATTACTTTTATACATATGAGAGGCTGGAACCCCCTTTAGAGAACATTCTGATTTTCATAGATTTTTTTTCTAGTCATTTTTCTGATGTCATTGAAGCAATTATCTGTGTCAAATGACAATATTTTCTTTTGGTGCTGTTGAGTTCTATAGCCGAGTGTGGTTAGGGAAAAGTGGATGGATTGCTGTAGCTTTTGAGACATCTCAATTGAAAAGACTATATACTGAAGCCCGAGGCTCAAAGTTCAGAAACTCCAATTTCTGTCTCTGATGTGGGGAAGCCACGTAATAAAATGTACAAGGGACATGGTATGGTTCTTACTTAATGAAGCCTTGAGAAACAAGTTTATGGGTCTCTGGTTACATATTAAACCTTTAGGACCAAGAATCATTTCAGATCTCTGAGGTTCTATTGGCTATAAAATTACCACCAAAGTAGACCAGATGGCATTGGAAGAACTCCAGATATCTAATTCACTATACCCTGTCCCTGAAGGTTGGCTCGGTAATTCATGGCCAGACTAAAAGTATGCTTACCTTGACTTCTTTTATAGCTTTCTACAGACTTGAATGAAGTGCTCCACCCACACAGTAGTCAGACTTGCAACCTACCCTTAACTGACCAAGGCGGCCTTGAGAAGCTAAATTTGCTCTAGACTAACTCTGTTCTGGGAGCATCCAGCAATGGTAGAAGGGGTTGGTCTAAAGCCTTGCTTCTCAAACTGTACAGGCATAAGTACCTCTGGAAAGATGGATTAAAACATTGATTCTCCTGCCTAACTCCAGAGATCCTGACTATAGGTCTGAGGTGAGACCTGTTAGGAATTTGCATTTGTAAGAAACTCCCAGTTGATGCTGATGCTGCCAGTACATGGACCATGCTTTGAAACATGCTGGTCTAAAGCAGGGGTCAGCAAACTATGGTGTAAGGGCCAAACCACCCACTTGCTTTTATAAATAAACATTTAGGGGACACAGCCAGGGTCATTTTTATCCATATTGTTTATGGTGACTTTCATGCTGAGAGCTGAATTCAAGTTGCAATGGAAACCATATGGCTAGCAGAGCCTAAGATACTTGCTATGTGGCACTTAACAGAGAAAATTTCCTTTCTGAAGCACCGACTTTTTATTGAATAATTATTCTGAATTGCATATGTTCTATGCTTTACCAAAAGTGTATAGATGCTGTTTTTATTAATAAAATTCAAATTGCTATCACTGACATTTCTTAGTAACATATCATTATTTTCTTAGTCAAGGACTAATTTAACAGTGTACTTACTATTATATGGAGGTCTGAGATTCTTTTTATGTTAAAAAAAATGGGAGGGGCATTCTTATGCTTGAAAAGGCTTCTCCAGGACTTACTTGTGGGTTGTTTTTTTTTTAACTCAATGAAGATGCAGAGAAGCCCTGAAAATTTCTTACTAAACAACACTTATTCTGGAATAGAATTGAATCTTTATAGTAACTTGAATCCAAGTTACCTCCTTGGAGACCCTTCAGAGTAGACTGACATGAACCCTACAATGGCAGGAATTCATCTTATGACCTGCTTCAGATGATCCCAGATAGAAGCATGCACAGGGATATGAGGAGCAATGATATTTTACCTAAAATGACCTGAAACATTTGCATACCCTGAAACCTAAAGTGAGATCCCACTCCAATAAAACTGTATGTTTACCTTGGAGGTTTGTCTTTTTGTTGTATAAACCATGTATTTTTGTTGTATAAAGCATGTTTAAGCAAAAATGCTTTACTTTGATTATATCATTAACTTATGAAAAGATTTCCTTAGGTAATGGTGTTAGGTTCCTCATAAAGAACATATGTCCATAATATTAGTCATATCCTTTTCTTACTATAATCAACAGTTAATCAGAGATTTAAATTTTGCTTTGCAGAAAAAGTTAGCTGCTATGCCTGACCATACAGATGTTTCCCTAAGCCCAGAAGAGCGAGTCCGTGCCCTAAGCAAGCTTGGTTGTAATATCACCATCAGTGAAGACATCACTCCACGACGTTACTTTAGGTCTGGAGTAGAGATGGAGAGGATGGCGTCTGTGTATTTGGAAGAAGGAAATTTGGAAAATGCCTTTGTTCTTTATAATAAATTTATAACGTAAGTGTTTTAAAGGCCTCTGAAGTGAGAAAATTGGAAAAATATTTACATAGTTATTTTGATGTGGCAGTTTGGGTATCAGTAATGTTTTCATATTCAGACCAATTGCACAGTCTCTAGGAGCATTAAATGTTCAAGTTTTTAAATTACCAACTAATGTACTCACAGGCATCCCAACACCATCTCTGAGGCTTAGGGTCAGGGAGGGCAGGAGGCTCAGGGTTATCAGATTTCCTTTCCAAGGCCAGCATAGTAATCTATTTAATACATGTTTCACTCTTCTTAAATATAATTTATTTTTTCATGCGATTTTCCCCGACAGAAATGGAAGCTTTATGAGAGCAGGAACTACAGTGCAGCTCCATTTATAGCACCTAGAACATGCCATCAACATTTAAAAAATTTGATTTGGTGGGTTGAGTCTAGGGGACAAGTTGGGAGACACAGGAAAGATCTGATTCAGGTTCAGGGATAGGTTCAGGAAACTCATTCAAGTTTCATATAGCACTTATTATTTCTTTTTAAAAAACATTTTATTTGGCTATTAAGAACACTATGTACAAAAGAGCTGTCAAAATGTTGAGTAAAAGTGGCTACATCAAAACAGCCATGTCAGAGTATCATGTTTCCTATTAGACAGATATTTGTTAGTGACATATCCTAGTTTAAGAGTTAACAGAAATGGGACTTCGTCTTTCCTTACTATAAATCTGGTAACTTACTAGTTGAAAGGATGTCCTGTCATCAATAATTATATCTTCTAAGATGAACCTTCTTTTTTTTAATTGAAAGTCACATGCCGATTACTTTTGCTAGCTTATTATTTATTAATTTTATTTAAGTTGACAAATAAAAATTATATGTATTTGTGGTATGCAACATGTTTTGATACATATATGCTTATATTGTGGAATGACCAAGTCAAGACAATTAACATATTTATTACCTCACAGACCTTTTATTGAGACAGGGTCTCCCTGTTGCACAGGCTGAGTGCAGTGGCACAATCATAGCTCACTGCAGCCTCGACCTCCCTGGCTCAAGTGATCCTCCCACCTCAGCCTCCCGAGTAGCTGGGACTACAGGCATGTGTCACCATGCTCAGCTAATTTTTTATTTTTGTAGAGATGGGATCTTACTATGTTGCCCAGGCTGATCTCCAACTCCTGGATGCAAGTGATCCTCCTGCTTTGACCTCCCAAAGTCCTGGGATTATAGGCATGAGCTACTGTGCCAGACCCAAGCTGCATAATTATGCAATACATTGTTATTAAGTATAATCATCATATACACTGGACCTCCTGAACTTATTCCTCCTGTCTAACTGAAATTTTGTATCCTTTGACCAACATCTCACCCCCATCCTCAACTGCTGGAACTCTGATAGCTACCAGACTACTCTCTGCCCCCCTGTGAATTCAACTATTTTAGATTCCTTCTACATTGTAAGTGAGATCATGCAGTATTTGTGTTTCTGTGCCTGGCTTATTTCACATATAATATCACTAGCTTAGTCAGGGGCTTAGCCTGAGAACATTTAAGAAGTTGAAAGATACAATATTTTAAAAATTGCCTTCCATGATTCTACCGAGGGCAAAATTAAAGGCAGTTTACATGGTATGCAAAAATTGAGATCTGCATTTTATTCAAGTTACTGAACTTGAAAATTTAGAGAATGGTTGGCAACCTTCACCCTACCTGGGAAAATCACTTGTTTTTAGAAAGTTAAGTAATAAATATGAAATTAGAAGTTATTCTCCACCATTGATAGCCAAACTTTTCCAATAATTTTTGTTTCTGAATAAGTTACCAATTAATAATATTTCTTTTTCACCTTCTGCTCTGATCTTGCATATGTTCCTATGGAATTGTGAGCCTGGTGAAAAGGAAAAGGCCCCTATATCTCAGAATTACTGTGTAATCAAAATATTTGAATTCTCTTGTATTATTAGTTGTATGATAATTTGTAATTCACTTATTCTTCCTGGGCCTTAGTTCCTCATCTACAAATGAAAGATTTATGGGAGAAAATCTCTGAGGTCCCCTCTGCTCTAAATGTCTTTGAATTTATTCTATTTATAAAGGCTTAGATAGCTAACAACTTTTAAAGCTTCTTTAAGCCTTAATTTTCTCATTTAAAATGGGAATTATGCTAACATTTCTGTCTAACCTATAACCTTGTGATCAGATGAAATTAAATGATGAGTATATGTGTGTATGATTTGATTTACAGAATCAGTAAGTATAAGGCATATTGTTTGATCAGAAATAGCATTTACAGCTCATTATGATTTATCAAGGAAGGGTTATTCATTCATTTTGCAAATATTTATTGAGCACTTATTATGAGCTGGATGCTATTCTTCAGGCTGAGGATACATCAGTGCATAAAAAAGAGAATTCCCTGCCTTTGTGGTAGCAGTTTCTTCACTTTACCTGGAAGCGATGCACCTGGTTTGCTGTAGGAATTTCCTTTCACTGCTGCTGTCTCTTGTTCCTCAAACGGTGACGAAAAATAATGAATTCCTAATTAGCAACTCCTAATTCACTAGGGATTCTGGTTGTCACTTTTCTTAGTTATGAGTTTTCGGTTAAGAGTTTTTTGATACACGATGGCGCTGCTGATTCATCAGTGGTCGTTTGAGTTTTTTTCAAGAGTGAGAAGGGATTTACATCACTCTTTCCATGCTCTGATATTTTTATGTGATTCTCTCTGTTGCCAGCAGTATGCTAAAGTAAGGTGGTGCTCTTTTGGGGCTAAGCATGCAGTACCTGAGAAAGATCAAAGTGACTTGAACTGTTTGGAAAGTACCCTGACCTTAATCTTGTTAGCTTTGGTGCTTAGTTGGTTGAGCTTAACCATTAATACCAAAATAATACTCATGCCAGACTTTAGTGAAAAGGCAGATGGCAAGACTGAAGGTAAATGAATAAGTTATTAAACATGTCATTTTTGAAAAAGGATCCTCATTCCCTTATTAGAAAGCATTATTGAACTTTTGCTGTCACATAATGCTAAGGACATGTTTTCTCTTCCTTAGCTTATTTGTAGAAAAGCTTCCTAACCATCGAGATTACCAGCAATGTGCAGTACCTGAAAAGCAGGATATTATGAAGGTATTGTGGGTTTTCTTCTCCACTGTGGAATCAAATGCTCCATAAGTATCCATTATTGATTCACCCTTCCCCTTCCTCCCCTTTCTCTTTCTCTTGAGAGTTTGAGCGCAAGAAATTCATTCCATTAACTATGATGTTTCGATTTTTTCTTAGACATTTAATGATCATCACTGAGCCAGTGTGGTTTGTCTAATTGATGCTGGGGGAAAAGAAAGAAATACGTTACCTAATAGTGTGAGGAAGGAATTATTTTACAATAATCTCTCCCAGAGGTTAAGAGAATGTTGTGTATTTCTGCGAACTTCTTTCAGATGGTCATTTTGGCTGCTTTTGATTATTTTATACAGCCCTGAACTCAATAACTGTTTGAAAATTAGTGTTAGTTATTAAGGCAGCCACAAAGTTCTAGCTATTTACATCTTATAGGACTGGAATTATAGATTAGAAAGTGTTGTGGGGGAAGCAGGAGGTGGTAGACTAAAATACTATAAAGGAAAAAGAGTGTTGCAATTTATCATCAATTTTTTAATGATTTATCACCAATAATTGCTATATCTATAATTTTGGTTATGTCTAGCTGTGAATATATTCTTTTAAATAAACATTTACAATGTTTCCCATTTATTTGTCTTTAATAGTTTGTGTTGGTCTTATATGAAGGAAGATAAAATCATGTACACAAAGCCAATTGTAGCATGAAATTTTAAATAATTTTTGAAAAACACTTTACCAAATAATGAAATAAAGGCTTTCCTATGAGTATTTTCAGACCTGAGGATGCATAAGCAAAATGCAGATTTTGTCAAATGGTCATCTACATTATTTATTTATTTATTTATTTAGAGTCAGAGTCTTGCTCTGTCACCTAGGCTGGAGTGAAGTGGCGCAATCTCGGCTCACTGCAACCCCCGCCTCCTGGGTTCAAGCAATTCTCTGCCTCAGCTTCCTGAGTAGCTGGGATTACAGGCACCTGCCACCATGCCCAGCTAATTTTTGTATTTTTAATAGAGATGGGGTTTCACCATGTTGGCCAGGCTGGTCTTGAACTCCTGACCTCAAGTGATCCACCTGCCTCTGCCTCCCAAAGTGTTAGGATTACAGGTGTGAGCCACCGCACCCAGCCAACTTTTTTAATGTCTACAGTCACTTACCTGAAGTATCATTTATTATCATGTCTTTGTGTAACATTTCCCCTCAGTTCTCTTGTTCATTCAACCTCAGAGAGTTCTGTTTGGAAACCAAAGGTACCAGGCTGTCACGGTGACTCATGTACTATAACTTAGGGTTATGCTTATTTTTTTTGTAGGAGAAAAATTCTCCAAAACCATATACATTTCCCTTGTTTATGCTTATTGAATAGATATATGAATAAATACATAAATGAATGACAAAGGATTAAGAGAATAGAAATTTGGTGAAAGAGCTAGAGTCAGGAGACTTGAGTTCCAGTCCTAAATGGGCCGCTAGCTGGTTGCATAATACCGAACAGGACTTTCAGTCTCTCCAGGCCTTTGTATCCTCAACTCTAAAAAAGAAGAGGTAGTTGGACTATATAAGAATTCCCAGATTTTCCTGCCATTAACGATCTCTGAGGAAGCTGTTTGAGATCCAGATTCCCAGACCCCTTCTCTACAGGTGTTAATTCAGTAGATCCAGATTAGGCTTGGGGGGGTCTGTATTTTTATAAAAAGTGCCTCAGCTATTCTTTTTACAGTCTAGCATGTCTGGAAATCCCTATCCACCATATATTCTCTCACATCCCTTCTAATTCTGATGCTACATGATTTATGTACTATAGAACAAGTCATTGATCTCAAACTCACTGCCTAAAAATGGGGTACCACAAAGGTAGCCACAAAGTTCTAGCTATTTACATTTTATAGCATTGGGCTATAACAAAATGCTTATCCAATCAGTGGGGCCAATAAAGGTCTTACAAAAGGGATAATAGTGTTTCTTTCCTGCTGGAAAGTTATATTTTGGACCCATAAAAAAGAGATTTATTTTTCTGCCATCATCTTTGGTTACTCATGACTTTATTTGCAGTATACCTACCAGCTGTTTTTCTTTCTCACCTGATGATCTGAAAGAGTGTATTGAAAATCCCACTAATCAATATGTATATATATTTTTAAAAGAAACTGAAGGAGATTGCATTCCCAAGGACAGATGAATTGAAAAACGACCTTTTAAAGAAATATAACGTAGAATACCAAGAATATTTGCAAAGCAAAGTAAGTTCAGTTGGTACATTTATTTCATGACTATTTTATGTACAAGTATTTTTTGAATTTCATTTTTATGTGATGAGTTTTTCAAATGTTTTGTGCATTTAAATTAAAAATTAAAGATGCAGTGATATGGAACCAATAAAAAATTTATGCTGATATCCAGGTTAAGCAGTTTCACCAACAATGTGGTATTTCTATTTCCCTACAATATCTAACAAAGCAATGTGTTAGAAAACAGATTTCCTGCAGCGATTTAAGTAGAACTTTTTGATTAACTCTTGAGCCAGATAACCTTGAGCCAGATGGCTGCTCTTTTGCCAGATGAACAGCCAGTAGGAGGTAGGGAGAGCAGTATATGGTTTCTGATGTGCCTAATGATGTAGGCCTTAGAAATGTGAATTTGATTCTTAGAATGTTACAGTCAGTATTGCATTGAGATAGAATAACAGCTAACCTTGTGGTTGAAATGTAATCATATCACCCAAAAGTGGTGGCTTCTGGATTGTTATTAATAAAGAGTGAACATTATGATAATGTCTGAGAGGCAGAAAGGCATTGGAAGAAGAAATTGGCCAGTGAATGTATGGGATACTCACGTTCAACATAGCATCATTATAGATGTTATTTTGCTTTTTTGTTTGTGTTTTATTTGCTTTAGGGGTTACCACCTTCACTGACTCTCACTTCAGTTCAATCTCATCATCTCTGAGAATGCTCATTGAGCTTTTTGACTTTCTATGGGCATAGGTGGAAGGCTGGCTTGAGTGGAGAGTTTTAACGAAGTGGTAGAGGGAATGGTGAAATTGGAAATGTCCCTCAAGTGTGTATATTAATAATGTGACTTGAAATATGAAAGATAGAAATTTTCTTGGAGGGTAAGACAAAGCAACAACAGCAAGGGAGACGAAAGCCCAGTTCAAGTCTCCTTTCCACGGTCAGCAATGTGTATGATCTTCCTCTTCATGATCTTCCTGGGAGGAACAGGCTCTGCAGCTGTTGCATGTTTTGCCTTTGATACCAGTCACTTCATAGCCTACAGTGGTGACCCATGTGGGAATCTCTGTGGGTTTAGAATAGCAGGACTGAGCCTAGGAGAGATAAACAGCAATGCCTGTGAGCCCTTGCTTCACCAGCATTAGCATCATTTGGAAGCTTGTTAGACACGCAGAATCTCAGGCCCCACCCCAGACCTGCTGAATCAGGATTTGCAACTGCAATTAGCCCCAGGATGATTTGTATGCACCTGAATGTGCCACTATAAGCTGTGTCCCCCATGCTACCGCCATCTTACAGTAGCTCCCAAATCTAGTTTCTATCAAAATCACCTGAAAGGCTCATTAATATTTCATATTATCTGACCTAATAAGCCTGGATATTTTGTTAGAACTGGAGAGCTTGGGACTCCTCCTTTTTAGCAAAACTCTGGGTTAGTGGTGACAGAGAAGGTTGGAACACATTTTAATAACCATTTTTTAGTGATTCCTTCTTATCCATAAATTTCCAGCAGAGTATGAGTTCTAGAGTCAAATGCGAAAGGTTCTAGGGCAGCACTGTTCAATAGAACTCCTGTGATGATGGAAGTGTTCTGTTTGGCACTTTCCAATATGGTATCCACTAGCCACATGTGGCTTCTGGGTACTTAAATGTGACTGACTAGTGTCCCTGAGGTACTGAATTTCTAATTTTGTTTAATTTTAATCAAGTTCAAATAACCACATGTGGCTAGTGGCCACTATATTAGAAGTGCAGTAGGGGTGAGATATTTTGTTTCATATGGTCTTGTTGGTCTGACTGAGCAAACAACCTTGACGTTGATTTTCCAGTATTTAAAAGCATTAGGGAATGAAGGGATCCTGATTGTCATGGCCTGTCTCTGGTAAAATATCAGTGGATTTAGAACTGCTATGTTAATCAGATCAAGGGGCTTTTGCCCTGATGTTATGTATTTCTCTCACTGTTCCATGAGTGTCCCTGTGGGCATATCACAGTATCTAGCATTTTCTCTGTCTGCTTGAAGACTGAAAATGTCTAATTCCAGTTCAATGTTTCTCCTTGGAAACTAACCTTCTCTTCTGGCTGCCACACTTTTTAGAACAAATATAAAGCTGAAATTCTCAAAAAATTGGAGCATCAGAGATTGATAGAGGCAGAAAGGAAGCGGATTGCTCAGATGCGCCAGCAGCAGCTAGAATCGGAGCAGTTTCTGTTTTTCGAAGATCAACTCAAGAAGCAAGAGTTAGCCCGAGGTCAAATGCGAAGTCAGCAAACCTCAGGGCTGTCAGAGCAGATTGATGGGAGCGCTTTGTCCTGCTTTTCCACACACCAGAACAATTCCTTGCTGAATGTATTTGCAGATCAACCTAATAAAAGTGATGCAACCAATTATGCTAGCCACTCTCCTCCTGTAAACAGGGCCTTAACGCCAGCTGCTACTCTAAGTGCTGTTCAGAGTAAGTGATGAAATGCACCCATGTGAGACACTGAGCCTCATCGGATGGAACCATATTTCTATAGCATCTGGGAGGGTCCTTCTCATTTCATTATTAATTGTAGTAGGACCCCTGCATAATATGGTATGAATGAAAGAATTAACCTTTCAATACTCTCTAGCTTTTACTATATATAATCTTAAAATTCAGGAAATATGATGCCCCCGATAGAGCAGAGACTCTATAATAAATGGGAAGTATTTTGTCATTGACAGAGGTTTTAAATGAGAAGAATTTCAAGTACTTTTGTCTTCTATGTATTTTAACTAAGAAATACATACATCTTAAATACATCCATCTTTCTGGGGAGAAAAGGTGTGAGAAAATTGTTTATCTAGACCTTTGCTCAGCAATAAATGTTTATACTCAATATGTTTAGCATCATCCTTGGACTGAGAGAATCTCATACACATAGATAATTAACCTCCAAATGGACCGTGTGTTTCCGCAAGAATTAGTGCTGCTCAGTACTGCCAGATCAGTGCTGGCAAGTTTCCAAAACACAGAATTCTTCTTCGCAGACACTGTCAGATAGAATTTGTGTTCCCATTTATTTGAAATGAGCGATAATAGGCAACCATTTTGAAAGTTACTTTACTGCTGATTGTTTACCAAAACGTTGTGCTTTTACTTACTGATCACCAACTTTCATGAAGATAGAAGTAACATGATAAACACAATATTTATCTATGTCTTATAGGATATGAGATGCATTCTATGCAGCCTATGCATTTAACCCTATATTTGCTTCATGCCTAAAGATAACATAACATGTAAATAGTTAACCCAAGATACAAACATGTAAAAGTGCTTGTACCTTCTGATTTTGCTTATAAAATAATTTATATACATAATTTAATTTTACTTCTAGTTAATGTTTACTTCTAAGAGTTTTAAAATAAAATATGGAAAGTGGAACACCTGATACTTTTATTTTTGAAATTTATGTCCAACTGCAACTGTTTGCCAATAACAATTTTGAAAGATGGGACATATAGTTTGTTTTTTAGCCTTTTCTCCCTTTTTTGTTTCTTAGATTTAGTGGTTGAAGGACTGCGATGTGTAGTTTTGCCAGAAGATCTTTGCCACAAATTTCTGCAACTGGCAGAATCTAATACAGTGAGAGGAATAGAAACCTGTGGAATACTCTGTGGAAAACTGGTATGATCTTTTTATATAAATATATATATATATATATCTGCATAGGATACTTTTAATAGTACTAGATTTCTTCTGATAAGTGGAACAGAATAAAACCATGCTAAGAGTTATCAATATTATGAAATTAACGTTACACAGATTAACTTTATAAAACTATTGTCATTACTAATGGAATGATCCTTTTAGAAAATAGATTGTAAAATTTCAGAGACACTATAAAAACTTGTCCTAAAGAATCAACCTATAAATTAAATCTTTGATTAGAAAAATGGTACGAAATATAGGTCTTCAGATTTCCAAATCTATCTGGTTGCCAAATCAAATTTTCATTGTAATTGTTAGTTTCACATACATTCATATAATTAACTTCATCTGTGGCATGTATTATCTTGCTGTTCTTTTTCAGATACACGTGGAATAAAACTAGGATTTTGTAGTTTCCTTTAGTTTAAGGCAGTAGTTTCAACAAAAGCCTATAAGCACAGGACATACTTAATTATGGAAGATGTCATCATAAGTATGTGATGAAAGACAATGTCATAATAGAAGGGATGAAAGAGAGGAGATGCATTCAATTTCCTATCTACAACAGAGATAATGTTTCTTTGGACGTGTCCTTTCATAGTCTGTTTTGAGTACCAGTTTATATATCTGGGTCCAGGTATATTTTCAGTTCTCAAAATTTAGCTTAGGAACCTCTGCTTTATTGAATAATAATACATTGTATTCAGTACACAATCTCCTGCTGCATTCCAGTGTTTTGTCATCACTTTCCCTCCAAGAGATAGGAAGCCATTGGTGGCAGCACAGGAGAATGGGCATCTATAGTCGCCTCTGTTGCACTTAAGGGGACAGTGTGCTATTGAAGCATTCACCCCCACATCGTGTTGTATTCAGATTGGTTGACTGATTCGTTCACTCCATTGTCAGACAAACATTTACCGAATATCTAAATGTGCCAGGCACTGTGCTGGTTATTAGCATTTGGTATCCTGCAACAGCCACGGTCCCTGCCTCACGATGCTTACGATGCTGTGAAGACCCAGACAGATGACTAATAATAAGTGGGGCTAAGTGCTGTCTGTGCAAGTGTAGGGCATCATGGGAGTTTGTAACTGGGAAATCTAACCTTGTCTGAGGGGTCAAGAAGGGTTTCCCTGAGAAGTGATGTTTGAGCTAGGCCTGAAGAATACATAAAGGAGGAGGTTGGATGGAGGGAAGAGTTGAAATCAGGGCAAAGGAGCAGTGCATAGTGTGCAGGAAAGCCCTAAGGCTAGAGAGAGGATGGTCCTCTGGATGGGAGAAAGGCCAGCCTGCCTGGGGGAAGATAGCCTCTCATTGCACAAACATCTGTTCCTTGAGGATCCCGTGGCACTTCACAACCCTCTTCCTCTCAACTCTTATCTTTTGCCTAAGGGGGGTAATTTGTTTTTTCCTTTCTCTTTATCTGATTGCAAATCCAAAACATTATCTTAATTACAGAAGATCCTAGTAAGTCCTCCCAGCATTCGAAGAATGTCTTAAGTCTTGAAGTGACATTAAATATAATTAGTAAAACAGAAACAAAACCATCAACCTTCACAACCCTAAGAAATGCCTTTTGGTAACACCACAAAATTATTTAACTAGTGTCTCCCCCTCCAAATAAATCTGTCTTTGTTTTGTTCAGTTTTTCCATTATAGATATATCAAGACATCATTTATTAACTAAACTTCCACAGACCAGCCTGGAATGCAAGTTCCTATTTCTGTTATGTTTTCTATTGTGAAACTGGGTTTCAAGCTACAAACAACTGATTCTCAAAGTTTTGGCAAAGAATCCATTTTTACTGTTGGGACTTTGTTTTTGAATTGGAAAGGGTGGTGTGTCCAGGTACAGGGAGGGATGATGTAAGTGGTCCCTGTACCTGGACACACCCCCCTGCTGGGGGACTCTTTAGTCTTAAACATTTCATTTCCTGTTCAGTTATTTTTTTTTTTTCTGTGAGATGCATGTCATTCTTTCTGCTATTGTTTTTTAGACACATAATGAATTTACTATTACCCATGTAATTGTGCCAAAGCAGTCTGCGGGACCAGACTATTGTGACATGGAGAATGTAGAGGAATTATTCAATGTTCAGGATCAACATGATCTCCTCACTCTAGGATGGATCCATGTACGTTTGACCTTTTGGGTTTCAGTTTTTTTGTGTGTGTGGCATGCTATTTTCCTCCTTGAAGAAAAGTTTAGCTTCATTTAAATAGCTTCTTCTTTTTAATTTTTTCAAATGTAATAAAGGTTGTCATTTAAGTAGTGGTTCTCAAGCAAAGAGAAAAGAATAACAGATATTAAAAAAATAAAGGTCATCATATTATAGCATATTTTTCAGTGTTAGACTGTGCCTAAACCTGTCAAATCTGGATTTGGAGAACGTGTATCTTATGCTTTTTTGTATCATCTGAAGTTAAAAGACATAGAAAGAAAGCGAGTAACATTTGGAAATCAGTGATTTGTTTTAGATGATTTTACATAGCCTAGTGAAGGCTTAGCCAAATTGTTAACTGATTTGGCTAGACAACTGTTAGTGTGGGTCTAAATTAGATTATTTTAAGAAAATATCTGAAAGTGTTTCTTTTAAACATGTGTTTGTATATATCAGCCACACTCCCTGACACCCCTCAGACAGGCAAACGATGTATGGGATCACTGTACAAACAGCCACATAGTAAGGCAAGAGGATAGGGCCCAAAACATTGAATTCCAACATCCACCAGGCCATCATAGGAGCAAATCAAGTAGACATGAGGTTAAATCTTGGCTCTGGTAAGAATTCACTATAGGAGCATTGGCAAGTTATTAAGCAATCCGAGCATCAGTTTTATCATCCATAAAGTGGAGATCATAATAATTGACTTCACAGGATGTTTCATATTAAATGAGATACTATTGGTGAGTTTCATAGCACATTTTTTGAGGGACTCAGAAAATTGTAACTGTTATAATTGGTGATAATAATCTATCCTTTCTAGCCATAGTGCAATCCAGCTGAGGGAAGTTTTTTCCATTCAGTCTTACATAAGCTGGATCTAGGATAATGTCTTGGTGTGTTTTTGCTGCTATAACAAAATGCCTAATACAGGATAATTTAAAAAGAACAGAAATTTATTTTGTCTGGTCTTGGAGACTGGAAAGTCCAAGATCAAGGCACCAGCATTGATGTCTAGTGAGGGCTGCTCTCAGCTTCCATGAGCAGCCTTCACTACACACCCATGGCACCTTGTTGCTGTGTCCTCACAGGGTGGAAGGCAGAAGGGCAAGAGAGCACTCCCTTCAACCTTGAGCCCTTTCACAAGGGTCTTAATACCATTCACTAGAGTGGAGCCCTCATGATTCATCACCTCCCAAAGACCACACTTCTTAATACTGTTGCATTGAGGATTAAGTTTCATCGTGAATATTGGTGGAAACCCCACCATTCAAACCATAGCATGTTAGGATAAGCCATCCCACTGAGATGGGATACTGGCCAAGAAAATTTCCAGGACACATTCTGGGGACCTCCAAGTGCCCTTGAGGAATGATACATGATCATTTTGTATTTTACTTGCTTTATAGAGAAGCACTGGGGAGGAGCAGCATGCACACACACACACACACACACACATACACACACACACACACACATTTCCTAAGCATTTGGTATTATGCAGTTCTGGAGGGTACAGGAGACTTTAGTCCCAACTCTTCCTGTAAATTACTATGTGCTATCAGTTAGGACTTCTAGCCTCATTTCCAGATTTCCTCATTGACTGAGTGAGGCTAATGAATACCTTCTCTCCTCACTGGATTTCTGTGAACAGGAAACAAGATACCAGGTGTGAAAGCTCTTTGAAAAGTATAAACTGCCTGTCAAATGCAAGAAATTATTTATAATGAAGAGTTTGTAAAACTCTTCATATGTCTATTTGCGTTACTTAACAGTGAGTAATATGCATTACACTTTGCCTGGAAATTGCTATATTATTTAGCTTAACATGATTTCTATAAAAAGAATGCCTTATTTAGCGTAACATGATTTCTGTAACAAGAATGCATTTTAAAGCAAAACAAATTCTAGCAAGAATGACAGTCCATTAAATTATGCATTTACACTGACAAGTCAATGTTAGTTTATCTAACAAAACATTTTCCAAATTAGAAACAAAAATTTTCCCCTTATGACCTACCGTGGACATAATGCATGCAATTATGAAGGTAAGTTGTTTAATAAGTTTAGCATAATTCTTGAATTTTAGGACTTTTTGTTAAACTCATTTCACCGTATCAAATTATTGTGGTTGGATGAAAATACAAAAATGTTACATTTCTAAACCTAAGTGATTGTAATGACTTTTTATGACGGTTTTTATTAAGTATAATAATAGCAACAAATTCCAGAGCTGGCTTTTTTCAAATACAAATTAGTCATAGGAATAAAAGGTCTGAAACATAGTCAGACAGACATGTATTTGACTTTAGACATTTTGGTTTAACTAGTTTTATGAGCATCAGCAAGTTACTCACTTTCCTGCTTACCTCAGTTTCCTCATCTGCAAAATGGGGATTATAATAGTACTTATCTTGTTGCTGTGAGAATTCAATGATATGACTCATGAAAAGTGATTAGTTCACATTATACAGTTGCAATAAATGGCATCTGCTGCCATTGTTATCATCATCATCATCATTTTCATTTCTGTAGAGTGAGGGAATGGGAGCCTCATTCTCCCATGGGAAAACTGTCCTAATTGGAATGGACATAATTCCTTTTGGTAGAAATGAAGGACTCAGGTCATGTGGTGTGCATTCTGTGTTCAAATAACTTGACAAGCAGAGTGATTTGTCTGTTTAATAACCTGCTTGCTGCCTCCACAGCACTGTGGTTTCTTTGAACAATTTTTAATTTCTCACGAAGACATAGACGGCTCTATTTTACAAAGAGAAGGTATTCCTTGTAAGATAACAGGCTGTCAGATACTCCCACTCATACCCCCTACTGAAGATTTGCATTTTAAAAGTTAGGATAATTTCCATTCCTTTGTTGATCTAAGTTTTTATATGCCAAGTGTTATTTTTTCCTTGCAGAACATGTACCTTTCTGTAAATCATCATCTGATTTTACCTTCATTCTATTAAAGCCGAAAAAAAACGTTGTCTTGCCTTTTTTTTTTTCAAGACAGGATCTTGCTCTGTTGTCCAGGCTGGAGTGCAGTAGAGTGATCACAGCTCACTGCAGCCTCAACCTCCCTGGCTCAAGCGCTCCTCTCACCTCAGCCCCCTCAAGTAGTTGAGACTACAGGCACATGCCACCATGCCTAGCTAATTAAAAAAACTTTTTTTTTGTTTGTTTTGGAGAGATGGAGTCTACCTATATTGTCCAGGCTGGTCTTGAACTCTTGGGCTCAACTGATCCTCTCACCTTGGCCACCCAAAGTGTTGGGATTACAGGCATGAGCCGGTATGCCTGGCCTAAAAATAGTTTTAAAATCTTACATTTCTTTAATAGAATATAGTTTTGTGTAAAGGCATTTAGCTACTACTATGGCTCTGTGCCTTTTAGTTAATAAATACATTTAATATAACACTAGCAATAACAACAGCTAATGACTTTTATTTCTATGCGCTAAGCACTGTTCCAGGAATTTTAATGGACTGTCCTATTTGATCTTCATAACAATCCCATGCAGAAAATATTATCCCAATTTTACAGATGATGAAATGGGCAAGAGAAGGTTAAGAAATCTTCAGCGTCATATAGCTAGTGAGTAATGGAGTCAGGACCTAGAGAGTGGTGCCAAGAATCTTTGTTTCATGATTAAAATAGTCACATTCTTTTTTCTAAGAGTAATTAGGGTTTAATATGAATTTCTAAAATAACTAGGTGTGCATTTATTTTTTATATTCAAATATGAACCTCCGATTGGCCATGCATAAACACATTTGTATATAGCCAGAAACTTGGCAGATTTCTTGTAATTTATAATCCCCCTTTTTTTCTCCCCATGTATTTAGTTGCTATGCGAGATTAGTCCCAAATACCTTCAACAACTTGGAGTCTCCCATTCTCCCATTTATAGGAAATGACAATCCACAAAAGGATACACAGCAGCATGTGGTCTATTTAGTGAAAACTTTCTTTTAATGTTCATAATGTTGTATATATGTATCTTGTGCCCAGGGTTTCCAATCACAGCTCTGCTCCTTACCAGCCGTGTGACCACAGGCACATTATGTAACCTCCCTTAGTTTTGGGATCCTTGTATGTAAAATTGAGATAATAAAATAAGTATCTCATAAATGAGTTGTGATAATTATATGAGAATCTATTTAAAGCCCCTAGCAAATTAATTTCCAGCTCTTTCTTTCCCAAAAAGAAGAAAGTACACTAACACTTCTAGGAGCCTCTTCTCAGAATTGTAGTTATTCCAAAATAGCAAATAGTTGGCATAAAGGGAAGGATTATGTCAGCAAAACCTTTTTAAAAATCCTTATTTGATTAATGATGGTAAAAACTAAAAAAAAACAGAGTTTTCTATTAAAATAGCCTATGGCCTTGGCTAAGACAGCTATCCTAGTAAGATTATCTTATTTTCTATTTATAGACACATCCCACTCAAACTGCATTTTTATCCAGCGTTGATCTTCACACTCACTGTTCCTATCAACTCATGTTGCCAGAGGCCATTGCCATTGTTTGCTCACCAAAGCATAAAGAGTAAGTGTAACTCTTCAGGGGAGACCAAAGAAGGCTTTGTCCAGGGCTGCTGGGTTCCTGTGTGTCCAGACACCAGGTTGTGGTACTTGGATTGGCAAGCACACAACGCCCTCGGGAAAAAGAGATGGGTAGTAGTCAGCTGCCATAGACCTATAGCTCTGCAGTTTAAGGTCCTTTCAGTGGCAGAATTACTGATTTTCTTTCTTCAGTTAGCGTGACTTTGAAGTGAATAACATTTAAGAAAGATGCTATCCCAGTTAGCCTTTTTAGGACTTATTTCTACTGTATTATGTTCTACCATAAGAAATGTTCTTGCCTTAGCTGAGAAAAAAACCTTTCTAGCTTTGGGGAACAATGATTATTGTAGAGTAGTTATGAGCATGGGAATCAAAAAAACATATTGAAATCCTGGCTCCACCCCTCAAGTGGTGTGTTAGGCAGGATACTTGACCACTGTGGGTCTCTGCCTCTTCATCCCTGATACCTGCCCATCGGGGATGGATGTAAAGATGAAATTAGATAATAGTTTATGTACAGTGCTCAGCATAGTGCCTGGTACCACAGCAGGTACTCAATACATATTTGCTATTGCTATAATCTGTATTAACATAATTAGAAGATTCGAAATATCTGCCACTTGTAATTTCCTCTCATGAGACTCTCTAGTGGGGCTTTGGCCTTTCCTCTGGGGTCACACACGATAGCTTATTTGCCTTGTCCCCTTAACGGTCCTGCAGGCTCTTAGCAGCAGCATTGCCTCCTCCTGGGTTTCTCTCCTCTGGACCAGTCATTGGTTTAAAAAAAAAATCACTATGGAATTCCTAGTTTGTGATTTCTCAATCCCATCTGAGGAATATGTATGTGTGTGCTGTTCAAATAAAGCATCTGGAATGCCCAAATGATCCTTAATTTTTCTATCTTGTTTTTGCTCTGAAATTTAGCACTGGCATCTTCAGGCTCACCAATGCTGGCATGCTTGAGGTTTCTGCTTGTAAAAAAAAGGGCTTTCATCCACACACCAAGGAGCCCAGGCTGTTCAGTGTGAGTACATCATATTAGTTATTTTTCCAGGTATTTCTTGTTCACTGCCCCCCCAATCTGTTTTTAAATAAATAGTAGCAGTCTAATATAAGATAAAATACTGTACTGCTTAGTTTGGAGTTTTATCTCAGAAAATTAATCTATCTGTATACTTAATTTCTGATTTATTCTCAAAATAATTGTATTTACAAGGAAACATCAGTATTTCTGTAGCAGAATTAATGGTGCACAAAGTTACCTTTCCGCTTATGTATATGTATGATATTTAAAAGTTTTCTTCAGAGTCCAAATAAGTAAACAATTATCATAGAAAATGACATTTAAAATGTTGCATGAATTCTTTCTGCTTGATATGGCCAAATTAGTTTTTTCATAGCAATTGATGGAAACTATGATCATACTTCTTGATTACCTTTGCATAGTCCAAAAGAAACATTTGACTACGCCTTTTTTTTTCCTAATTTTCTTGGAGGTTCTGTGGCTATAACATCAGAGAACATTATATTGACGTTAGAATTTACTTAAAATGAAAATTATTTGGCAACCCCTGTAAATATTTTTGTTGTTGTTGAAAATGAATAAATGTGATTGTATTTGTTCTGATTGGAAATATTTTAAAAATCAGGAACAAATTAAAATTAGGAAATCTATACTTCCTCCCTAAAGAAAATCATATGGTAAACATTATGGTGAAATCAAACATATGGTAAAACCAATTTTTTCTTTCCTAGATATGCAAACATGTGTTGGTAAAAGACATAAAAATAATTGTGTTGGATCTGAGGTGATATGTTCTGAATGTAAGCACCGTCAACATCAGACACCTACTCATGGACATGTGGTTGCCGGATTTTCTTAAGATGTTTCCAGAAATGACTGATATTTTATATTTATACATTTTAGATGACAAAGCTTGATATTTATTGCTGTTGCACATTTTAAAGTTTTCTTTTTGGGTTGCTCTGTGTCAAGAGAGGTTACATGGTGTTAAATCGGTACCTGATAATGTACCCAAATACTATGGCCAGATAATAAATTGTGCTGCAAACAACATGTCTTGTATTTATAGAGGTCTCTGCATACATTTTTAGAGCTTTAGATGATTTGCTATATTTTTTATTCATGTAAAATGTAATTCCAAATAAGAAATTCTGAGTGTATATAGTCTCCAAAGCAGACCATCTGTTTCTGAAACCTTCCCCTGAGGTAGGTGAACAGCTTCCATGTGTAGATGAAATATGGCTGCCATTGATAAAGCTTGTTCTGTGTTTTCAGTGTCATGAAATCCCAGGCTCAGAGAGATATCTCTGCAGTGAATCATTGTGTAAGATACAAGAACAACACTTCTATTCAGGGATCAGGTGTCAGAGGGCCTGGGATAGCAGACAATTCATTAATTTGATTTAGAAGACTAAAAGTAGAGAAGCTTGAGAGAGGATTTTTTTTTTAAAAAAAGACTCAGATAAAAGTACAAAACCTGTTACTGTGAAAATGAACAGGGGTGATAGGAAGAAGAAATGAGACATAAGAAATAACTGATAATTCTTAGTCAACTTGCTAACTCTGTTAGCAAGTTGAATTGGTAGGAAAAACCTGAGGATGGAAACAGTGTGGAGAAATCTTAGCTGCAGATACACAGAGGGCAGAATGGAAGTGATATTGTTGAGTTATTTGAGAATAGGTCCTTTGGGACACTGAAGACTAGTTCTGCAGGTGAAATCTTTATCTTGGAAGACATTGCTCCCAGGCACATTGGGAAATCCTGGGCTGACAGCCCTTTCCTTGATCGAGAAACTTGTGATCACTTCTTAGTCTCCCTTTTCATCCTTTAGGGCCTTACATTACTCTAGTCTAGCTTTCTTCTTTTTTCTTTTCAACGTTTAAGTTTCCTTCTCCAGCCATCTCTCCCTGGATCTCCACAACTTTTCAACAGGGCCAAACTAATCCTATGAAACCTTCTGTCTTCCCAATGTCTTCTGTGCCAGCCACAGCTCTCCCTGCCTTTGCTTTCCTCATGACATTGTATCTGAGTTGCCTAAACAACTCATGTTTCCATGTACTAGCTTCCACTGCTTAGTTCAATGATTTCCATATTCCAGAGTGGTATTTCCTGTACTCTGTGCTTGGATGGGTTAACATCTGATATGGTTTGGCTGTGTCCCCACCCAAATCTCATCTTAAATCATAGTAGGAGGGACCTGGTGGGAGGTAATTGAATCATTGGGGTGGTTACCTCCATGCTGTTCTCATGATAGTGAGTGAGTTCTCAGGATATCTGATGGTTTCATAGGGGGCTTTTTCCCTTTTGCTCAGCACTTCTTCCTGCCATTATGTGAAGAAGGACGTGTTTTGCTTCCCTTTCCGCAATGATTTTAAGTTTCTTGAGGCCTCCCCAGCAATGCAGAACTGTGAGTCAATTAAACCTCTTTCCTTTAGAAATTGCTCAGCCTTGGTCAGTTCTTTATAGTAGCATGAGAATGGACTAATGCATCAACCCTCCCTGCTTGTCTAGTTCTCAATTCTGGTATCATGTCACCTGAATTCTGTTCCTGTTCTCATTTATACAGAACCACCTACTATGGGCAAGTCAGTGGCTTGTTTCTGTTTCATGGAATCTTCTAGCTATGGAGAGCTCAGGTATCAGACTTCAGAAGTAGAGCTTGGCTTGCCTTGTGCATGGAGACTTTAGTCTATGGCCACCACTAGTTAAGAGCAGATTAACTCTGCAAGGCTGGCTCCATAGACACCTCACTTTTTCCTGAGTGGTGCTGTCCTCAGTGTCTTAACACTTAAACACACCATGATATTCTGATATGCTTGATCAAAGGAAAATGTTATATTCTTTATTCAAGTAAAAATAATTGTTGGGACAATGGATAGTTGAGAAATGAGTGAGATCCTTTGTATAGAATTAAAAATTATAGTAATACACTAAGAGGATGTAAAATGAGAGTTGTCCGATGAAAAAGCTATGGACATTGAATGGTGCCTAAAGATAGAAAGGACTCAGTTGAGGGCCAAGAACATTTAGCATCTTAGATTTCCAGAAAGACTAGAAAGAGAAGCTATGAGTATGCAAAACCATTATGTCCCTTCTGAATAGCAAACTAGAAGAGAACTCATTTTCACTAAGAAAGTATATTGTATTTCCTAAATAAAGGAGACATTCTTGGCACTTTTTTGTAGGTTTTTTTTTTTTTTTTTTTTTTTTTTTTTTTGCCAAGTACAAACCAAATTAACCAGGATCTCACAGAGTGGGACTGTTGGAGGCGGCAAACCAGAGCCTGACTTTGGCTGGCAGAATGAGGCCCTGGGGCTGTGTCTGAAAGAACCAACAGAAATGTGACCACATCACTAAGTAATGGACTGGTCGTGAGGCAGAGACCCTGTTAACCAACCTGGAGACGCCACTACACACACATGTGCATGAGCACCAGTGTTCATTGGATAAACTATCTATGGAAGGTCTCTTTCACAACAGGCAGACAGCACCTTCTCTTTTTTTGAGACAAGGTCTCACACTGTTGCCCAGGCTGGAGTGTAATGGCATAATCATGGGTCACCGCAGCCTTGATCTCGTAGGCTCAAGCGATCCTCCCATCTCAGCCTCCCGAGTAGCTGGGACTACAGGCACTCACCACCACACCTGGCTATTTTTTTTCTATTTTGTAGAAATGAGGTCTTGCTGTGTTGCTAGGGCAGGAGATCCTTCTTTTGAATATGAATCAGTTCCAAAGCTCCATTTGCCACATCCTAAGGCAAAGATGGTTCTTCATTTCTTTTCAGATTTGTGTTTCTGTAGAAAAAAAAGAAACAATTAAGAACTTCCTTTGATTTTCAGTGCTAGTCAGTTTGCACACAGTGCCTGACACCTCATGTGTATTTGTTATAGGCTGAATTGTGTCCCCCAAATTCATGTGTTGAGGTCCTTAACCCCCCAATACCTCAGAATATGACTGAGTTTGGAGATAGGGCCTTTACACAAATAATTAAGTTAAAATGAGGCTAGTAGAGTGGGCACTAATCCAGTATGAGTTGTGTCCTTATAATTAGAGATTAGGACAGACATACACAGAAGGAAGACCATGGGAAAACAGAAAGAAGACTGCCATCTGCAAGCCAAAGAGAGAGAGATCTCAGAAGAAACCATCCCTGCCAAAACCTAGATCTCAGACTTCCAGCCTCCGGAACTGTGAGAAAATAATTTTCTGTTGTTTAAGCCATCTGGTCTGTGGTATTCTGTTTGGCAGCCCTCACAAACTAATGTAGTATCCGGTAAATATTTGCTGAAGTTGTTTGTTTCCTTTTCTCTTACAGACTGAATTGGAAATGGCTTTCTTTGTTGTCATGCAGGGCAGAAATCATTCTTTCCATAGGCCTTGTCAGTTGTAGAAGAGCAAAGCAGAATGTTTGTGGATTATTCTCAGCTACTCAAATTGTTCCTAGTTTCTTTTTAGTAGGATTTTGCTTGTGGAAATTTGACATTTTATTTGGCGCCACACTGGTTCACTTCTGTTTTCTCCCAATTCATTTCACATTGCAACCACATCAACTGTGTTGGAGACTGTGTTATTACAATGATTTGACCTTAGGTTGAGGTTTCTGTTGCAAAACCAGCTGAGGAGGTCCTAAATGTGGAAAGCAGATGTTTCTCTTCTGGCATGTCTTGCAGAATTATCTGGCAAGAGAATATCTTCTGTGAAAAGAATGCGTGAGAAATGTCATGCATTTGGCAATGATTAAGAAAGAAAGGTAAACCTTCAACTCCTTGTTCTTAAAAGAATTTGGCTTGTTATTTACTGGGAAGACAACTAAGATGCAAAGAGCTTTTCTGCTCTTTGCAACAAATTTCTTAAAATTTGTTTTCTTTTCTACTCTTTTGTTCTTCATAAGGCCAGAATATATTATCTCGGGGAGAGCTGATGAAAACATGACTTAGTGGCTCTTAGAGATTTAGCATACTGATGTCCAAGAAGACGTTGTTGTTTTTTAAACTATCAAAAGGCAGGCCTTCATTTGGACTGCTACAACAAAAATACCATAAACTGGGTGACGTAAACAACACTGTATTTCTGTCACCCAGTTCTGGTGGCTGGAATTTGATATCTGGGTGCCAGCATAGTCCAGTTCTTGATGAGGACTCCCTTCCTTATTTGCAGATGGCTACCTTCTTGCCCTACCCTCAAATGGGGGAGAGAGAAATCATCTCTCATGTCTCTGCTTATAAGGACACAAATACTATCACGAGGGCCTGACCCTACCTTCATGACCTAATTATCTCCCAACGCCCAACGACCCCACCTCCAAATACCATTGCAACGAGGATGAGGTTTCAGCATATTAATGGCGGGGGCACCAATATTTGATCCGTAACTATGCGAGTGCCAACTAGCTAGTTTCTTGTCTTTTTTCAGTGCCATATGGAGGCTCTGCTGTACATCTTCTGAGATCCCATAGTTACTATATTAAAAAGTACCATTCTGATGAGAATGTGAATAGCTTTTATTATATTACCTTTGATCTGGTGTGAAGATGCCTTCAAATAGATTTAAGAAATTACTCATTAAAAGGATATTTTTCAAAAGGAATTGCCAGTTGATTAAATAATACTAGGTATTAAATTTTACCTCATGGAAGAACAAACTTGTTTGACAAAAAAACATTTCTTAATTAAAGCCATATATTTTCATATTAGTAATGTTGCTATATAATTATAATATTTTTAATTTTGTAATGTTTTTATAATTAAAGGACTTAGTAAAATCCATATTCCTGTATATGTTTGAATAACCAGACAGAGAAATGGAAAAGGGAAAGAAAATCCAGGGAAGGGAATATTATTTAGAAAGGAAGCCTGTGATACTCTTAAGGTCTGTCACTACAGCTTGCTGGACTTCAGGATGGGGATAGGAGATGCAGAAGACAAGAGAGGAAAAAACAGAGAAGGACTCTGGGGGAGGGAAGGTAGATTAAGAGCATTGCAGACTGGCTTTATTTAATTTGTTTGTTTGAAGTAAATGCCTTGACATTATCTGGACGACAAGACATTCTAAAACCAAATGGAGATAATTAGATTTTTTTTTCTCAATCAAGGAGCATTACCCGTGCATCTCTATCAGGTAAACAAGAGATGGCAGTGAAAAATTACAGTTGTTTACATGAATTATTCATTGTCTCACTGGGTCCCAGATGTACCAATGGAATGCATGGTGAATTCATATTCTTGAGCCTGAAGAGGAGGTTTAAAAATTCTCCTTTGCACTTTTTCCAAGAGAAAAAGGCATTTACAGATTGATTTAAAAAGAAAAAAAGCTCAATTATGTTTCCTTCTAATATAAAGGCTGACAAGGAAAGCAAAGCAAGCAACTAGAAGACATTTGCTGTGCTCTTGACTTTGGGAAAGACCATGGGCAAATTATATCACTTTTAGGAAATTTAATTTCCTTACCTACAGAAATAAGGCATGTGAATCAACTGATTCAGCAGGCTGTCTTCAGCAATAAAATTTTGTACTTATCAAGGTTCTTTCCAAGGCAGTATGTTTTTTATTTTTAAAAAATAACTTATTGAAGCTCAATTCACATAACTTAAAATTAACCATTTTAATATGAACAATTTAGTGGCATTTAGCACATTCAGTGTTGTGCAACCACCGTCCCTATCTAGTTCCAAAAGATTTCTGTCACTCCAGAGTAAAATCCCTTGTCCACTGTACTAGTCTGTTTTCACCCTGCTGATAAAGACATACCTGAGACTGGGTAATTTATAAAGAAAAAGAGGTTTAATGGACTCACAGTTCCACTTGGCTGGGGAGGTCTCACAATCATGATGGAAGACGAAAGGCGTGTTTTACAGGGCAGCAGAAAAGAGAGAATGAGAGCCAAGTGAAAGCGGTTTCCCCTTATAAAGCATCAGGTCTCGTGAGACTTACTACCACGAGAACAATATGGGGGAACCACCCCCATGATTCAATTATCTCCCATTGGGTCCCTCCCACAACATGTGGGAATTATGGGAGCTACAATTCAAGATGAGATTTGGGTGGGGACACAGCCAAACCATATCACCCACTAAGCAGTTGCTCCCCTTCCCTCCCTCTCCCCCCCAGCTCCTAGCAACTGTCAATCTGCATTCTATATGGATCTATCTATTTTGGATATTTCATACAAGTAGAATTGTACAATATGTGAGCTGTTGTGTCTGGCTTCTTTCACTTAACGTATCATTTTGAAGGTTTATCCATGTTGTAGTATGTATCAGTCCTTTATTCATCTTTATGGATGAATTATGTATATAAATTTATGTATATACCACATTTTGTTTATTCATCCGTTGATGGACATTGATGGACATCCATTGATGGATATTGATGACATTTTGTTTATTCATCCATTAATGGGCACAATAACCAAAAAGACATTTCCTTTTGGTTATTGTGAGTAGTAGTGCTATAAACATGCATGTACATGCATTTGTTTGAGTACCTGTTTCAATTCTTTTGGATCTACACCTAGAAGTGGAATTGCAGGGTTATCGGTAACTCTAGGCTTAGGTTTTTGAGAGACCTCCAAACTGTTTTTCACAACAGCTGTACCATGTTATATTCCGAACAGCAACATATAAAGTATCTGATTTCTCTACATCCTATTACAGCCATCCTAGTAAATGTAAAGTAGCATCTCATTCTCCTTTTGACAGAGCAATATGTGATCAGCTTAATTCCTCTAAAGTCAAATTTCAGTAGTAAAATAAAGTTGATGATGAAGATGTCTGAGGCCTCCAGAATTCACTCACTCCAATCACTCTCTTAGTGTTGTGGGACACCAGTCCTGACTCTTTATCAAGGTCACTAGCACCATGTTTAGAGGGAGAATTTATTTTTATCAAGGATAGTCAGGTCAGCTGTTTCAGCTGGGTAGGATTAGAAATACAAAGAGAGAGCAACCAACAAAAGGCACTAGTCATGGCACTTTAGAATACTACTCTTGCTTTCCATCAAAGTCAGTGGTTTAAGCATTCATAAGGAAGAATACTATGTTGAGGCATCTCTCTGAAATCACGGACTTTTTTAAGTCTTAAGAGCAAGAGCTCATGTTAAATTTGAAAAATAGAATTTACTTGTTTAATATATTTTTGCCTGAGTAGGTGATGTCATTTTTTTTTTTAAAGGAAGGCCTGAAGTTACATGATTTTAGGTCATTTTGTAGGGAATTTCAGGTTATGGCATATGCAGAGAGGTCTTAAAGGAAGAAAAATAATTGATTCAATGAAGGGACAGAGGACTAAGGCTCAAAACTAAATGTGCAGGGAAAGAAACAGAAGGCAAGAACTAAGAAGAGTATAAAAAGAACACCTTTTGATGTGGTGTGTCTGCAATACCACATACTTTTCTCCAAGGATAAGGAAATCTGCTTAAGGACCCCTGAATTTTAGGCCTCTGGAAAACTGTCATTAACCTCACGATACGGAAGCCTGTTCCATCATCAGTTTTCCTTGAGGATAGCATTGTTTCAAACCCAGACAAATAGTAATCATTTTTATTCCCTTTAGCCAAGAAGGGGCTAGAAATTGCTCTAAGGAGGACATTCTGGGAGAGCTACAGCCTCCATGAGTAAATTAGACTGAGAGGTGGCAATGTTTGCATGTTCATTTCCCAGATGTGAGATGAATAATTTAACCTGAAAGGTGAAATGCTCAGGAAAAGCAATAATTTAACCTGAAAGGTGAAATGCTCAGGAAAAGCAGATGGTCCAGAGATGCCATACTTCTCATGCAACATTGCTTCCATTGCTTGAAATTGGTGTCTGATTTTTTCATAGAAAAAATGTTATGAATATTACTTTGGAAAATTGTAGTGAAGTCATGGTCACACTTGTGTGTGTGGTCCAGTTCTTTGGGGTTCTCTTTTTCCCAGGTATGCAGCACTTTTACATCTCTGGGCCTCTGCTTGGAACACATCCCATGCAGGTCCTACTTCCCCTTCCCAAACCTTAACCCCTTCTAGCCCCCAGCCCTTTTTTTTGTCTACTCAATTCTTACCCTTTAAGCTTCTGCTTAAGCACTATCTTCTCAGGGAGGCAGCCTCTCCTGAGCTCCTGGCTCAAGTTAGAGCCCATGGCTATAAAAGCCAGTACCCCATATAATTCTTCTTTTGAACCCCTGACAATGTACCCAACTGCTTATTTAGTGCCCATCTTCCTCACTTGGCTGCAGGTTCCATCCAGGCAGAACCTTGCCTAGTTCTATTTCCTTGACACTGCTCTCTGTCCTAGCTCATAGTGCTCTTCAGACATTACTTAAGTTGACTCTGCTCTCCCAGGAATAAACATTACTTCATACTCTGAAAAGGAAGAACCCTATCTCAGGCTGCCCCATTTTCTCTCCCTCTCTCTTTTTTTTTTTTTTTTTTGGCTGTCTCTTTCTGAATAAACTGAGCTGCGCTGCAGCAATGGCTTCTGGTTGCCTGCAAGTGTGTGTTGGTCCAGACAGCCTCCTCCCTAACTACAGTCAGACGTTCTTCTCCAAGCTGTTCTGTTAGAAATTCTTCTAAAGAGAATTTCCTAGCTACACAAATGATACCACATTAACAACAGAGGATTATTATTATTATTATTATTATTATTATTTTGAGGCGGAGTTCCACTCCTTTTTGCCCAGATTGGAGTACAATGATGCGATCTTGGCTCACTGCAACCCCTGTCCCTGGGTTTCAAGCAATTCTCCTGCCTCAGATGCCTGAGTAGCTGGGATTACAGGTGCGTGCCACCACGCTTGGCTAATTATGTATTTTTAGTAGAGATGGGGTTTCACCATGTTGGCCAGGCTGGTCTTGAACTCCTGACCTCAGGTGATCTGTCTGCCTCGGCCTCCCAAGACAACAGAGGATTATTTTTAAGTAAATAATGCCTCTTCCCACACATCTGCTCACAGTAATGGCAGCATGATGTGAATTAATGTCATTAGAAACCCATGCTGTCCTCCAGAGTTGCAAAAGCCTGTCATAGGAAAATTTTATAGTCATAGAAGGATGTTCCCCTCCTTTGAGAGTCTGGTTTGCTATTGTTAGAGGAGAGAAGAGGATTCAGAAGGCTGCCAAACCTGTATGTTGCTGGTTTTGTCTCCTCTGGAGATTGGTGTGACGCTCATGAAGGGGACTCAGCCACCTGTGCAAAGCCCAGCCCTTTATTAAGTCACTGGGCATCTCATGGAGTCAGGGGATGAATTACTGATAGATGACTGGGAGGAGGGTGCTTAGGCACTGCAGTTGAGTGGCTCACAAGGAGCTAAAATTTCACTAATGCGTATTCAGTGGGTGGTTCTGGTTTGCCTGATTTTTGCCTCTGGGCATGGCTGTTTCAGCCTGAGAGGCTGTTCCAAGAATGTTGCTTTACTAGGAGCTCATGCCGCCTGGTGGTAAATATGAAGTACAGCAGTGCAACAGACCAGTTTTACTCCAAGGAAACCCTGTAGAGATGACAGCAATGGTTGGTGATTTCTGCCTCAATTATGAAAGTGATCTGGTGGCAAGTATCTGCACACTAATCCTTAAGTTTAAATCTAGTGGCTATGAGGTGCCCCTGCATGGCAAGCATGAATTTGCAGCTGGAAGATTTCCCTCGATCATATTCCAGTGGTTCTTAAATTTTGATGTACATAAGAATCACCAGGGAAATCTGATTGAAGTTCAGGTTTCCAGCTTCAGCTCCAGAGATTCTAGCTCAGCGGGTGTTAGATGTGACCCAGGGCTCTACCCATTTAAAATGAGCTTCCGATGAGGTTGGTCCGTGTAGCCTATTCTTTGGGAAATGCTGGCCTAATGGCTAAAAACATGAATTGGAAACCAAGCACAAGAAGGAGCAAGCTGATACTTCTGCCAGCAGCATGACATTGGGCTGCTGCTAGCCTCAGTTACTCTTCTGTAAAAAGGCAGTAATGGCCAGGTGCTGTGCCTCACGCATGTAATCCCAGCACTTTAGGAGGCCAAAAAGTGGGAGGATCGTTTGAGCCCAGGAGTTCAAGACCAGCCTGGGCAACATGGCAAGATCCCATCTCTATTTTTTTTTAAAGTCAGGCAAAATTCACAGGGCTGTTGCAGGAGAAAATGGGATCCTAATATAAAGAGCTTGATTCAGGCTCTGGTCATGGCAGGCACCAGTACATCCCAGCTCTTATTATTTGTGGTATTAATCCTAATTATCTGCAAGTTACAGGGCCAGAGAAGACTAGGGGAGTTCGGGTTTTCTAGACCAAACAGACACTCAGTCCTGGGCCTGGAGGTCTCTGCAGTGAGGTGCTGCCACAGACAGAGCCACCTTAACTCCTCAGGACAACCAGTGGCTTCCGACACACACTATGCACTGGAGGGCAAGCAGCTCTCAGCTTGGGAGCAACTGAGGATGGTGAACAGCCTGGGCAAGGAGTGCTCTGAGGCTAAGACCCTGAACAGCAGGGTCAGTATTTTTTTATATCTTTGTGCCTTTCAGGCCAAATGGAAGTTGGTAGCTCTCCTATCCCATTGCATTTCTAGAGCAATCTCTGTCTCCTCAATTATAAAGTGCGCTGATAATACTTCCCCAGATAGTTGTGAAGAACAGCTGAGAGATGATATGTGTAAAACCCTTACCTGATGATTGATGCTAATGGTCCTTGGAAAGTATTGTTCTCTCTCTCATTCCTTCTGGCGTGAATATATCCATAGTATCCTTTTCAAAGACAGATAGATCAAGAGAAGGGAAACAGATGGTCCAGATGTGTAGTGAGATTTTAAGGCAGTGTTTCTCAATGTTTTTTAAAAAATCCATGTTTCCCTCAATAAACATAAAAGTCAGACCACCTGTTTCTATATGTATATATGTATGTGTATATATATGTATATAAGTTTAATACATAGTATATGCATTAAAAGTCATATCTTGTATATTAAAAGTCACACACATATATATGTATATATGTATGGGAAATGTATCTATATGTGTGTGTGTGACTTTTAATATACAAGATATGACTTTTAAGATATATAGGCACAGCGGCTTATGCCTATAATTCCAGCATTTTGGAAAGTCAAGAGGAGAGAATTGCTTGAGCCTAGAAGTTCAAGGCTGCATCAAGGCTGCAATGAGCTATTATTACATCATTGCACTCCAGCCTGGGTGACAGAGTGAGACCTTATCTCTAATACACACACACACACACACACACACATATATATATATACACACATACATATATATATGTACACACACACATACATATATATGTGTGTATATGTGTATATATACGTGTGTGTGTGTGTGTAATTATTTTCTTTTCACCCATCAGGTTACCAGTACTGGGGTTATGAGTGTAAAGTAATATAATCACTTTGCAAGTTGTGAGGTACTGTAGATTATCCCATTGATACACTTTAATCCATGTTATTTTTTAAAATCTCCAATGTATTCTCAAATTATTCCTCTTTACAGAACCGAAGTGCAGCTCCCCACTTCAGGTAATGTGATTCTACCCTTTGCCTGAGAAACATATCCATCCTAATTGCCATGTGCTCAGCTGGACCACTAGAGGGAGCCATCCTGTAACGGGTGAGGTCAACCTAACAAATGGTATCAGTCGAGTATTGATCGGAGGCCAACGCAAGAAGTTACCAGTAGCCTATTTCAGATTTATTAAAAAACACATAGGTAACGAGTCAGAGCTTTGGCTAGGAATGATTTGGAAAAGAACTGAAGGCATAATTCCACAGGACATTCACAGTTGTGTGCTAGAGACAGAGAGGAGCAGGAAAGTGTTTTAGAAGCATTTGCGGTGGACAATGGAAGGCCCGGCTTCATCGTATTCCTGTTTGCTGATCCACATCTGCTGGAAGGTGGACAGAGAGGCCAGGATGGAGCCACCGATCCAGACAGAGTATTTGCGCTCCGGAGGGGCAATGATCTGTCAGTCAAGATGAAAAAGAATGGTCATTAATGTCATCATTAGTGCAGTCGTTAGTGCGGTAGGACAGAGCCTGGATGTTCTACCATGGCCTAGTTTCTTGTTCAGCAGGGACACAGGCTTGTCTGTTAGATGCCAATTGTGTCCTAATTGTGTCATGTTCTTGGCAGGACCGCCAGAGGGAGCCATGGATTTAGAAATTCTTCAGTAAGCACATTCGTTTTTCTCACCTGTAACTCTTCGACCACATTATTGAGCAAACTGAAAGTTGGCTCCAAATCCAGCCATGGCCCCCACTTAAGAACCCTGGCAATGCCTCTGATTTCCATGAACTCTGCCTCAGAATTCAACACGATACACTTTCTGTAGAAACAAACCCTAGCCTATTCAAAGGAGAAGTTTTAATTGTGCTAGGACTTAGTATACAAATGTGTTTCCACGTGGTGAAGTGAACTACCACTTTTCACCCAGATGCTCTGTTTAACATTGGGGAACTCAGGGTCCCCTGCTGGGGACATTCCCTTGCAATAGGTGCCTCTTAAGCTGCACTGGTTGGCCTTTCCCAGTGCACAGGCCTAACCTGCAAGGCATGCTCATGTTTCTTAAATAAATGAATGGTTTAGGCACAGAGAACAGTGAAAACTGGCTAACCAGTTTAATCTTTATCTTCTGAGCATTTACTTCTTAATACAAAGTACTGATATTTACTGAGCATGTAATTATATGCCAGGCACTATGCTAAGCATTTTACATGTATTATCTCATTTGATTCTCATAAACATCTTGAAGAATAAGTCTTAAATTACTCCCATATTACATATGAGGAAACAGAGGCTGAGAAAGTTTAAGTAACTGGCCCAGGTAACACCGGTTATATCAGTGTCAGATCTGATATTCAAACCTGGGTTCTCCCAGGTGGTTTTATGTTTTGGTTTGGTTTTAAAAATAACCTTTTTATTTTGGAACAATTTTAGATTTTCAGAAAAGTTGTAAAGAATTTAGTATAGTTTGGATATCTCCTCCAAATCTCATGTTGAGATGTAATCCCCCGTGTTGGAGGTGGGGCCTGGTAGGAGGTGTTTGGATCACGTGGGTGGATCTCTCATGAATGGCTTAGGACATCTCCTTGGTGATAAGTGAGCTCTTCTTCCGAGTTCACATGAAATCTGGTTATTTCAAAGTGTGTGGCACCCTCCCCCCACCCCTGCCCTCTCTGTTGCCCCTGCTTTTGCCATGTGAGGTGTCTGCCCCTGCTTCGCCTTCCACCATGATTCGAAGCTTTCTGAGACTGAGGCCTCCCCAGAAGCTGATGCTAGAGCTATGCTTCCTGTACAGCCTGCTGAACTGTGAGCCAGTTAAACCTCTTTTCTTTACAAATTACCCAAGTCTTAGGTATTTCTTTATAGCAACGCAAGAACAGCCTATGACAAATTCTATGGGAGTTCCCATAGGTCTCTCATCCAGTTTCATTTTTGCCAAATGTTATCATCTTATTGTCCTAGGTTTTTCTTGGTTCTCTATACTATCTCATTACATCGGGGCCCAGAGTTTCACATTAATTTCTATTCAAGAAACCAAGTTTAGAGAACTAGGAACTGCCCAACTCTAGCAATAGCCTCTTTCTGTTATCGACCCTCATGAGATCAACTCAGTAGTGAGCCCAGCTACTGGCTTCATTCACCTCCCTCTTGTGTGGAAGTAAGGGGGGTAAGAGCTGATCAGAATGGCATCCAAGAAACACAAACGCTGTTGGAAAACAGTCTCTCTTCTCTCATGCTGAAGTCTTTTAGGGCAGGACTAGCCAGAGCCTATCATGGAGAGAGAAAGTGTGCATGTTTCAGTCTAGCACACTCTCTAGTGTTAGCTGCATACTCCTTCTAAAAACAGAAGGGAGTGCAAAGAGGAGATAATTTGTTTAAATACCCACGTGTGTGAACTGCACTAGAATTGCCCCTCTACTTCCTGTGACATGGGTCAGAGGGTCCCAAGTGTGGCCTTCTGACTTCAGAGAGTGATAATAACCTTTGAGAAGTGACCCAGCCACAGGTTAAGTTTGCCTCCAAAGAATTATCTCCATTTAATCCCCGAGTTCCCTTCACTAGGGCTCAACATTCACACCACATACAGGGGTCCTGGGTGGCTCAGGGACTGAGCTTGGTCATCCTAGAGTCATTCTGTGCTTTTGAGCACCTGTACCAAAAGATGTGCTAGACAGAGGAATGAGGATAAAATTTGAATTCTTGGCCACAGGATTGAGGTTAGTAGTGGAGGAAGAGTATAAGCTCCTCCTAAATCTACAGTGTTTGAAGTTCTTCAGAAATAAGTCTAGGTCATCAGTATTTTTAAAAAATGTGTTACATGCATGATGCACTATTTTTGTGTCGAGAAAAACAACAAAATGCATATTTTAAAGAGAGATGAGCATGTGGGGAGCTCTGTTGACTTTGACTGCAGCTACTGAAAGTAGCTGACAGACAAGGATAAATAGAGATCAAATTTTATATAAAGTAACTCAATTTTTCTTATGAACTAGATTGACTTACATCCTGTAAAATATGAGATTTGTGTCCATTACCTACCCCTAAAACCCACAATTGCATGTCACCAAAATACAGTCTCTGAAGAGTTCTTATCTGTGGTTATAGGGCTGACACTGCTGGCGGCATTGCCACTGGGTCTGTCACTGAACAGTACCTTGATCTTCATGGTGCTGGGTGCTAGGGCCGTGATCTCCTTCTGCATTCGGTCGGCAATGCCAGGGTACATAGTGGTGCCCCCTGATAGGACATTGTTAGCATAGAGGTCCTTCCTGATGTCAATATCACACTTCATGATGCTGTTGTAGGTGGTTTCATGGATGCCAGCAGACTCCATCCCTGGAAAAGAGACACAGGCCATGGTCCTTAAGTGGAGAGTAAAACCCAGGCTAGACATGGAAGACCAGACTTGAACATCTGGATGATCTTGCAGTGGACTGAGGCTGGGAAGACATAATAATCTAGGAACCACCTGTCTGAGAGACAAAAGGGTCTTGTTATGCTCTATGTCTTCCTGCCTGCCTTCTAATGAGGAAGGCCTGCTGCAGCATCCTGAGGTGTGGGCTACAACAGGTATCACTGATTTTTTAATAGACTCACTACTCACTCCATGTGGTTTAAATAAGGGATGAAGCCTTCCAATTCCCTGCAAAGCTTCCACGCTGAGCCAATGTTGCAACAACTCTTCAGAGCTCTCCCAGGTCTCCATTTAACAGCTACGTTGCATCTGCCCCAGCCCCCAAAGCTAATGGGGCTGGATTATCAGGGAAACTTACTCTATTTTTTATCCTGTTGGAAAAGGCTCATTTTTCCAATCTTGCTAACATTTTTTTTGGGTGGGGGTGGGGGTCTGGACTTTTGTTAATTTCTGACGCAGGTGTTTTCAAAAAACCTCTAGGTGCCCTTTCATCTTCTGCAGTGCTGTGATGTAATGATAACGTTAACAATAGCACTACCTGATTATTAATTACTAGTGATATCTGATAATTATTGAATGCTTGCTTTTGCCAGGCAGTGGGCTAAGTGCTCTTTATCTATCTCCTGTAATTCTCACAGCCATCCTAGGACATAAGTAATATTACAGTCTCCGCTTTATACATGAGGAGACTAGTTGGGAGGTTAAGTGACTTTCCCAAGATCAAGAGAACTAAGACTGAAACCCAGGCTCACCCCTCTCAGAGCCTGCCTCTGTAAACAACTATGCAAACCTGTCTCTCCAAGACAATGTGAATGTAGGAACAGACTCACTTTGAGTGCTCTTCTATTTTTCTCTCCCCCAGCATTCCCAAATTCTCAGCCTTCAGCACACCCTTGCTACCCTTTCCGCTGTCTCCAAAGCACAGGCATTATTTAATTCTTTCATCATACACCATGAATGCTTTGGGCTTAACTGCAACATAGATAGTGTTTTCTTAGGAAGAAAACCTTTTTCCTGGCCTCATTATGTCTTCTCGCCTTGAAAATGTGGCACTTTCCCTTTTTCTGGTTTAGAAATGCTTTTGGTCTTGGGGCAACCGTCACTTGTCTCCATGTTCTGGAGGCTGGCTTGATATGGAAGAAGACAATGACTCCCCTTCCCAGGAAAAGGGCGTTTGTTGCCTACCGATGAAGGATGGCTGGAACAGGGTCTCTGGGCAGCGGAAACGTTCATTTCCGATGGTGATCACTTGCCCATCAGGCAACTCGTAACTCTTCTCAAGGGAGGATGAGGATGCGGCAGTGGCCATCTCATTTTCAAAGTCCAGAGCTACATAACACAGTTTCTCCTTGATGTCCCGGACAATCTCACGCTCAGCTGTCAACCAGATACAAACATTGTGGCAAACATTAGGGTCTGCACAGGTGGCAAAGATTCACCTGCCCTACTGCAGTCTCTCCCTCAAGACATGTGCCATCAAAAAATGTGTCAGTTCAATATTCTGCAATCCAAAATCCACAATGATAATGACGTAGTAGGGCCACCAGGGAACCACCTCTGTTCCTAGGACAGTGTCTCATGCATAGTAGGCCCTCAGCATGCATTGTCTGGGAAATGCATAACAAGAATAAAATGAGCTAGCTAGAGAAAGGCACACAGTAGCGGATCCTTTTGTACCATAACATTTTTTGGGGTGGGTGGGCAGGATAACTACTCTGTGTTATAATTATTTTATGACAGAAAGTTTGTTATATTGTATTTTCAGTTAACCAGGATATCTTATGCTGAATCAGCTCCTCAGGGGCCTCACAATTTTCAAAAAGTCTGAGATCCTGTTGCCTGGGCCAGTGGATAGCAGGTTAAACCTTTGGCACATTTCTCACCCTCCAGGAAAGAGGTGGTGCTGTCTCAGGACCAGGCCTAGTCCAGAAGGTTTCAGCGGTGCATACTGAACGAGATACGGAAGAAGTGGGCAGGGAGAGACCTTTCAGACTTCTGCTCTCTGAAGTTCTAGGCTATTAATTATATCTGAGGCTCTAGGAACCTTTTAGAGGCATCTTGGGATTCTTTGTAGGGAGCAGAGGAGGAATGCAATTATTCAACTTCATATTGCAAGTGGAGACTTTAACATTGGCAGGGTTCAAGTCTCAAGCCTCAAATTTGGAGCATAAAATAAGCCTCAGGCATGTTCAGAAACCTAAATGTTTGGACAATACCAAATTGCTAAGGGGAGGACAGGTAGCTGGAGCCACCAGCACTGAGGACATACAATGTTTCTGGCAATGCTGACACTTTCCTCTTGTGAAGGGAGGACTGGGTGCACCGGCTTAGAATCTGAATACACATATGTCACTGTGTTAGCTATTAATAAGTATCACTGTTAATAGCTAACAATTATTGAATGCTTACTCTATGTCAAGTATTCCACATGCGTTCTTCCATTTAATACTGATAACAATCATGTGATATAGGGTCTATTATTATCCCCATTTTACAAATAAAGAGACTATGGTTGGTTAACTTGTCCAAGCTCACAGAGCTACTGAGTAGCAGAGTTGGGACTCGAGTCCTATCACAATGTCTCCTGCCAATCACCACACCATGCCATCTTCAGTCTCTGCACAATCTTCTTCTATTTGCTAATGGAGGGGATTAAAAAAAGATCAATTATACAACACTGACTAATGCATAACACTGGGTGTCTATAACTGTTCTCCTCAAGGAAATAGTGTAATCATTTTGCAACTTCACACAGCAAAGAAAGATGTGCTTTGCTCTGTGCATTAGAGCCAGGCCTTGCCATTTGCAAAACTTCATCCCATCATCTCCTTGGATAGTGAGGATGGTCCTGGAAGTTACTGAGCAACACACTGCTCCCCTCTCCCCCTTATCTCCCACAGGCCTCACCAGTAGTAACGAAGGAATAGCCACGCTCAGTCAGGATCTTCATGAGGTAGTCAGTGAGATCTCGGCCAGCCAGATCCAGACGCATGATGGCATGGGGCAAGGCATAGCCCTCATAGATGGGGACATTGTGGGTGACACCATCTCCAGAGTCCAGCACGATGCCTGGGAGACAATTGGGCGTGATAAGTCACCATGGCAGCTGGCATGTGGTTACTTGCTGGACAAGTAGAGGGAAGCCTTGGGGGAGAGGGAATTTCCGAGCCTCTTATTTAAAAAGAGAAAACAGGGCATGTGATAGGAGAGGTGAGGTGGGACAGGGCTCGGGGAAGATGAAAAAAAGTAAAGAACAGGAAGAGGAAAACAGTAGAAAAAAGTTCTGCTAGAAATATGAGATCAAGGGCTTATTTTGAACACTAGAAGAAGATCTTTTAGGGCTGGGTTCAGCCGTGTCCATTCTAACTCAACTCCAGTCCGTCACCCCCACGTGTTAACGACCATTCAATCCCATCTCTGGCAGTGCGCTCCAACCAGCTTGCTGTCCCGCCCAGCCACCTACCAGTTGTGCGTCCAGAGGCATAGAGAGACAGCACCGCCTGGATAGCCACATACATGGCTGGGACATTGAAAGTCTCAAACATAATCTGCAAAGCAATCCAAAGAGCTGAGTTAGTGAAGGTGCCCATCTGACAAAGAATGGTCAGGAGAGCACACCTGGTTGATGGATGCAGAGGGGCCTGACCTGTTCTGGGCAGAGGAGGCCAAAGTAAGGAGGTTCAGAACAGCCCTGGTCACGTTAAAGAGGAGAAATGAAGGTGTGAATGGGGAGCCATCACATCAATGGCCTGACAGGGTGGGGAGGGGAAGAAACAGTGTGCACACAAGGTTTGGCCAGGGGAAAGGAAAGTCCAGCTTCTGGCTCTGGTCCTGGCTTTGACTAATAGTCACCAAACTAATAGTTGATTAATAGTGGCTTTATTCCAGGTCTCTTAACAGAGGAGGAGTTTGGACTAAATGAGATCTCCCATTTTTCCAGTGCAGACATCCTAGGGCTTGTTAACTATGTCAAAGCCAGAAGAAAAAGAGAAGACAACATCCAGGTTTTGATTTCCCTGGTATAAAGAAAGAGAACTTTTAAATCTGAAGCTCAGGCTGGCTAGGTTTAGCCCCATTTCTGTGATTTGTCTGAGGTTCTATTTAATCTATTCCACTTTTTTATGTAGTTACTGGGTCAATGCTAACCCTAGAATCTGAGGCCATTCTGGTTGCAGTGGGAGAGGCCCTGGTTCCTGGAAGACAGGACCAGCCCAATGGTAATAGAGGACCACATAGAATGTCAGTGCCCCAGTTGGTGCAGTCCAGGGACAAGATTAGAACCAAGCCCCTCCAGGTCACTTGTGAGAAGTTTGTGCATCAGGAGATGTCCGTGGGTCTTCATTTCTCCATCTGTAAGACCCTTCCTACTCTATTAACCAGAATGTCTGACATCATTTGCTAGCAAGCCATAATTTCCAACCATTTTTTTTTTTTTGCCTTCACACCACTGACAGGAACAATAATTCATCAGAAGCAACATCTCTTGCGACGTGCAGTGATTCCCAGGCCCACAGATGTTCCCCTGTAGAGAACAAGTGCTAGTGGGTTGGTGCAAGCACCAGGAGCTCTTCTGAGGAAAAGGCCTTGCAGTTATTTACATTTATGATTCTTCAATGCTGGAAGATCGTGGATCAATCCCAGGCTTTGCCAGTTCTAGCTGTGTGACCCTGGGAGAATTACTTAATGTATCTGAGCCTCAATTTCTTCATTTATGTAGTCAATATAATCATAGTTCCTGCTTCACATTGCTAGAACTTAAAGAGACAATGAATGTAAAATGCTGAGCCCAGTACTTGACCATAACAAGTATAGAATTGACACTAGACGTTGTTATTTAATAGCTCTTCCAAACTAGAAAACTCAGAGCTCTGTCTGGTGGGCTGGATGGGATTCTATTGTGAGGTCTTTAGCTTCAAACAAGTAATAATAATGACAATAGTAAGTACTATATTTTGGATGTTTATTAGGAACCATGATACACATCTGTCATTTCACCTCATTAATGTTCACATCAATCCTTGGAAAAATGATAGTATTAATATTACTCCCAACTTATAGACAAGGAAACTGAGGCTCTGAGAAATTAACGGAGTTCTTTAAGGTCACATAACTGATAAGTGGCAGATCCAGTTTTCAAACCTAGATATGTCTGACTCTGGAACCCAAATTCCTATTGTATGTGATGCTGCATTTTGAAGTGACTTCTCCTTAGACATTATAACTTAAACGTGGCCCCTTCTCAGTGAAATCTTTTAAATTTCCTATTGCTTTTGGAGGCAAAGGGCTGGTCCCTGCAGGAAGGATGCAAGTACTTTCAAGCTGTTCCTGTCCTTTGGGATCCCTGAGTTCACTGAAGGCTGTTAGTCTGTTGGTGGACTCCTAGCTCCGGCCTTCTCTCTGCTGTGCTGCATAGCCTCCTTCTAACAGAAGTTTCCCCAGACCCCACAGTGTTGTGTGCTGGGGTAGCATACTTACTTGAGTCATTTTCTCCCGGTTGGCCTTGGGGTTCAGGGGTGCCTCCGTGAGCAGGGTGGGATGCTCTTCAGGGGCAACACGAAGCTCATTGTAGAAAGAGTGGTGCCAGATCTAGTGAGTTGGGGGACAGAGGAGAAACACAATGATGTGCTGTCATGAGGTCCTGCATTTCCCAAAAAGGGACCAGAAGCTACTTGAAACCAAGACCAAAGGAAATGCTACAAGTACTCATGCATGTGTCCATGGTTTTATAGATGCAGAGACTGAAGCTCAAAGTGTGTAAGTACCTTCCCAAAGGATTCACATCTACTAAGTGACTGAGCAGAATCCCTAACCCAGATCTGTGAGGCAGGATGGTATGGCAGTTAAGGGCACAACCCTTGATCAAACCTTGGGTTCAAAGCCCAGCTCGGACACTTCTTAGTTGTGTGAGCTTAGGCAAGTTTTTAACCCTTCTCAGCTTCAGTCTCATGATTGGTAATAGGGAGATGAAAATAATTAGTGTGTACCTCATCGGGTCTTTGTGTAAATAAATAAGGTAACCCTCGAGTTATTGTCCAGCCCAGTGTCTGGTCCAGAATCAATGTTATTATTATTCAACTCTATTTTCTTTGTTCTCTCTTCCCATTTTAATGTTCATGGGAAAATGATTTAATTTTGTAAATAAAAAGACAAATGAATGTATATATGAATAAATGACGCTTACTTGAAAACCTAATTGACACTTTTAATGCTTCTAGAGAAGTTGCCCTTTGCAGTGTACATGAAGAAGAGAACAGGGCTCTCTGACTCTTGCCTCCATCACCCTCTTTGCTCTCGAGGGATGAGAAAAGCTTCCTCTATCAGCACACTCTGGATCTTCCACTCACAGTCAGACATTTGGCCTTCAGGTGTTTCCAAAAGGCCCACGCCTGTGTATAGTGTGTCTATGTGAAGGTACTTTGGACATAACTACATTTATTTATGGTTGAGCACTTTCTTTAATTCCTAGATGCCGAAAAGAACAAACCATTGCAAAAAGGACTAAATTAATTAATCTTTAAAAGCACGAAAATTCTCCACCAGAGCCAGGAATATGAGATTCACTCAAAATCAAAACAGAGCAAAACAAGAACTGCTGGTGAAAGCTTACAAATTAGCAAAACCAAGATTAGCTTTAAAGACTATCTTATTCCACTTTCTTTTGTTTTGGATTTGTGGTTTATAGAAGGGAAATGAAACTTCTGAAAGTTTTGTTTCTTTAGTGGAGTGAAAGCAGCAGACTGCTCAAAAAATCCTGCCAGTCACAGCAAGCAACCTTTCTCCTCTCTCTCTCTTCGTCCCCACCAGAAGATACTTTGAATTTAAATTTTAGAAATAAGGAAAGTTTTTTCTTCCAATAGTCTCTGTCTAGGACGATACATTCTAAGATGTTGTCAGCTCCATGGAGAAATTCTAAAAGAATATTTTCCTATTGATATTGATATCTTTTTCTCTGTGCAAACTGCAATCTTACCAAATCTAGAATCCTCAAGCAAACCTACTGATATGAAATTTTTGTAGAAAGATAGAGCTTGGAGCATTACTGCTGATAAATTCTAACAACATTATGTATTTTTCTTTTAAGTGATAAATTGTGTGCGTAGTAGTAGTAGTGAGCCGATAGATAAATAAAAGGCCAGATATCGTGATTCTGATATATCTTGCTGCATTTAAAATTTTTTATGTCACTTTCTCATTATTTCTTCTGTTTTTTTCTCTGATCACTGGTGTCTGTAATGTTTAATGACCAAACATCAAAATCTTAGAATTTAGCTCTTCTTCTCATTAGCTCTTTTATTAAGTGTCTGGGAGATAAGGCCTCATGTAATGCAACACAGATAAATAATTTTTAAAATATTTATCATATAGCTTTTTTCAGTGGCTCTTGTGCTTCAGTGTGTGGAGAGGCATTCAGAAATGTACCAAACCTGCAATGTTACACTCCTGTTTACTATAGTGAAAACAAAAACATTTTTAATTTAGATGTTTAGAGTGAGTTAATGAAAACCTTTCAAGAATGGGCTGTTTAAGACTACTCCCAGCATTTCAAGCCCCTTTAGCTATATTGCACTGAGAGGGATAACCATGCAGCCCCTGATGAAAATGAAAGGAGGGTTTTCATTCTCTGAGCTGCTGCTCATGCACTGCTTGTCCTAGGAGGGCAACAGAGTTGACGTGAGCAACAGATGATTAATTCCCTGCAGTGGCAAAGGGCTACTCTTCTCATCTACAGAACTATCATCCTTTAATTAGTTAATAAAACCTAATAGGCAAGGACATTTTTTTCCTTTTCTTTAGAGACAGAGTCTTGCTCTGTTGCCCAGGCTGGAGTGCAACAGCTGATGGTATGATCAGCTCACTGCAGCTTCGAACTCCTGGGCTCGAATGATGCTACCACCTCAGCCTCCTGAGTAGCTGGGACTACAGTTGCATGCCACCACACACTGTTAATTAAACCTTTTTTTTTTTTTTTTTTTCAGTAGAAACAGGGTTTTGCTATGTTGCTCAGGCTGGTCTCAAACTCCTGGCCTCAAGTGATCCAGTGCTGAGATTACAGGTGTGAGTCACTGTGCCCTGCAGGATTTTTTTCTTCTTTTTTTTGAGATAGGATCTCACTCTGTCACCTAGGCTGGAGTAGGATCTTGGCCCACTGCAGCCTCCATATCCCAGGCTCAAGTGATCCTCCCACCTCAATCTTTCAAGTAGCTGGGACTGAGGTGTGTGCCACCATGCCTGGCTAATTTCATTTATTTTTTGTAGAGACAGGATCTTACTATGTTACCCAGCCTGGTCTCAAACTCCTGGGCCAAGCGATCCTCCCACCTTGGCCTCCCAAAGTGTTGGGATTACACGTGTGAGCAACCATGCCTGGCAAGGGATTTTTTTTTAAAGAAACATTTTAGGATTTTTTTTTCTTTTTTTTTTAAATTTTATTATTATTATACTTTAAGTTTTAGGGTACATGTGCACAACGTGCAGGTTTGTTACATATGTATACATGTGCCATGTTGGTGTGCTGCACCCATTAACTCGTCATTTACATTAGGTATATCTCCTAATGCTATTCCTCCCCCTCCCCCCACCCCACAACAGTCCCCGGTGTGTGATGTTCCCCTTCCTGTGTCCATGTGTTCTCGTTGTTCAATTCCCACCTATGAGTGAGAACATGCGGTGTTTGGTTTTTTGTCCTTGCGACAGTTTGCTGAGGATGATGGTTTCCAGCTTCATCCATGTCCCTACAAAGGACATGAACTCATCATTTTTTATGGCTACAAGGATTTTTTTTTCAATGGGTAATAACCCAGAATGAACATTAACAAGTAAAAGTACAGTTGAGCAATGTGAGCCAGTTATTTCCCCAGCAGTAGTGTGGTGTTCTGTATCAGAGAACACAGGGATTATGCATCCTGAGGGCCCAAGCTGCAGCAAACCTCCCATACCTTTTCCATGTCGTCCCAGTTGGTGATGATGCCATGTTCTATCGGGTACTTCAGGGTCAGGATTCCTCTTTTGCTCTGTGCTTCGTCACCCACGTAGCTGTCTTTTTGTCCCATTCCCACCATCACCCCCTAAAAAGGTTCAACACATTATGAGTCAGCATCTCCCAAAACTTGTGAATCAATTACAGCCAAGCCACAAAAGGTTAAGTCATTGAGATGGGAAGTTCCTCTTCTGATTATCAGCAACAATAAACATATTGAGTCTCATTGCCACTATGCTCTTAAGCAAAATTCTGCAGTTGATTGGAAAAAGACCTGAATTGCCTCCAAATAACAGGAGATGTTGGGGGAAAGTCAACTTTACTTTGTATTTTTATCTCCTATGTTCCTTGATGAGCTTTTTTAGGGCAGAGATCATGTCTGTCTTGTCCATCACTATAGCAAATTGCATGGCACATATGTGGCACTCAATAATTATTTGTTGAAAGAATGTATACAATTTTACATATTTGTTAAATGGCATTTTGTGTCTTATAAATCCTTTAAACTGTACTTTTAAAGTCATCACCTACCCAAAAGAATATGAGCATTATTTTCTAACTATTATAAGCAAAAGCATTGCATCTACAAATAACCACTTGAGGCTTGATTTCTAATGGATAAGTTCATACCAATCAACTGTTAAGACATTTGCCTAAATTAGTCAGCTGCATTTAAAAAAAATCATTAAGGTGAAGTTCTTAAAAAATTATTGTTACTAGATTTTAAATTGCACTGCAGTGACTATTTTAGAACTACAAAACAGCCATGGCTACTATGGACCCATAAAATAGCGGCTTGTGCAGAATATCTCCACTGCATAAAGATCAATGAATTCAGACAGACTGCATTCATTGGGAGAGGTTTCTATTATTTATTCTCATGAATATATCCCAAGCAGAGAGGCATAAACATCAATCAGATAGCCTCAATGCACAAACTACATTTCTGATGTGAAGAAGAATTTCTGAGGTGAAATTACTGAGTTTTTACCATGTGATGCCACCAATACTTTGTTTACACATAATGTGTAAAATTACCATGCGGCTGTCCAAATATATTTTGTTGACAGGTAATATTATGTAAAATTGCATTTGGTATCGATGCTTGCTTTCATCTAACATCAGCCCTGTATGGTTAAGTGACCTGGACTTTTATTTTAGTTTCTTTCCAAACAGTAGCTTTGGTATACATCAGGATAATGTATAAGCATTTCTGATGGTGATGAAATGATTTGATGATGATGATGATGATGATAATGACTATATTTAGACAAAAAGGACATGAAAAAGGGGCAGACTTTGTATCTGATAGATGCCCATCAGATAATCTGTCTACATTATATGTGAAATTGGCATTTACTCCTGGACCTTAATCATTAGAGGTCTATTTGTAACAAGGTTACATAACTTCTGGGCAGAAAGAGATAGACAATCTGGGGATAAACATGAACACAGAGGAACCTAATCTGTGTCCTGTTATGTTCCAATCATAATTTTCCTCACCTGATGTCTGGGACGTCCCACAATGGATGGGAAAACAGCCCTGGGAGCATCGTCCCCAGCAAAGCCGGCCTTACAGAGCCCAGAGCCATTGTCACACACCAAGGCAGTGCTGTCCTCTTCTTCACACATAGCTGGAGCTGCTTCACAGGATTCTATAGAAAACAGGGAGGAAGCAGCCTCAGCTGTAATTGGGCATTTGTGGCACTTACCTGACAACTCCCACCTCCAAGGCTGGGTTTGGGGGCCCTCCTCTGTGTCCTAGTGCTATCCTCTGACCCTTATCTAATATAGCATGTATCTGGAAGTACTTTAGTTACACTATAAGCTTTCAGTAAGCTGAAACTCTGACTTCTGAAACTCTGACTTCTATGTTGATACAACCTTAGTGTAGTGACCGGCATATCATGTGTTCTCGTGAGCACTTTAAAGGTGGATAGAGCCAGTGAATGAATAAACAAACTGCAGAGCACAGATGGGAAATCCAGAGTCTGAGACCAGATCTTTGCAGAGACAAGTTGCCTACCTTATGTTAAAGAAGCATCTAGATTTTCCTGTCTGTATCAACCCAAATGCACATTTTTCTAGATATGCTATACCTTTTTGAAATTTTTTCAAAAAGCTAGATTTTTGAGGGACAGGCAGCATGTAAAAATTTAGAAATGTTAAAATGGTCAAGTGTTTAATGGAAAAATCTTTTTGAATCATGAGGACTTTTACTTTACCCTCAGAGAAGCTTTGAAATAAAATTTTCTGAGAAGGTGCTTTAAATTTTAGGGGCTGCAATTATCCACCGTTAATAAAAGTCACTGTTAAGCTAACAGTCCAACAAGTGAGGGTGAGCCTGATGGATTATATATCATATGGTAGAATACTTTACTGCCATTAAAAAGGTAGAGTAAGAGGATAAGCAAAAGGTAGTTCTTATGTAAGAGTAATAGGTTAGAAAAAGTAACATTGTAAATCTCATTAAAAATGTATTTTTTATGCATTGCAAAAAGATTAATCATATTTACCAAGATGTTGACTGAGGTTATTATGAAGTGGTGGGTTTTATAGGTGTTTTTAATTATTTTCCCATGGTTCTGTCATATTTTTTTAATTTTCTATATTGAATGTGTATTTCTTTGGTAATAAAACAAAATTTTAAATAACCCATTTTATACTTGGATCTTATACTTGGATCCTTTCATAAAATTAGAAAGGCTGGAGCAGCCTATCAACTTACAAATTTGAGAAATTGAAGGCATATTAGAGGACATTTTCATCCAATGCTCTCATTTTCACAAATAAGAAAATCAGGAAGTGATTGCTCAAGGGCACACAGGGCATTAGAGGCAGAGCTCCAGCCAGACATCAGGTACTCTTTAGCCACCCCTTGGCTTCCAGTTCAAGACCTCTTCCACTTTTCTAATCACAATTAGGTCGAAATGTTCCGTTAAGAGAAGGACACCCAGAGTTATCTGCCTGGCATTGAGATCTCAATTAGGATTTCAAATTGAGAAAATTTCTTCTTCTAAATGGGTTAACTGATTGCACCTCCAAATCCATATAAAAAAGGCAGTTCTTTTAAGGAAACATCTGAGAAGTAGGGAAATAAAATAGCTATTACAGAGTTGGAGTTCTGCCAAAACATTCCCACAAAATCAAACCTGCATCTTGCCAAAGGCCTAAAACTTCCTTAGCAGTGCTTCATGTAAAATAACTCTTTGCAAAGAACATAAAACTGCAATTGAGATGACATATTTTAAAGTCAAGGCATGTAATATTATCTTCAACTGACAAGGAAACCAAGGCTTAAGGAGTTGAAGTGACTTGTCCAAGAGCCTTGAACTGATACATTTAGGACAACGAAGATTTCAGATCACAGTGATTATGAGCTTAGACTCTGAAGTCAGACTGCCTGGATTTGAGTCCAGGCTCCAACAGTTAAAAGCTGTGTGATTTCAGTTATTTAACATCTCTAAACCACAATTTCCTTACTATAAAACAGTAATGATATCAGGACATACCTCATGGAGTTCTTATAGAGATTGGGTTTTTTAAAGTGTTTAAAATAATTTATAGTGGCAGAGATACTCTAAGTTCTCAATAAATACTAATTTCATCATCATTATTATTACTATCACTGTGTGATTATTTTCATTATCCAGAACTCTTTGTTTCTAACCTTTGCTTTCTTTCCACACTGCTCCAGGCTTAGAATAAAAATAATCAACGTGTGGATTCCACTTGCAAGAATGGACATGGGACTCATGAATGGCTTGCCCTTTCCTTTCCCACCCTTCTTTTCCCTTTCCAGATGCTGAATTATTTTGGCATTCCTGTGATTTGGCTTCCCTCAGAGCAGATTAAGAAGCTTTAGAAAAGAGGCGAGAACTATAAAGGAGAAAAAAGGGAAGAAGCCTAAGAGCCTGGGGTATCTGTCAGAAGCAGCCAGCCCCAGGGGATAAGCAGGCACTCTATGGATGTGCTAAGTGCATTTTCCAAACCAAAAGTAAGGGCTGAAAAGAGGATAAAACATTTCAAATTAGGATGGTCTCTGAAAATGGGAAGGTATGGTTACCATGAATGCTGGGATATTTTTAATAACTGTTTTGTTGGGCAGTGATGGCTTGGGAGGAGGGGTTGACTATACTCAGAAAAAGGAGACTGGCCCTCAGCATCAGCAAGAATGCAGAAAAATGTTTTTTACTTGGCCAAAAAAAAAAGAAAAAGAAAAAGAAAATCTAGGAAGAATGTTATAATGTCCAAAAGGAGCACTGTCATTGAAGAAGTCACTGTGTCCCCGGAAAGAGTCAGCTCAGTGGTTTACAGCTCCTCTCTAACCTGAATGAGCAGTTCGGTTTGGAGCAAAGCATTTCCTAATTAGGTAAAACACGCTCGAGTGTCTGCTTTTGGAACTGCACCCGGGTCAGGGGATTTGCTCCAACTGACTAGAGTGCGTCTTGTGCCAAAAATGAGTTGATGGGAGGGGAAAGAACAGTACAGTTCCCAGCTCATTGGTCTTGAAACACAAACCATATTTAGTCATGAAACACAAAATGCTAGGAAAATCTCAGCATGAAAACTCCAGTCTGGGCTGAAGCTGCCAAACCTTGATTTGCAGTGAAACTCAGCCTGGGTTGGCAGGGCTGGCTGCACAGTCACACTTGCCTCACCAGGCTGAAGGGAGCTTTAAGCTGAGGGAGATGCAAACCAGATATCCGGCCGGGAGGCACACACAGCTGTCAGATGCAGGCTCTGCTCCCTCCCTCTTTCTTTCCAGAGAAAAATTCAGCAGGTCACCTGCTGCGCTCTGCTGCAAATGACCAATGATGTAGATCCAAACTTGTAAGGTCACACATACACATTTCCAACAAAAAAGAGATATACATTTCCAACAAAAGACACTACCAGTTAGAGCCAGGGAAACCCAGAAGGGAATACACAAATTCAGGCACAATCAAAGACTAGGCAACTATTCTTCTGTTCACTTCCAAAATCCACTTCCAGACACCTAAGCTGCACCAAAAATACAGCCCAGTGAAAGAAAACCCCTACAACAAATCAGAACCAGAAAGAAATCTGAGTTTCCAGTGCCTAAATACAAATAAATGTATAACTTACTGCACACAGCTAACCTGCATACCTGTATTGTGCTGCAAGATCTGGGCTGTTTGTTTAGGATGAACATTTTACAGAAGACATGCATTAATAAAATTTTCATATTCTTCTCTACCCCTTCCATCATACCAAACTACATATTAGCCCTGTCTTTAACGTTAGATCATTAAAGCCAAAAGCTACAATCATTTTAGTAGTACAATCTTCATTCAGAAATATCAGTGCATGAACCCAGCCAAATCCCTGCAGATGATGTCTTATTATACCGGGTAATTAAAAGAGCCACTGGAATCTATAAGTCACATCCTTGGCCTGGCGCCACTTACCCTGACAGTGCTTGGCTGGGCTGCTCCACACTGGGTGGTGTTCAGGGAAGCTGAAAGCTGAAGGGTTATATAGCCCCTTGGCCTGCTCTCCTCCCACTTGCTTCCCAAACAAGGAGCAAAGACAGACTTGAGCCTGTCGTTCAGTCTAACACAACCATATAGGGACCTCAGCACAAAACTCTCTAATCTGGGTGGCCGGAGGCCTGGGTCTCTTCCACTGCATTCCACTGGTCTGCTCATGAAACGGGAGGCGGTTCAGCCGCCTGTGGGAGATAAACACGCCAAGCCTTCAGAACAACTGCAGAAATGCCCAGAGACACTGAGCTAGGGTAATGGGCAGATGCAGGCATGGTTTGCACATTCCACAGAGGATGCCAGCTTGCTATCATGCTGGAATTTCAGGCCATTTCCTAATAAACTGAGAACAGAAAGGGGCAGAAAGGGCTGCCTCTGCCTAGCACGGACTTTTAAAACCCTTCTACCACGGTAGCATGCAAAGAAGAAAGATATTCCTTCAGTCGTCTATAAATACATAGAGGGAGTGATGATTTTATGGTAGGCACACTGTTTATAAATCAAGTTCTTGAGGGAGGTGAGTGGAAATAGGAATTGAAGTATGGAGACAAGGTTGACAGGCCTATGTCTTACAAAGAGGAATTTGGATGTTAGCATTACTATAACTACATTCATTTTTTTGGTGCATTAGCTTTGTCTACTAATTTGTCACCGAGCAATTTAGCAGCATAAGTAGGGACCATCCTTTGACCAGAGAGTCTACCCAGCAGCCTGTCAAAGAAGTAGTTTGGAAAAGAAAGGAGATTGTTCAAAGGAAGCCTCTGTAGCCCTCCTCTCTGCCCACTAACCTCCTTGACAGGAAGTAGAGAGACCAGGTGATATGGTTTGGTTCTACGTCCCCACCCAAATCTCGTCTCGAATTCTAATCTCCATAATCCCATGTCCAGAGAAAGGCTAGGTGGGAGGTGACTGGATCATGGGGGCGTTTTCTCCCATGCTGTTCTCATGAAAGTGAGTGAGTTCTCACGATATCTGATGGTTTTATAAGGCAGTTTTCCCTGCTCTTGCTTGCTCTCTCTCGCCTGCTGCCATGTAAGACACGCCTCTTCCCCTTTTGCCATGAGTTTAAGTTTCTTGAGGCCTCCCCAGCCATGCAGAACTGTGAGTAAATTAAACCTCTTTTCTTTATAAATTACCCAGTCTTGGGTATGTCTTTATAGCAATGTGAAAATGGACTAAGATACCAGGTGACCCTCTCATTTCTCAAAGATATAAGCCCTCATCTCAAGCATCAATGAATAGCTTCAGTGATTTTATATTTGTCTACTAGGTTCTCACTAAACTCATAAAGAAATATTTTTGTGGGTACTGTGAGTATTTCTGGACTGTGGACATGTGAGAAAAATCCCAAAATGAGTGGCTTTATTTTACAGCCATGACCAGCTGTTCACTCATGTTACTATGTCAGATCTGTTTGATTAATGGTGCCCACACATATACATACATATATATCTTTGAAGAATTGCACTATTGATTAGAAAATTTTAAATAGCTTAAGACTAAATCATAACAGGATTTCTCTATACTGCTCGGGATTTGTCTAGCTTTTACCAACCAGAAAACACGGCCATTAGAATGTTAAAATATAAAATCTACACAGTACAACATAAAGTTGGGCATTTGGGGTTAATTCATTAATTTTCATCACAGGAATCATGTGAAGCAAAATTTCCATATTTTCTTGAGTAGGAGGGCAATTTGAGTAGAGGAAGGATTCCCCTTCCTCCTGCTTTTGACTCACGCAGTGTCTGTGTAGTCCTTGCGATCTTTATGAAGTGACTGTTCATCTAAACACCAAAGAGAAGAGTTTTTGCATTCACTTTTATGATTCTTACATCATTTCTACCATTAGTGTACATCCAAAGCTCTGATAATAATCAGACTATGATGAAATAAAGAGACATATTGGAAGAGGACTCAAGGTTTAGTTTTTCTTGCAAGATTTTTTTTCAAATAATCTATGACACTAACCAGGAAAGACTTATAATTGAAAATAAATTTCTAAACAAGTGATTAAATGATCTTATTGCCTGGGTTTGAGATTTATAGTTTCACATCCCATCCAAGTCTCTTCAGTGAGAGAAACCAGCACTGCATGGGTATGAGTGTGTGTGCAAAGATATCTCCAGCCAAGCGGCCAGATACTTCCTGGGGCCAGCAGCCATGTATCCAAGGGGTTATGGAACAATTAGAAAAACAGTAGTGTCACACAAAAAAAAAAAAAAAAAGAAGAAGAAGGAAAGAAAGAAAAACAGTAGTGTCGGATAACTTGGTTGCAGTTCAGGGACACTATAAAATAAATTCCAAGCTAAAGAACATATCCAACAATCATTTCCAGACACGTTGTTCTGCAAACATCATGCACCATCTTAGTAAGATTATTTAGTTATGATTTATTGTAAATTCCTTGAGCGCTGGGGCAGCACTCTGTAGATTTAGATTAGGCCATGTAACTACTGGCAAATAGCCGTATAATATTGATGTCTGGTAAGGAAAATGATTTTCTGCTGGTGCCGAAAAATTGGGCTGTAGAAATTGTTTTTTTCTAGACTGATCATATGCATTGGCTATTTTGTTCAGTTCATAAAATTCATTTTTCTGAGAAGACACAGTGAGAGCAAGGAAACCTTTCCATTTCCCACCTTTGGAATTCCCCAGGAGAGTCACAAACAGTTCTCCTAAGATAGCCCATGAAGACAAAGGCATGGAGTCTACGCTGGCACAATGGCCATCCTGCCACATCTGCAGGGATTTGCCAGGCTCTGCTCTGTTCCTCATTTGAGCATAATTAATATTCTTTATGGGAAATTTGACTGGACACTTTCTATGAAGGTCTAAAGGCTGGTATTTCAGGGATTTATTTTCATAATGTTTTCATTTATTTCAAAATGTGAGAAGATCAGAGAGAAGATACATGGTATATTAAATGTGAGAAAAACCATGCAACATGAGGATGTGAGGAAGGAATGCAGTGACAATTGGCCCTCAGACCTTGACTTTGTGTAAAGGCAAACATTTTGGATCAATACACGGGGGTTATGATTCAGAGTTGAAATTCCAAAGCTATCATTTACTACCACTGTATCCCCTCTGTGCCTTAGCTTTCTTATAAGAAAAATAGGGTTAATATTCATGCCTTATCACAAGGTGGCAATGAGATATGAGGCGTTAATAGGTTAGAAGCACCTAGAACACTGCCTGGCCCATGGTGAGCACGATGTAATTATTAGCTATTATTATTGTCGGATGCTCCATAATGAGGAAGTTAGTTCTAGAGGTGAGACAGACACTTTTTCAGACAAAAGTGCAGAGGTAAACTCTTACCCAGAAGACTCTGACACCCTGTGTTGGTTTCCTATTGCTGCTCTAACAAATTATGAAAAACTTACTGGCCTCAAACAACACAAATGTATTCTGTTACAATTCTTGAGGTCAGAAGTCCAAAACAGGTTTTCAATGGGCTAAAATCAAGGCATTCCTTCTGGAAGCTCTTGTGGGGGTCTATGTCTTTGTATTTTCTAGTCTCTAGAGTCCACTTGACTCATGGCTGCTTCCTCTTTCTTCAAAGCCTGCAGCAGAGCATCTTCAAACTCTCTTTCTGACACTAATCCTCCTGTCTCCCTCTTAGAAGGACCTTCGTGAATATATTGGGCTCTAATGGATAATCGAGGATAGTTCAACATAATCTTCCCATTTTAAGATTATCGATTTAATCATATCTGCAAAGTCACCATTTTGTGTGTAAGGTAACATATCCACAGGTTTAGGGGATTAGTAGGTGAACATCTTGCAGGGAGGATTCATTATCCCGCCTATTACATACCCCCATCTCACCACCCAATGTGTTTGCCATTACATGTCAAGGCTTTTATACCAGTTTCTCAGTTTCCAAAAAGTATTTCTACCAATGGTGTTGGCATCAGATGTACTTACTACACTTAAATAAACACTACCTTAGACTGTTTGTGCTGCTGTAACTAAATAGCTGAGACTGGATAGTTTATTTAAAAACGAGATTTATTTCTCACATTTCTGGAAGCCAGGAAGTCCAGGATCAAGGTGCCAGCATCTGGTGAGGGCCTTCTTGATGTGCCATCCCATGGTGGAAGAAAAGGTGAACCTGCTCCCACAAGTCCTATTTATAGTGGCATTAATCCATTCATGGAGGTGGAGCCCTTATCAATTAAACACCTCCCATTAGGCCTCATCTCTCAACACTGTTGCCCTAGGGTTTAAGTTCCCAACACATGAATTTTGGGAGACATATTAAGATCGTAGCAGACACTTAAGACACGGTACACAAGTCTTATCTTAGGAAAGGGATCAGAAAACTGTAAAGCTACATGCCCATGATCCTGTAATGGCCAACTAGGAAAGTGGAATAAACTTGTATCACTCCTTTATGCTTTTCAGAATGTCTAGATAATGTAATGTATTTATAAGATTCACGAGGCACCTTCAAGAACTTTATTGCATTTTATTTTTGTTTATGAAAGAACAAAATACATGTCAGATTGCAGAATAGCACCTGTTAGATTTAGGAGACAGAACAACTTTTAGCATTCTCTTTGTCACCAAAGATAACTTGAGAAATTAGGTTTAACTATGAAGAACAGAGAGCTTTAAAAGATGTTTTAAATTCCTGGAAAAGAAGGAAAATACCTATTACTCCTTTGTCAATTGCACTTACATTTTTTCCTGCCTCTCCTGCCTTATCTACCCCAACTCACAACTAATATGTGCCAACATTGCCCCGGTGATATGGAACAATGGACTTTCCCATTAACAAGTCAGACAAGCTCTTAACTGAGGACCTTTGCTCATGCTGCTCCTCTGCCTGAAACAGTATTTCCCCCTTGTACTCCTCTAACTCCTTTCCTAATGCCATCTCTTCTTTTAGCACACTTTACATATCCTCCTAAACTCAGCTTAAGTATCCCCTTCCCCTAGGAAGCCCTCTCTACCCACTTCTTTTTTTTTGAGCTGGAGTCTTGCTCTGTCACCCAGGCTGGAGTGCAGTGGTGCGACCTCGGCTCACTGCAACAACCGCCTACCGGGTTCAAGTGATTCTCCTGCCTCAGCCTCCCAAGTAGCTGGAATTACAGGCACCTGCCACTGTGCCTGGCTAATTTTTGTATTTTTAGTAGAGACGGGGCTTTACCATCTTGGCCAGGCTGATCTCGAACTCCTGACCTCGTGATCTGCCTGCCTCAGCCTCCCAAAGTGCTGGGATTACAGACGTGACTCCCTACCCACTTCTACCCAACTAATTTTGGTTAAGGGTGCCTCCTCTGTTTATCCATACTACTTTGTGTTTGCCTCTCTCGTAGCACTCACTATATTGTTCTATAATAATATGTCCAACTATAATATGTTTGAAGGCAGACTAAATTGATTTCGTCTTTGCATTCCTAGAACCTGGAACATTCAGTAAATGTTGATTGAACTGAACTGAATAAAGCACAGAAAATGCTTAGCAAATGGTCAAGGATATTCTGAAGTGAGGGCAAATAAAAATAAGTCAACTAATAGTTATCAGACAATGCTATGAGCTATTTGCTCTACATACATAAACTCATTTAATCCTCACAGCAGCCATAAGGAATACTATTTTTCCCATTTACAGATGAGGAAATGGAGGATCAGATAAGCCAAATAACTTGCATGGCCCCAGAGCTGGTAAGTGGTAGAGCAGGGATTCAAACCCAGACCCATCTGACACCAGAAATTGAGTTCAAGCACATGCACAGAGGTGTGGGTAGTGGCCTGTATGTCAGGCTCCACCCAGGTAGTAGGGAGCGTGAGGTTAAATCATCAAGCAAAAGCAGATGACTTCACTATTCAACATCCCTGCCTCATGAAAGCCTGGGCACACAGGACAATATTGGCACCAGCTAGCTCAAGTGAACCCAGTATTAGCTCTTTTCTCTCAAGCTGACTAGACCCAACTGCCCCAGCTTCCTAGTGATTGAAGCTCTCCTTCACAAAAGACTTTGGATCTACAGGATGACCAAGGTTCCTGGTGTACCCGACGGGTTTCCTCGGTCCTCGGGGGGAAGGGAGGATATGAGACTTTCAGTGCCTTAAAAGTCCCAGGAAATCTAGGATGAGTTGATTATTTGAATCATCACCAATGATTAGAGCAGCCTGTCCTGTATATTACTCATAGGGACTCTTCCTTTCAGAAGCCTTTGGAGAAGACCACAAACAAGCCATTTATACCAATGGTATTGACCAGCGTTGTCCAACAGAACTTATTGCAATGACGGAAATATTCAACATCAGTGCTGTCCAATACAGTAACTACTAGCCACATGTGACTATTGATCATTGAAATGTCTATAGGCTTTTTAAATTTTATTTAATCTTAATTACATTTTAATTTGAATAGCCACATGTGGCTACTGACTTCCATATTGGACAGCACAGGAGTAATAAGTTTTAAATTTGGCTGCAACTGAAATTGCCTAAGGGGCTTAAAAAATCCCAATGCACAGGCTACACTCTAGATCAATTAAATCAGAGCATCTGAGATGGGACACAGATGTCTAATGTGTATCCAAGAATAAGAACCTTCAGAATAGACCAGGGATCCCAAAATATGGCCTACGAATTGACTGCATCAGAATCAACAGAGGAGTGTATTAATAATATGCAAAGCTGACTCTCTTTCCCCTTAAAAACACCTCCTAAATTACAATCCCTGGAGAAGACCTTAGAGTCAATTTTCCAAAATAAACTTTTCATATTAGAATAGAAAAGTTGTGAAGATAATACAGAGAGTTCTCATGTACCCTACACCTAGTTTCCCCTAATATTAACATCTCACATTACTGTGGTACATTTTCCATAATTAATGAACTGATATTTATACATTTTTAAGGAATCTTCAGAATTCATTCTGATTTCCTCAGCTTTTACTTAATGTTCCTTTTTTGTTCAAGGATACCATGCTGCATTTAAGTCAAGTCTCTTTAGCCATGTCCTCTTAGCTGTGACAGTTTCTCAGACTTTTCTTATTTTTAATGACCTTGACAGTTTTGAGGAGTATTGATCAGATGTTTTGTAAACTGTCTCTCAGTTTGGATTTGTCTGATGTTTTTCTCATGATTAGACTGAAATCACATGTTTTTGAGAAAAAGACCCTAGAGGTAAGTTGCTATTCTCATCCCTTGATATCAAGACAAGATGCTACCAGGATGACTTATCACTATAGATGTTCATCTTAATCACTTGACTAATGTTTGCCAGGTTTCTCTACTGTAAAATTATTTTTCTGTCAGTATCTTCCATACTATACTCTTTGGATAGTAGTTACTAAGTACAGCACACACTTAAAGAATGGGGAGTTACACTTCACCCCCTTGAGGACAGAGTATTTATATAAATTATCCAGAATAAAAATCTATTTTTGATACAATCCTCAATGATTCTTATTCATAACAAAATTTGGGAATCACTCAGACAAACAGCTGAAGGAGGCAGAACCACATGACATCCAGTTTGACCCTGATTCTCTGAGTGTGGATGACATGGTGAACTGGCGGATTTGCTAGACTTCTGTGAAGACTAGCTGATAGTCACTTATTTAGTCTAGAAACCAGATCACTGCTCCTCTAAACGCAAAACAGTGAATAAACATAGAATTGTTGATATTACCACCGAGTGTTTTGGAGTTGGAATCCAGCATATTGGAGGAGAAAAAAGCCATACCAAGAAGGATACATATAGTGCTTTGGACCAAAATCATAGCGACCAAGAGGCATTCCCTAAAGAAGACAAAATATCAGTGGTATCAGGTAGAGAAATAGGGAACTGGTGGCCCGAAGGTTCCTGGAATATATGGCCATGTGAAGAGGACCACCATGACCCATTGGCATGTACAGGACACTTTAGAGCTACAATACCATTATTGACAACAATGACAAACATTCACTAAGTCGTTAGCAGAGTTAGTTTACGGTGTAAAGGGTGATTCAGAAACTCATTTGTCACTAGTGGATTCCTTGAACTAGTAACAAAGCTATCTTACCAAGGGGAAATTGTTTTACTATTGCTGCTTATAAGCCACAGAAAGTCTCTGTTCTCTGGATCCCTGCTTGGCTTTGGTAAAGCTACAGTTAGAGACTCAACCTCTTGGTTTCTCAGAACATTAATTAGTGCATTGTTCAATTTTAGTAATCAAGGAGTGTGTGTGTTGAGAATTGTGGGAGGTTTAGAAGCCTGGTCACACCCAGGAGCAGCTCTGAGTAACTGAGAATGCTTAGTCAGAAGTGAGGACTATGGGGAGACACTTAATGCACTGAAGTGATGTGAGGTAGAAGAGTGAGCGTCTTTCATGTTCCCTGTGAAAATATAAGTAGCACTCATGGGTTATGTCTACAGAGAAATAGATTTCCTTCACCTTCACCTAGAAACATAAGTTAAAGTTTCTAACAACCTAGCAACACAGAGGACAGATTGCCTTATGGGATAGTGAGTGTTTTGTCCATTGAATTAAGTAAGTGGATGCAAGATGACCTCAGGGCTATTATAGAAAAGGTTTGTGTACTATGTAGAAAATGTGAAGAGACTTTTAAGTATCCTTTAATTCTTTCACTTTCCATCCTCTTGATATAGTATGAGTGACACCTTGCCAACTGTCTGGGATGTCACTGCTCATCTCTGTTTCTTCATCAGTGTCAGCTGTTACACATATGCAATGTGCACTTAGAAGAGTGTGATGCTTTTCTTAAACTGGCTGATTTATACACATCAGAGGAAGACATAACTTAGGCAAGAATAGCCACAGAGTAAGAGAGAGACCCTCAGTGTAGAGATCCACAGTCCTGACTTTGCCATCAAGATGCTATTATGAAAGAGGACAAGATCTTTACATCTCTGAATCTCAATAATCTTTCCTAAAATGAAGACTTTGTGCTAATTCACCTCTCAGTTTTCTTCTAGTTCTGACATTCTATGCAGTCTTCCCTTTGTCCTTATTCTCTGATGGTGTTTGCTAGGTTTCAATGAAAAGGTACTAGGCTTTATTATTCAGTGAAAATCACAAACCTTAGTGTTTACTGATGGTGCCTTAGAAAATATAAATGACAGGATTATAATGGCTGCATTGATTTGCCTTTCTACTTCTTAACTTCTTAACTTCTCTGTGTGCACACCCTTTATATGATATTTTTGCCATGCATCAGTAATCTATATTCCAAAATCTAAGACAAGTTTTGCAAATTCAGATGCCTATTGGGGCAAGGATGACTGAAAAGGCCAAGTGGTACTTCTGATAAACAGAGGACCTAGGTCTCCTGCAAGGGATTGGCCACCACTCAGCCCCATCTGTTGTTGTAATGCTAGTTCAGAGTTGCCAGATCTTCCACTTTTTATGAGAAGGTAGAAATTGTAACCTTTGTGCAAAAATCCCTTCATTTAAAATGATGGCAATTAACTAACATTTTTAAAAAAGGACAACAGGCTAAATCAATGTTTGCTGTGGGTCTTCAGTTTGTAAATTCTGATCTACAAACAATAACCAATCCAATCACAGCTCCAGTGCTTCCTGACAACCCAACCTACAGTATTTCAATAGGTAATTAAATAATAAGAAAACAAAAGTATGAAATGTCATCAAGGATTAGTGGTTTAAAAAAAGAGGAGATAGTCTCAGTTAGGATATTTCAGACAGGCATCTGCCTGCCTTACTTTGTTATCAGCTTCTTAGATGTGGTTCTGTAAGTTTTGCTTAGGAAGGAAGTAGTAACAAAAGCTCTTGGCTAATTGTCTTTGGTGACAAATACCACAGATGGTGTTATATCCCAAGTGTATGAACGTAAGAGTGTCACACACTATTTCAGTGTCTAAAATAAAAAGAAATGACCATTTTATCAGCACGTGATTACCATGATGTGGAATAAACTTCATAAGTGTATTACTCTGTTCTCATGCTGCTAATAAAGACATAACCTGAGACTGGGTAACTTATAAAGGAAAGAGGTTTAATGGACTCACAGTTCCACATGGCTGAGGAGGCCTCACAATCATGGTGGAAGGTGAAGGAAGAGCAAAGGGACTTCTTAAATGGCAGCAGGCAAGAGAGTGAGTGCAGGGGAATGCCCCATATATATATATATATATATATATATATATATATATATATATATATATATATATATATATATATAATATTTTTTTTTTTGCAAAAAGGCACATGGATGAAGCTGGAACGCCCCTTTATGAAACCATCAGATCTCATGAGACTTATTCACTGTCACGAGAACAGCACAGAAAAGACCCACCCCCATGATTCAATTACCTCCCACCAGGTCACTTCCATGACATGGGGATTATGGGAGCTACAATTCAAGATGAGACTTGGGTGGGGACACAGCCAAACCATATCAGTAAGAAAATCAGAAAATTTCCAGGATGCCAATTTTCTGGGAAGCTTTTGAGCAGCATAGGTTTGGAGCAAATGCCTACTAATGTCTTAGTGTAAATTTATTTCCAGAGATTCTCAGAGGGGAATGGAACTTACATTTATTTAATGCCTACCATGTCCCCAAGTATAGTACTTATTACATAGATAATAAGATGAATAAAGTAGTTTATTTCTTACTCGTCAGGAGTAAGTCTGACTTACTAGGAAAGGGATGACTAGAATCTCATGAGAATTTTAAATTTTTTACACTCACCTTATTTTATTTAGTCAAGACATTTTTTGTCCCTCTCCTAGAGGTCACTCTGGGAAGTTCAGCAGTTTCAGCAATGCTTACCAATGCTCAGATCTCTGGACCTATTTAAACCAATAGCAAATACTTTTGGATCACTGTAGTGTTGGCACGTCTCTGTCCCTGGAGGGTGAATTTGATTTTTGTCTGCAGCCAAATGCCATTCTCATTGGAGGCTAGTGAAGAAGGTGAGTTGACAAGCTTGGGCATTACCATTTTGGGTCAAAAAAGAAGTAGGTTCTGGAGTAATCAAACTAATATCCGTGTTTGGCTTGTAAAGAACCAGGATGGGATGTACAGTCTTTGTTTAGCTATACATTCCGGCAGGTTTTCTTAAACTTGTCTTTTTTTCTGCATGTCCACACTTTATTACAATGCTACAGTTTCTAATCCTCTTTTAGCTAGACTAAAAGGCTCTTTCCTACTTTGGCGTCTAATTTTGTATTCCTAGTTTTCCTAACAGGCCCTACCTAAGTTTAGTTCTATATTAGTTTACTTTACTTTGGTTTAGTTTCATATGTTTTTATATTTTTTTATTTTATTCTATAATTTGTGTATTTTGTTATATATTTTAGTTTACTTTAGTTTCATATATTTACTTTAGTTTAATATATTTTAGTTTAGTTTCACATATTTTGCATTGTATGGGAGGAAAAAAGAATTCTCTCTCTATTCTTCCGAATTCTTATCTGGAACCCCTGCAAAAAAAGGCAGATGAAAAAGAAAAAAGCGAACAGAAGTTTATTAACAAATAGGCTTCACGTATATATGGGAGATACCCAGGGAATGAGCAATTCTCAAAGAAGTGGCTTAGAACTCTGGTTTATGTGGCATCATCAACAAAGAACAACACATTGGTGGGGAAGTAACAAGACAAGGGGAAAGGATCTTGAGTTTCTAGGGGTGGCAAATTGTGGGAAAACAAATACATGGGAAACTAATGATAGACAAAAGGTTATATAGTAAAGTCTGTTATGTAGATTTCCCTGTGCCATCTTCAGGCAAGCAAGGGCCTAAGGTCATCCCTGGTGATCAACCTTTGTCCTTCTTGGTAGAGAGGGAAGGAGGGACACCTTTATAAGTGTATGTCCTGCTTTTAAGCAAATAGGGGTAGGGCAGAGAGATTTTTTGTATCTACTTCTCGATTGCTTTCAACCCAAAATAATCCTTATGCCAGAGAGGCATATTTTGGGGTGGCATATTCAGCTACCCTTCAGCAAAAAGTATCTACATATCTTGTACCAACTGGTCTCCTTCCCTGTTTGCAGCTGTACAAATTAAGGTATTATGAAAGCATGGTCATTCAAAGGAGGCACCCGTTCTGCTGCTCCTTTGTAACTTTCTTTTGCCCGCCTGTTTTTCCTCTGCCCTCCTGTTTGCTGCTCCTTTGCAACTTTCACTCCAAGCTTTACAAACATTTTTAGTGTCTTAAGTTTCCTCCTTCCCCACAACACACAAATTCATATAGTCCAGCCCTGTGTATTCTATTTCCAGAGCCGGGGATAGCTTCCCTTTTCTTCTTCTGCCAAATCATGTTTCTGCCTTATTTTAAAAGTCTACTCAAAATTCATCTACAGCAAACCTTCTTAGATGCATTTTTTCTACAGGGAGAATGCTCCAATCACTCCAGTGATTTCATCAGCACACTTACTTGATGTAAGCTCTTATATTTTCTCACATTTGCAGTATATTCACCATTAGGTTGTAAACTTTTGGAGGCAGCCAGTGTGTTCATTTTTCCCTTAGGGCACCCTGCCCTTCTACATATAGTAGAAACTCAGGAATTTGGTTAAGCAACTTTCTATTTTCCCCAAACCTTAAAAGAGCTGTCTGCAATGACCATCTCAGACGTTGTTAGTTTCAGAAAGTTTCCCTAATTTATTTTAAGGAAAGAACAGATAAGATGCATAAGATAAGGGACATTCTCTGGCTGTAGGCTTTCTTTAGCACATTTCAGGATTATTATAACATAAAAGCCTTGCCCTATTTTCCTTAAGCAGCACGCGGCTGCCTAGTGTACTTGCCTTAGGAGGTCAAACACATTAGGTATACCAACATATCGACCACCAAAAGCCAATGCACAGAACAGAGGTCCTCGGGCAAACAGGTTGAACCATAGTTGCAAGGTCAAGCCATTATAATGCAAAGCATCCAAGGGTGACCATCATGCTTTCCCCTGCGTTTCTGCAAAGCACAGATTTTCCCAGGGATTGCTGAGCAAAGAGCCCCTTACTAAAGAAACAGCAGACTCCATGGAAGAGTGTCAATTTTATGATCCACTGCTGGTTTGGGCTGATTTGCTTTTAACTAATTATTGATCACCGTAATGACTAACTTTTGAGAGAGCCCTGCCAAAAATAAATATTCCTTAAATGAGGTACACCAATGTTTTTTTCCACTCCAGTCCTTGAAAATGGTGAGTTAGAGCAGAGTTTCCTAAAGCATGGCCTGAATTTACGGAACCATGGTCAACAGAATCACTTGGGCAATTTGTTAAAATGTATTAGGTTGGTGCAAAAGTAATCACGGTTTTTGCCATTGAAAGTAAGGGTCCTAATACATTCCTGGGGCTCACCTGAGCCAGGATTTCTGGCATGGGGCCTAGAGATCTGCATTTAAACAAGAGCCACACAGAAGCACTTGGACAGAGGGTAAGAAGGGAATGTGATACTGAAGTCTCAAAAATACAGAAGAATAGTAAGGAATGATCTTCATCAATATTATCATAGCTTTTTCTTGTTAGATTATAGGATCCCAGGCTTATGTCCTCAGAGAACAGAATGGAGAGCAGATTTATAGACAGGGAAGGGGATTGGACAGGACTGTGGGCCTGCATTCTATTTTAGGCCCTGCCTCTGATTGTCTGTGTGGCTTTGAAGAGTTCACTAAGCCCTTTGGCCCTCATTTTGTAATCTATAAGTGTGTGGGCCTATTATTTTAATATCCTGTCTACCTCTAACAATTTCTGATTGAAATATTGAATTTGAAAATATAAATAGGCAGTATAAACTCTTCTGTTTATCTGTGGCGTCTGTGAGGTAATAAGCAGAAGAGGTTGATAGTTTCACAAAAGGAAAGCATGACTTAGACAGAGTGCCTAAAATTCTGTCCCGGGAACCATGATCTCCTCATCTACTGGCTGTCTGTGTTTGGGCAATCACCTGCATATCAGTTTCCTCATCTGCAAAATGACAATGGCACTTGCCAGCCACCACTTTTCAGGGCTCCTGAGCAGGTCAAAGACGTAACCTGCTCAAATGTTTTGAAAACTATTAAGTGCCAATCAGATTATCAGTTGTCACTCAAATTTGGATTAATTAGGTCAGATATTAGGTGTCAGGTGGTGTTTAAATCCTTGTTGTCCAGAGTGACATGGGAAGCACTGGAAGCTTAGGATACCATTAGGAGATCCTGAGGCTTGAGTGAGAAGATCCCATAAAGAGCAACACGGCTCAAACAGCGCCAAGAGGGCAGGCTGTGTGCCAAGATCAGCCTGGGAGTTTATACAACACTTATTTTAGCTTCAGACATACTTTAGCCCCTAGAAAAGAAAGTGAACAGGAAGAGACCCTCGAGATATCTTTGGATGCATCAAGAATTTTAAAAGCTGCAACTTGGAATTCAAAGCATTCACTTCCTTTTCCAACAAAATTGAGACCCTATAGGGTAATTTTATACTGAAGAGCTCCCAGTTCTTTAAACCTGATTGGAATTTGAGATAGTTGGAACAGGACAAGACTCTTATTACCTATGATAAAAGGCATCATCAGGTAGGGGCAAGAGTATGGACTCTGGAGGTAGGTTGGATTCATATCCCAGTTTTCAACAATTTATTTTGAGTCCCTTGGCAAATCATCTAGCATCTCACCTCAGTTTTTTCATCTATAAAATGAGAAGGATGTAACACCTGCTTCATCAGGTGGCGATGAGGACAGATGCGAGAATACAGTGGAATACTGAATTCTGGTGACTTTCAATATTCTATTCCTCAGCACTAACCCATGCTTACATGCATTTTATGACAATCCACGTTACCTAAGCCCAAATTATTACCTGCAACGCAGCTTGGCAACCTTCAAACACTAACCAAATCAGGTATCAGAGCCCTTGTTTCTTGAACTTTCAAAGACAGAAGATGAACATATAAAATAGAATATTTTGTTTCATGATTTTGTTACTGTAAGCCATGTCTGGTAAAGACCAATACAAGGAAAATGGGCTGAATCTGTGAATTACATCAGCAGGTTCAGAATAAATGATGGCTCACACACCAGAACTCATTTCAATCATCCCTAAATTTAAAACAGGAAAATGGTTGGCAAAGTTGTTCCCTTTCTTCCTCTGGAGAAACTACTTGAAATAAATATGAATTTGAATTTTACATGAATGATATCTCAAGAGTTTGTTAGTATGATTATCATACTTCAAGTTTATGGCTTATCCAGAAATCAAACAACTATAGTAACCAGATAAAAGTCCTTTTTTTTTTCTGTAACATATAACAGTAATTAGAGTTTTCTACTTGTGACCTTAAGGTGTGTTGTCATGGTCTTGACATTTCTGCAGAAGTAAACTATTCAATTCAGTAGTTTCTGTGTTTGCAGTTATATGTATTTAACTTGTATTTTGCATATTTAATTTGTATTTAAATCGCTAAAAACTGGTAACTCAGAAATGTTACGTATAGACATCCTCATTTATCCAGAATATTTGACTAACCAGACACCTAATTATGTTTTGAGTGGTCCTATCTATGCATTTAATGAATGTTCTTATTTTGTAGCCAGCATATGTAATACAGGTGATTCCTTTCAGCGATGGGAGCTGGACAAATCTATATGCAGGGTTTTTGATCATCTTGGGTTTAAAACTCATAATGGAGCAATTAAAACCATGTTTGTTTTCCTGAATCCATGACAACAATAACTTTATCCCAAAACCAGCTGTGAATGTTGGTAACACGGGCACTCTGCTGACCTGAAGGAATGCAGGCACAGTGCATTTTGCACACATGTTTGTCGGTAGAGTACTTTTTTGGTAGAGAGGAAGAGAAAATTCTGGCTTCTTTAGAGAAGTGGATGTAGGCAATCCCTCCTCCAAAAGTAGTCAAAATACCACTCCAGAGAACCTTGACTTTATAAGGGAAGGCAGCTTCTGAATCACTGAAAGCCTTTTCCTCCTTAATTCTCACTGGCTGGCCTGGAATGAGGCTCTGCTAAAAATGTTAGAGGCAGCTGTTGATATAGGCATTTCTGTCCTCTTTTCTAGTACCATAATGTGTGCATGTTAAAGAGATTCTGCAGGTCCCTTATACCTTATTCATCCCTTTTAAAGCCTTCTTCTTGGAAAGTAGATGTGGAGGATCTAGAATTGGAAAAGTTTCTGTCTTTCAGAACTTTGTGTAGGTTTGGTATTCATAAAACATTACATTATTTGATGTCTCCCCCCAACCCCCACCCCGCAATACTACACAGAGATGAAAAATGTGTTTAGGTAGAAGATCCTCCTAAATAAGAAGGAAGGGTCTGGAAAGCTGTTATCTGGGTTGTATTACAACTTTGTGTTTTTTTCTCTCTTATTAAATAATACTCAAGACAAACACTTTTATAAGTAGGATCTTGATTATTGAGGCAAGAAGTATAATCTTAAGCAGTGAGAATGGGGGAAATTGGAACACATTGTTATTCCCATAGGATCAGCATAGATTTCCGTAATGTCCAAATTACCTTGCCATTTCTTTCATTTCCCAAAAAAAGCTCTTTAGTGTCAATTTTCCATCAAAAAAAAATCTTTGGAAGAAGTGAGTATTTCCACATTCTGCTATGCCTTAGGGCATCAGCTGTGCCCAAACTCATGCTTGTAAGGCTGAATGGTCACTCTGCTTTTGATGTCTCTATTTGAAAAAGCCTACAAATCCAAAGAAAGCATGCCCCCATTGGCATAGTCTCTGTTGTGCAAAGGAGACTTTCAGAGCTTTAGGCTCCATCTGTCATGATCATTTTTCAAACAGACTATTTTTTAGATCAGTTTTATGTTTGCAGCATCAAGATCACTTTTTTTTTTGGCTGGTTTACTCCTACTCAAATTGTTTCTGGCTCTCTGGGATGACCAGTTTCTCAAGGAAAGAAACCTCCTCTGACCACCATATCATCCTCCCAACTATATCTTTTCATATACGTTAATAGCACTCTATCTTTCCTTCATAGTACTTACTGTAGTTTGTAGTAATACATTTGATACAATTATTTCATTCGTATACATCTTCCTCACCAGCCTAGGGAAGGGACACTGATTGTTCACCATCATATCCCAGTATCTAGCACAGTGCCTAAGGGATAGGAGGGGCTCAGTAAATATCTCTTGCAAGGATGTTGTTAAATTGTAAACTCTGCCAAGGCCTTTATGTTGAATGAATGAATGAACGAATGAATGAATGCCTCTAACTCTTCATAAAATAAACACTTTTTGGAAAAAATTGCTCATGGCAGACGTCAGATGTAACCACACTGATAACTGGAAAGAAAAATGAATTTAGATGGGTTTTAGAGATAGAACAATGTTTCTAATATTCAAGCAGTCCATAAATCCCTTATACTTAATGTTAAAATTCAGGATATGATACCTAAAGAAAGGTTTTACTGTACTTGGATCAAGGCACCTACCAACTTTTTCTCTACTCATAGGCAAAGTCACTACCCTGTTTAAGGAGGTCTTTGGACGTTTCCATCTCAAGAAACAGCTCTTCAATCTCTCCCTTGTATTCCACCTTCCAGAACCACCCAGAAATTCCAGTAAAGTCTTATTGACCTGATTGTCTGTCCTCTTCGCTGAGTTCCTTTTGAATGCAGCAAATTGCTGTGCCCTTTTCTGACTTCCATTTCACTTTTATCCAGCTTCATAGGAGCTTAGGCCCCTGCTTGTTGAGGAGGGCGTTCAGTTAGTGCTGAGACTACCTGAATAGGTCTGGTTCTAGCTACTCACAACTCAGAGAGGTAGTGAATGCTAGGAGGTAGGAAGAAGGACATTCAACCAGAATACTAAAATTGCATTTAGATAGTCCAGAAATTAGACAGTTGGCACAGCATTAGAATTCCCCATTTATCCTTACAATAGTTTGCTGAGAATGATGGTTGGGAATTGAACAATGAGAACACTTGGACACAGGAAGAGGAACATCACACACCGGGGCCTGTTGTGGGGTGGGGAGAGCGGGGAGGGATAGCATTAGGAGATATACCTAATGTAAATGACAAGTTAATGGGTACAGCACACCAACATGGCACGTGTATACATATGTAACAAACCTGCACGTTGTGCACATGTACCCTAGAACTTAAAGTATAATAAAAAAGTGTGTGTGTGTGTGTGTGTGTGTATATATATAAAGAATTCCCCACTTAATATTTATACATCCAAAAACTGACAAAAATAATGTCTGAACTCATGTCTGACATTCAGATTCCTCCGCCCAAAGGCAATAAATAAAATAATACTAAGATGTAAAGGCAAACCTTGTCTTCTGTCATGATCTACAGATGGCACAAATAATAGACATTTTCCCGAATAATGGCGTCTGATTTTCAAGCAATGCTTAGCCAATTGTAGATTTGGGCAGAAAAAGTTTGTACCAAGCATTTGAGCTGGAAAAGGCAGATATTTTTCTTGACCTCACTTTTCCTAAAGTTCACAACTTCTGCTACTTAAATGAGTATCTCATCTCTAAGTGTGTGAAGTAACAGATGATGTATCTGTTTTTCATCCTCAAAGAGTTAACTTGATAAAATAAGTACAGCTAAGGACAAACACAAACACAAAATGAGAAAACTTCATGCAGTATGTTTTGTGTTTTGTAAAGGGTGCCAATGGCATGGAGCCATCTGATTCTGTTGCAGTCTTTGGCAACACGGCCCATTTAAATTCAAGTTAGGATCTGAGTGTTTGGGTAAACAGAATAAGCTAAGAATGAGTGGCAGACATATTTCCTCAAATCCCATCTGATACAGGTTTAGATCCAGATTTTGTCATTTGACTAACTCCTTCCTTTTTTAGATGATTTGGATTTGCCTTTTTTTCTTATAATAAAAGTCATAATGCCAACCACTTTAAGAGTTCTTTTGCTGCTCTTTTTTGTTGCTATCTTTTTGTAACTAATAGGACACGTGTAAGACTATAATACAAACAGGAGTCCTAGCATGTAATGGCTTTAGCAATTTGTGCAATATCCCTCTTTTTGTCCTTCCTGCATATTTTCTCCCTAGAAAGCAGCCAAGAATTGGTGTTCAGAGGGTGATGCTCTGATGGTGAGCAGATCTACAGTTTGCCTAACAGTTTATTTAAGCCAAATTTATAGTTTCTGAAGCGCTAGAAGGCTGCTGTCCAAGGGGACTACTTTTTTTTTTTTTTTTAGATGGAGTCTTGCTCTGTCGCCAGGCTGGAGTGCAGAGGCGTGATCTCAGCTCACTGCAACTTCTGCCTCCCCAGTTCATGCTATTCTCCTGCTTCAGTCTCCTAAGGAGCTGGGACTACAGGCTCACACCACCACGCCCAGTTAATTTTTGTATTTTTAGTAGAGACAGGGTTTCACCATGTTGGCCAGGATGGTCTCAATCTCTTGACCTTGTGATCCACCCGCCTCAGCCTCCCAAAGTGCTGAGATTACAGGCATGAGCCACCACGCCCAGCCAGGGACTACTTATTAACTGGCCATTTAAAATGAAATGAAACAAGGTCCTCAATTGCTAACGATTAAGGGGAGAGGAGTGTAAATTCAGCTATTGTCTTGTCTTCAGGCAGCAGGAAATTAAGGGATTGGTAACTGTTATTTGTAATAGTAATTGATGTCACAAAAGGAGTTTTGAGAACAGGGAGTTTAGGAAAAAAATTGATCTCCTTTTATTTTTAGTCTGTTAATATTTAATGTAATATTTGATACAGTTCGATTTAGATTTACTGTTCTTTGATCTATTTTTATTTTTTGCCTTTTTTGTTGTTCTCTTTCTTCTCTCCTGCCTTCTTTTATATTGTTTAATTTTTTTTCTAAATTTCATTGTAATTTATCTATTAGCTTTTTAACTATATCTTTTGGCATTATTTTTACAAAGTTGCTCTAGGGATTACAATATACATCCTTAAATACTCACCATCTACTTCATGGAAATTACTGTAACCTTACAAATGTATAAATCGATTTTACCCTTGTTCATCCCATTATAATGTATATTATAAGCCTCATACAATGGTATGATTTTTACTTTTTCTCTGCGTTGTTTCTAGTTAACTATATGTGCTATCAAAGTGAGACCCCATTTATCTTTTAATCTGTTTCTGATTGTTTTTCCAGTGTCTACTTAACTGAGACTCTTACAGGTAATTTTGTAGGATACTAGGTGTTTTAGATGGCAAATATAAAGATTGTGTTTGTGTATGTGTATGTGTTTATATGTGAGGGCCAATCTATTGAAAAGAAACACTGCAGAATACTAAAGCAAAATTGAAACCATTTAGAGTTTGTAGTTGTTTTATTTTAAAAGCTAACCTTGTAAGTACTTAGTCTTTCAAAAAATAATTTTAACTTCTATGTTTTATTTTTCTATTTTAATTTTTCCTGGGCCTTGCCTCCCAATCCTCTCACCTTCCCTTTCTTCTGTGTGACCTATAGATTCAGAAATTCCTTTCTGGGATAATTTCTGGCACTGCTTTGGAGATGGAGCCCCTGAAAATTGGCTATGGACCAAATGGATTCCCACTCTTGGGGATCTCTAGGTCATCATCACCATCTGAACAGCTCTGAGAGAGACAAGAAGTGGAATGGAGAAGGTGATTAGGTAATCCAAGAATTGCCAGGCGAACAATTGTGAAAATCTTTCATAGAGTTCCCGATGAAAACAACTCTTTCTTGTTAGCCATTATCTCTGCCTTTCCTTTCTAAAGAAAAACACGTCATTTCATCTTGATTATCAGTTTCTCAAGTACTCATGGATGTGAGGCCAGGTACCCTGTCACCTTGGCTCTGTTTGGGATGCAATGTTGTGTTTGTCACCACTTCCCATTCCCCAAAAGCATCTTTAACATAGACCATTCATTCTTCAGATTCAAAATGCTTAAGCTGAACTAACCTCAAAGGGCCCTCATTAATTTACAGACATTTGAATAACACCCATATTCATTTCTGCTACTGAACCAAAGCCTTTTCCAAAAAAATCATCTAGCAAACTGTTTTTGCCAGGCCAAATATTAACAGGTATATATATTTGCATACATAAATATTTACCTCTATGTCTTGTGTGTTTTTGTTATGAGACAGAGTCTCACTCTGTCGCCCAGGCTGGAGTGCAGTGGCACAGTCTCAGCTCACTGCAACCTCCACCTCCCAGGTTCAAGCGATTCTCATGCCTCAGCCTCCCGAGTAGCGAGGACTACAGGCGTGCACCACCACGCCCAGCTAATTTTTGTATTTTTAGTAGAGATGGGGTTTTACCCTGTTGGCCAGGGTGGTCTCGAATTCCTGACCTCTGATGATCTACCCGCCTGGACCTCTCAAAGTGCTGGGATTACAGACATGAGCCACTGTGCCCTGCCTCTGTTTTGTGTATTTACATAAATACATGTCTCCAGAGCTTTAAATTCTTCTTAAATTTTAAAACTAGAACTAAACCAGACATTGAGAGGACCCAGAAATATACCCTGACTAACGTGGGTGGAATTTCATTTGGCTTGACTCTTTGGTGAAAAAAAAAAAAATCAGGCTCTCAAGGACTCAATTTGGTGAACCAATGCCAAATAGAAAAATGTTCTTGACATTTTCCCCAAAATAGATGTCTAAAGATTTTGCACTTCAAATTGGTACTTTATGTATTAAAAGTGATATTGAAACTAAATTCCTACCCAATTAGTTGAAAAATATGAAAAAAGCAATTGCTAGAGAATGCAATTTATTAAATGTTGGTGGTCTTTTAAAAAATGAATTCCTCTTGTAGCCAGTGAGATCAGTTATTTATTTATTTATTTTAATAGTAACAAGGTCTCACTATATTGTCCAGGCTGATCTTGAACTCCTGGCCTCAAGCTGTCCTCCCATCTCAGCTTCCCAAAGTGCTGAGATTATAGGCATGAGCCACCATGCCTGGCTAGTTAATGGTTATTAAGTAATACAAACATTTCTGTGAATTCCACCAGATCATTGACTTTGGCATAGTTCACTTAAGACTTTGTTTGATAAAATAAATCTCTTTCACTCTAATTAGGAAGCATTTTTGGGATCCTGATTAATGCTCTAATATTGTGGGGCCAAAAAATATGTGGAACGTGGCCCTGCAGTTAGATGAGCTGAGATCACTATAGTACTATATAGCGCTCTAAATCCTAAATGCTAGATCACTGTAATACTGTACAGATCAGCCACTTGCTGGCTTGTGACTCTGGGCCATTTACTTCACCTCTCAAAAGGCATATTTAAAGTGAGGAAAATAATAAGTTTATTTTGGAAATTCAGTTAGATGATGCAAATTGTTTACTGTAATTTCTAGCATGTAGTTCGTGCTCCATGCATTTAACTGTTATTACAGGTTGTATTAGTATCACATTAAATTACCCACTGAAGTGAAAGTGAAACCAGAATGCTGTCAACGATTAAAAAAAAAAAAAACTCTCAAGCAAGAGCAAACAATGATACTGCCTCTACATTTTCCAAATCTTTGAATGCTTGGCTATTTTAAGGTTTGTGAGGAAAAGATTGCTAAATTTATACAAAAGGAAGGAGATAAATCAGAGGCGGAAGAAACCGTGTACAGAGCAGCGTGTGCATTTGAATGAGGTATTAGCTCCATGCAGAAAAATTAGTTGAGAAGGACAATAGTACTGTCATACTTTTTAAAAACTGAAAGTACCTGAAAGTGTTTGTTTTTTTCTTATTACAGACTAGACATAATAACAATTTTCCTGTCATTCCTGCTTTCCCAGTTCTCCAATACGTAAAGAATCAGGTGGAACAGTAGAGATGGTACAGGAAGGGGCATGGAGAGCAAAGGGAACTATCAGCAAATAAATGTGTGGGCTCTGGGCTTAGGAAAATGGGGCCCTGACTACTTTTCCACTGGATCGTAAGTTCCATGAGAGTAGGATTTTTTTTTTTCAATGTTGGTCAATGCTGCGCCTCCAGGTCATAAAACAGTGCCTGGCACATATTGGCCTCTTAATAAATATTCGAGAATTAAAGAAAGGCCACAAACCAGGAGATACTTGACAGAGCAGGAGGTGACTTGGTGACTTGAGCTTTTGAGGCTCACCTCCATTGAATCTGTCCTCTATGCTTAGATTCGGGGAGTTTTTAGTGCACTATCAGTATACAGTACTACTCCCATTGTGTTATACCATAATACTATGCAGTGAGATTAATAGAAGCCAAATTTCTTTCCTCTTCATTTGGCTGACAAATTAATTGTCACCAAAATCTGATGTCTCTTTCAAGTTTGAGGCAAGGTCAAATGACCCAGCCACTGAATCTTATGTCCCATCCCGATTAGGACCCAACCATACATTACTATTATCAATTAGTTATAGTGATAATATAATGTGTAATACAGGGGTGTCCAATCTTTTAGCTTCCCTGGGCCACATTGGAAGACTAAGAATTGTCTTGGGCCACACATAAAATACACTAACACTAACTATAGCTGATGAGCTAAAAAAAAAATCGCCAAAAATCTCATAATGTTTTAAGAAAGTTTACGAATTCGTGTTGGGCTGCATTCAAAGCCATCCTGGGCTGCATGTGGCCCACGGGCCGTGGGTTGGACAAGGTTGGTATAATAGATAACATATAATTAATATATTGATATTATCACAAATGCCAGAGTAAACAAGGGGAAACTATTTAGTCTCTAACAAAAGGATTGATAGGCCAAGGAAAATATATTGGTTCATTATGAGGATCACGGAAAATGGAGAAAATTAGTACATTAATTACATTTGAATAGTCCTTCCATTGTACTGAACTAATTCAAGTGTTTTGACCCTAAAATTTTGTAGTTCTATAGCAAAAACCCACTTCCTTTCCACTAAATTGAAAATGACTAACATATCTCTAATGTACCCTGAACATAATCAGCAGCAATTCAATGATATTGTGTTATTTTAAAATACACACCAACTATTGAGACAGATGATTATAATTTTAAATTAACAAAATTGTATTCATAATTAAGAAGCTATGATAGAAATAAAGTGTTGAACAGAATTTCTTGAAAGTATTTTTACTAAATAAAACCAAATGTAAAGGTCCAGGTGCTGGGTAGAGTTGAAGTTTGAAAATTGAATAAAATAATTCTTTCATTAAATATTATTAGAGCTTCTTAGAGGCTCAAACCAATGCTGATGTTTGTAGAGAAGTTGCATTGTGCTTGAGATCCTTATATCTGGTGAAGGTAATTTTTGCCCACATTCCCCAGATTCCTTTAGATTAGCAGCAAAATGTATGCCTACATATCCCAAAGGAGAAGCTTATTTTCTGCTATTTTGACATCTAATGAATTAATGCTTGTGTGGACTGAATTGTTAAAAAATTTAAGATAATTTTCTCCCATTTTGTAGGTTGCCTGTTCACTCTGATGGTAGTTTCTTTTGCTGTGCAGAAGCTCTGTAGTTTAATTAGATCCCATTTGTCAATTTTGGCTTTTGTTGCCATTGCTTTTGGTGTTTTAGACATGAAGTCCTTGCCCATGCCTATGTCCTGAATGGTAATGCCTAGGTTTTCTTCTAGGGTTTTTATGGTTTTAGGTCTAACATTTAAGTCTTTAATCCATCTTGAATTGATTTTTGTATAAGGTGTAAGGAAGGGATCCAGTTTCAGCTTTCTACATATGGCTAGCCAGTTTTCCCAGCACCATTTATTAAATAGGGAATCCTTTCCCCATTGCTTGTTTTTCTCAGGTTTGTCAAAGATCAGATAGTTGTAGATATGCGGCGTTCAACCTACTCATCTGACAAAGGGCTAATATCCAGAATCTACAATGAACTCAAACAAATTTACAAGAAAAAAACAAACAGCCCCATCAAAAAGTGGGCAAAGGACATGAACAGACACTTCTCAAAAGAAGACATTTATGCAGCCAAAAAACACATGAAAAAATGCTCATCATCACTGGCCATCAGAGAAATGCAAATGAAAACCACAATGAGATACCATCTCACACCAGTTAGAATGGCAATCATTAAAAAGTCAGGAAACAACAGGTGCTGGAGAGGATGTGGAGAAATAGGAACACTTTTACACTGTTGGTGGGACTGTAAACTAGTTCAACCATTGTGGAAGTCAGTGTGGCGATTCCTCAGGGATCTAGAACTGGAAATACCATTTGACCCAGCCATCCCATTACTGGGTATATACCCAAAGGACTATAAATCATGCTGCTATAAAGACACATGCACACGTATGTTTATTGCAGCATTATTCACAATAGCAAAGACTTGGAACCAACCCAAATGTCCAACAATGATAGACTGGATTAAGAAAATGTGGCACATATACACCATGGAATACTATGCAGCCATAAAAAATGATGAGTTCATGTCCTTTGTAGGGACATGGATGAAATTGGAAATCATCATTCTCAGTAAACTATCGCAAGAACAAAAAACCAAACACCGCATATTCTCACTCATAGGTGGGAATTGAACAATGAGATCACATGGACACTGGAAGGGGAATATCACACTCTGGGGACTGTTGTGGGGTGGGGGGAGGGGGGAGGGATAGCATCGGGAGATATACCTAATGCTAGATGACGAGTTAGTGGGTGCAGCGCACCAGCATGGCACATGTATACATATGTAACTAACCTGCATAATGTGCACATGTACCCTAAAACTTAAAGTATAATAAAAAATAAATAAATAAATAAATAAAATTTAAGATAAGCTCTTGACTGTCCTTTTCACATAAGTGGGTGAAGTTGAGAAAACATAACTGTGAATACATTTGTTGTACTCTGCTCAGCCTTTCATCACCCCTGCTCTGACCTGTTGGAAAGTGGTAAGAGAGAGAAAAGATTCTGTTCTATTGAAAGCCAATCTCAATGGAAAGAAGTGACAACCAGTCAGGCTCATGCTGAGAGATGGGTCTAGTCATGAGCCAGGCTCAGTTCATTTGCACCACGGCTCCAGCTCACCCTACTTCAGGGAACTGAAGATGTCTAGGTGTCTGGGTCACCCTGAGAGGGGGAGTTTATTAAAATGAATCCTCTCTTCTACAAATTCATGCTAAATTGTTCCACGTCTAATGGTAATTTCTCCAAAAAGCCTTCTATGACACCTGAAGCTATTAGAAGCAACCTTCCTTATTCTTTCTGTCCTTGAATTTGATCTCTTCTCTATTATTATTATTATATTATTATTATTAATAGGAACTAATATTCATCAAGAATTTACTGTTTCTGGCACTGCATAGCATCTTTTCTATGAATTACCTCCTTTCATCCTCCTAATAAGCATATAAAGTTTATTCTGTTAATATTTGTTTTATAAATCAGAAAACTGAAAGCTCAGAAAACCTTTTTATGTTTAAAAACACTGTCCACTGCCTGAAACACTGAAAACAAAATGGATAAAAATTAAGTACAATTAAAATTATAGATTCTTTAGCTTCTACTAAGCTGGTTTTAATGGGTTATGATGTTGTGTATGAGCGTAGGGATCTGGGGAGGAGAGATAAGGAAGGGAAGAAAGTGAGTACTGAGACAAAAAAGCAGAAAAAAAAAAATGAGGTCAGCGAGTTTCCCGGCTCTGCCGCAGGGTGCCTTGCCAGCCTTGGCTCCTAGGAAGGGAAGACTTGTGGCTCACCACAGACCAGATTCCTGCTGACTTCAAAGAGAGACGTTCACAAGGAGAAGATGCCAGCATTCAGGACAGATGAGAGTCTGGCCAAATAATTGTCAGGAACCCTTAAAATGTAGGCTACTCATCTTGGGATGATTTTAAACAGTAATAAGTGTAGGCAGCAATAACCCTAATGAAGTATGGGGAAAGAGAATGTGAGAGTCTCACACTAGGGCTGTTCTCTCTCACTCTCCCTCTCTTTTAATTGTTAATGATGACTTTTTTTTTTTAACAAGTCTACATAACCTGAGAGATGGGGCGAGAACAGCATAAATGCCATGGTTTTGATCCTCCTATCAAAAATCAGGACAAAATCTAAACTCAATTCGATCAGAAAAGGTTACATGTGCTTGACTGTATAATTTGCTAGCCATTTGTTTAGTCCTGACTCTCTAATCAAATGCCAGGAGGATCCAGAGAGCAACAGCAAAGGTCATTTCTAGTGCCTGTGTCCTCACCACACACCTCCTCACACATGTGTAAAGCACCTACAAAGGCTTTGGGGTAGATCCTGGCAAAATGGAATAATAGAAGATATAGTTCTTACGTTCAAAGAGCTTCCAAGCTATTTATGGAGCTTGACAGATGCAGAAAAAGGCAACGCTAATTTGCAAAGTCTGTAGTTTCAGAAGATGGCCAGCTGAGCCGAAAGATAAAGTGGACTTCTTTCCACTTGAAATTTTATTTCATTTATTAATTTTTAAGTTTTGTTCACCACTTCTACTTTTCCCACCCTTCTGGTCTGGACAGAAATGAAATAGTTCAGTTTTAGGCACGATAAGAATTCAAGGTGGTGAGTGGAACATGAGCAGGAATTAAACATAATGCACTTTAAATGTACAACTAAGAAGTCAGGGCATGAGGTATAGATTTGAAGAGCATCTGGGAAGAGGTGATGGTTGACACTTCAGGCCTTCTTTGAAGCTAGGGGACCTGAGGACTGAGGAGAGCACATTAGCAAGCATCAGGACGCTGAACATAACCACAGTGGAGGTGACAGGGAAGCAACAGCCAGGGATAAATAAGAGCCAGAACTGTGGTGTCTGGTGAGCCAAAAGAGAGACGCATTTCACAGGCAAAGAGAGGCCAGGCCTGATGCTTATAATTACTCTAATTTGTCATCCCCAGTAATCTGTAGAGTCCAGGAAGGCAAGGAATGTTCTTATCCTGCCTACTGCTATTCCCTGAGGCCTAACACAGTCCATGGTACAAAGTAGGTACTCGTAAGTATTCGTTTAGTTAAGGAAAATTGTTGGGATCTTAGACTTAAGCTCAAAGCCTCCATTCAAAGAAAGTGGCCAAAATGTCCCCCCTCTGGAGCAAGTTGCATTCTGATTAGGAATGAGACTCGAGCCATATAAAGTCAAGTACAGTTACAAGGCAATGATAAGAAAGAATGAGGTAGCTCAATTCCAAATGAATCTGGATTTATCTGATATGTAAATTTAAAAAGAGAGAGATAATTTTCCCAGACTCCAAATGCCAAATCAGTTTCACTCCCTCCTCAAAAGTGCTGAGAAAGTTCTAAATTTGGAAAGGTCACAAAGGGATAAAGTGAGTCAGAGGAGGCTTTGGTTTGCCTTATATGAAAAGTGGGATTTGGACTATGGAGGAATAGGGTCCTTCCAGAGGGGATGTTTGAATGACAGAGTAGGAACAGGGCATGGGGAGGCCAACTGCGAGGAAGTCAGCACAAGCAAAGGGCAGGCCCAGCAATATCCAAGAGAGAGCGGGGCCAGTCCACAGGGTGTTCAGTGTGGAGCCTCCAGACCTGTGTCCTAACTCGAGCTCTGCCACATACTCGCTGTGTGCAAATTAGTTAAACTCACCTAACCTATGTTTCTTAATCTGTAAAATGAGGATAATATTAGATGTTAAGATTAGGTGAGGATCAAATGAGACATTGTGTGCATAAAGCACTTTTCCTGTGCAGTTAAACCCTTGATAAATATTAGCCACTTATTAACCATCGGGTTAAGAGAGAAATGACTTTTTTTTTTTAAAGAACTGGCCATTGCTTTATCTTCCATCGTCGTGATTTATACTTTTTAACTATATTCACACCAGGAAAAGTTGATAGTAAATTTCATTTTGGGTGAGGTCTAGACTAGTATCCGTGGAAAGGAAGGCAAATTGAAGAGGTATGATCCTAGGACAGAGGAAGAACCAAGGTCAAAACAGGGACATTTCCCAATTCAATCCAACAGCTGCTTTGTTAACAGTACCACAAGCAGTGGGGTGGGCAGAGTGGGAGACGCATCATATCCTGGGAAGGGAACACTGTAGGGAGGGAGAGAGAGGCTGGATGGGGGAAACGGTAGATAAAAGATTGGGCAAAGTAATTTAGTCCCAGTCCCAGATACTACGTGTTTCAGTCTGTGCTCGTGGGTATGTAAAGGTTTCAGATGGGCTTTCCATGAAAAACAGCAATGAGGCAAACCGTCCCATTCACTAAAAAGACAGGCATTATCATGATACTGTGCAAAGAGCCCAGGCTTTAGAGTCAAGCAAATCTTGATACCTTTACTTGACACATGAACTTGATCGAGTTACCTCTATGTGAATCAGGAAAGTTATTCTTTCCCTGTAGGTGTGGGTATGAGAATTAAATAAGTTAGTATATATAAAAGGGTCTAACACATAGTGAGTGCTTGATTAACTGGTATGTGTTAGTTCAAGAAGGCAGTATGTTGTTATATGCGAGAAGCAATTGCTTTGGTTCAAACCCCAGCTCTACAGCTTACTGGTTGGGTGACTACTGCAAGATCCTCAAGTGCTTGGGCCCATGTTTGTTTCACCTATATTGTGCACACAATAAGAAGACCTACCTCCCAAGATTTTTATGAGCATTGAATGAAATCATATTTATAAAACCCACTAAATGGTACCTGGCTCATACTAAGTGATCTAAATGAAGAGGTATTATCATTAAGAAGCAATTAAAAGTTGCATGTGTATGAAGTTAACAGCTTTTAACATAAAAGACAATGGATTATTTGGTAAGAGATCTCACCGAGCTTAAATGTGTTTTTTTCTTTTTTTTTTTGAAATGAGGAAAGGAAGACATAAATGGCAGAATATGTGGTACAGAACTGTAAGATACATGTCCCACGACAGAAATAAAAAAGGCAGAGATTCACTGAGGGGGGAATTCATGGACATTTATGGTCACATTATCCTGATTGGCTGAGGGAGTCAGCAGGCTTCTAGCCAGTTTTCTTGCTGTTCACAGAAATAAAAGCTCAGTGTCTTTGAAAATGAACTAAGTTTTTTTTTCTTTTTCTTGATAGGAAAATGTATTTATGTAGTCAAGTAAGACTTGTTTCTGCTAAGTAAAAATTCAGCCTAAGCAGTGTAATATGAAGCTAAATGGAGACTGGATACAAATATGTTTATAATGAGATTACTGAATTTGTTGATTTCCCTACATTTCCCATCTACTACCACTAAAGAAATGCTGTAATAATAATATAACTGGCCAAAGTGGTAAAAGTGGGGTTAATTGGTCCTTATCTGTTTGAGGTAAACAACCGAACTGATGAGTGGTTTCCCTGAGCAAAGACTCTTGCTACTTCATGTGTCCTTTCCAGAACGTGGCATCAACATCACATGGGAGCTGGTGAGAAATTCATAACCTCATACTTAGACCTACCGAATCAGAATCTTAATCTTAATAATATTGACAGGTAGTTTATATCCATATTGAGGTTTGAAATGCACTGAGTTAGAGTGTGGAGTTATGGCCACACTGTCTTAATTAGATTATCTTTATTTCAATCCAATTTGCATGGCTATGTGAGCTATGATTCTTAGAGGAGTGAACATAAACAGCAAAAATTCTTACTTAGCAGACTTACCCAGTGCAAGAAAGAGTTCCCTTATCTCACTGTATTATGATCTTAGTCAATATGACCCGGAATTTAAGAAAATAATATGACAAGAGTATGGTTTTAATCAACCGGAAACCATGTGTTCAACAGAACAACAAAACAAGAAGGCTTTGTACTTACTTAGGGAGTTTACATCTTGATGATAAGGCCACTGAGGTAACTAAAGAGGAAATGGATTCAGCATAGGCTTTGGAAGTTCACTTCTGTTACCTAGTAACTGTGTGACTTTGGGCAAGTCTTTCCAAGTTTCTTTTCTATAAAATAGGATGGTAACAGGACCTACTTTACAGGGAGTTGTAAGGTTTAGATAAGTTAACAGGTTATGCAAAAAAAAAAAAAAAAAAAAAAAAAAAAAACACACACACACACACACACACAAATGTTCTGGACATTATATAAGCATTAGATATTACTGATATCTTATTTTTGTTTATTTTTAAATGTCTGTCCCTTTAAACCATTCCTTTCAACATATTTGTGTGGTTTAAATAAAAATAAGTTTGAAGAAATTTCAGAAAGAACTTTGATAAACCCATTGAATGACTTGGAAATTCCAAGGGGATTTCAAAGCCAGGTGGAGGAATGCCTGCTTAGTGTCTTTCCTCAGTGCAAAGGCTGATAAAGGCCTCAATTTCTCCCTCAGTTTACTGTGATCAGAGACTTAGGCTGCCTAGTTATCCTTGTTGCCTGGACAAAAAACTCTTTAGATGCATGCAGGTTTGTGTAGAGTTTGTGGGGAGGTTTCAGATGGTAAAATGCCTCTTCCTACCTCAGGTGAGGGGAGGGTTACTATCATTCCTTTTTCACAGAGCTATTCTAGTTCTGTTTATAAGTAGTGTTCTTTGTATAGTGGATGTTGAGCAAACACTTGTTAAACTATAGGAAGTTATAACATCGGGAGAATTTCTAACAACTGCAAAGTGTTCTGATATGTAATAAATTGCCTTGAGAAATAGTAGGAGCCAGTGCTGGAAGGAGTCAAGCTAAGGCTGGTGTAGTCTCCTAGGGCTGTTGTAGAGAAGAGTCTAAAGTGGGAGGTGTTGATCTTATGGTCCCAGAGGTCTCTCCCATACTACCTTTCTGCCTGTATAGGTCAGAATCTATTAAGAGTGAGTAGGAATGGATTACACCCCACAGTCATGAAGGGCCTTAAATGATAGTAGCACACTAGTGTCATATGTCAAGTGGCAAATGACACTAGCACCAAATGTGATTCTGCATTTAAGTTCTAAGTATTAAATGCATCTATTTGCTATATGAAAACATAAGATATCCCAGTGTTTGCAAACTGGTTCAATATTGTGTTGATTTTTGTTTTGCTTTAATACACTAAGGGAACTTCAAAAGGCTGATGTGGTCCATGCTCTCTGAGCCAGGCCTCTCTTGACTTCTTATGTTTAGTTATTCATGAAACCACTGGGCCTGTCTAAATGGCCAAGTCATATAGGAAGAGACAGAGTGAAAGGGAGAGCAAGAGCTAGAGTGAGAGAAAGAGAGAGAGACATCTTCTCACCTTCAGACCTGATCAGAGGCAATAATGGGAGACCATGGGAGGGGAGAGCCTGATCTGATGATTCCTTTTCAGTTATTTTCTGGAAAGTTTAAAAAATATGGTATTCTTCATGGAGAAGCCAAGATGTTAGGCTGCAGGCAGTGCTTATGCTCTCTAGCCTAGTGAGGAGGAAAGCAGTATAGGTAAATAAAATGACATTTAGTTGGTAATATAGGCAGGGCCTATATCAACTGCCACCTATAAAAGGCGTTGGTGATGGTCTTTAGGGGGCCATTGGCAAATTGCTACAACAAAATAATAAAATAAATAAAATAACAAAATCCAAGTTTATCTCCCAGAATCTATCTGGGCATATCATTACTGTTGGAAAGACTTATGTTTACCAGGTGAGAAAACTGATGCTGAGAGGGGTTAAATATTATGCACAGCTTCTCACATCTAGTGAAGTAACTGAACTAGGATTTATATCTAGGGACTCTGTCCTTCATAGGACAAGTTGCTAATTTGGGGGTGTTCTCAGGGAGAGGAAAATGTCTATATGCTCATATGCACAGATTATCCAAATCAAAACTCTTTCTCCCCATTGTCCTTTCTCAGTTGAACTAGATGTTAATACCACTATTGTATTAGTCGACTAACATTGCCTTCTGCAGAAAACCACCTATGTCTCCTTTCTACCCAAGTGCTCTGGGGCTCCTCCCCTGCCCATTCTCCTCCAACATCCCATTCCACATTCTCTTTCTATCTCTGCAGGACTCCCTGTAGTCCTCCCTGCCCATCCATTATCTCCCTCAAGCTGTCCCCTCAGCCTTTTCTAACAGGGAAAGGCTGGTGCCCTGGTAAAGAGTCCCCCACCCCCATCCCACTCCCTGGCACTAGATGGGCTTGGGAGACAATGACTGCCCCTCCCTCATGCTGTTCTGATGTCTCTTGTTCCTTCCAGTCACCTCCCTTCCAGGCCCATGAGGAGGGCCTGAGGCCCACACTAGCTAGTCTTTTCTCTGGAGGTTGTTTGGGGGCAGGGAGGAAGTCTAAAGTAGAGAGAAAGCGCTGCCATGCCTTAAGCCAACCTTTCCAGAAGTATAATGCCCTTGCCACTAGTAGTTTGGGAAACAATTTTTATTGGCATGCAGGCAAATATTTTGTTTCAATAGTGGCATATTTATTTTTATGGATACCTTCTATTTTTGGCAAGGAATGCTGATTTTCCATTTATGGTTATAATGTAATGTTTTATTTTAAAAACAAAATGACTTAGGGAACAAAATAAGTTGACTTAAAAATAAATTATTAGTTAAATATATATTTAGTATATACAAGTAGACTACAGAAATGGCAAAATAGATTGAAGTTGAAGAAACATTGCCTTAAGCTAAGCCCACTCAGGATGAAATTTTATCTGCCCCCAAATCAACATCTCTTGAAAAGTGGTCCCTATCTTTCCTTGTGTCAGTTCTTAACACCCAGGGGGTAGGCATGCTTCTCATGTTTGTTTTCATAGAATATCTGTGTTTTCAGGGGACCACCATATGCAAAAATGTCAGGGGAGGGGTACTCAATTGGATTAAGAAGCCAGGGCCCACAGAACAGATGTTTTCACCCTACTAACCCAATTGCTGTCTGCTTTTTAGTTGCCACAGTCTAAACATTCTTTAATGCATTGTCTTTTTCAGTCATTGCTCAAGAGGTAGGTTAGTATACCAGTTTTCATAGTGGGAAAAATTAGGAGACTTAATAATTTGCTGCATATCTTGGTGGCCAAGTTTTCCAGCCCTGGTCAGTTAGGCTTTAGGACACTTTTCTTAGGCTTCAGGAATGTGAGCATGGAAGTAGTACAGAAAGGAAGTAGTACAGAAAGGAAGTAATACAGGAAGGAAGTAGTGCAGGAAGGAAGTAGTGCAGGAAGGAAGTGGTACAGGAAGGAAGTGGTACAGGAAGGAAGTAGTGCAGGAAGGAAGAAGTATAGGAAGGAAGTAGTGGAGGAAGGAAGTAGTACAGGAAAAGTGGTTGTAAGCCATTTAACTTACTTTTTTTCATCTGAACTGTGACCCCCAAATTATCAATTTGTCTTGTGAAGTCACTTCATTTAGGAAAAGCAATGTAAAAGTAAAAATTAGTATTTATTGTGTGTACTAGGTGATTTGCATATGTCATTTCTTTAATCCTGTAGGAAATAATATGTTCTCCAGGAGGTGACAATGTCTATATGATTAGATTCACAGATTACCTATCCAAATCTAAGATCTCCGTCCTCTCTCTTCCTTTCCCAAGAACCCATACATATTTCTATTAATTGGTAGAAATAATTATTAATAGACTTTGTCACTTGGCCACTGTGGGCTCTGACGCCCTCTAGTGACAGAAAAATTCTTTGGTAGAAGAAGTAATATCCCTAGATAGCAGTCTACAGAATTGTTTAAGCAATTATCTTTACTTGAGCTTGAAACTAGAATAGCTAATTTGTAACAATTAACTTTTGTAACAAAAGAATTATTATACTGATCAAAGTTCTGATAATTTATCAGTTAAGATTTTTTCAGTTGTAAGAATCTAGCTTAAGCAGAAACTAAGAATTTGTAGAGTTGGGTAACTTTGGGTGGTCCAGGGTTCAATTTCAGAACCAAATGCATCCAGAACTTGGATAGCTCTACCAACCTTGATCTTTCAGCATGGTTTCCTCTCAGTGTGGTTTCCTCTCAGCATGAGTTGACTGTTTTCAGCTCTGGCAGGGCCACAAGCTCCCTTCACAACCAACCACATCAGTTTCACATCTCACATATTTCTACTTCAAATCCAATGAAAAAGAAAGGGTTTGTGTCCCAGTGTTTCCAGTAAAGATCCCAAAATCTACTCCAACTGAATGTGATGTGCTGATTGGCTTAAGCCAAGTCACATTTCCCACCCACTACCTCCCTCCACCTACACATATACCCAAGCCCTGGGATTGGTACCAATGCCACTGTGATGGTTAATTTTATGTATCAAATTAGCTAGGCCATGGCACTTGGCTATTTAGTCAAACACTATCTTAGATGTTTCTGTAAAGCAATGTTTTGGATGGGATTAACATTTAAATCTTTACACTTTGAGTAAAACATTTGCTTTCTATAATGTCAATAGGCCTTATCCAGTTAGTTGAAGGCCTTAAAAAAGAAAAAAAAAAAGACTGACTTCCACTGAGTGAGTGAGAATTATGCCAGCAGACGGCCTTTGGACTTGAACTATAACTTTTTCATGGGTCTCCAGCCTGTTGGCCAATGCTAAAGTTTTGGACTTGCCAGCCTCTACAATCACGTGAGCCAACTCCTATCTATCTTTCCATTTATTCATTCTCTTGGTTCTATTTCTCTAGAGAACCCTGACTAAAAGAACCACTCACATCAAATAGTTAAGAAGAGGGGAGAGGGACAGTTTTTCTAAAGACAACTTGGAAGTACTATTACCAGAAGGAAGAAGAAGGAGAAAGGCAGGATAAACAGTCATGGATATACACTATAGCTGGGAGTTATTAAAATCAACTTATTGCAATTTAGTAAAAACAATTTGGTTGACAACATTTTTTAAACATTAGGACCAAAGGGGAAAAGAACAAAAGTCTTAGTGGTAAAAAGATGTAGAAGTTTTTTTTTTTTTTTGTTTTGTTTTTTATCTTAACTCTTCCTGTTTTTTTACATAGTCAAGATTCTTGTTTAAGTGTTATTCAGAATGTTCAGAAACCAGGATATCTTTTGAGTAGAAGCTTTAACTTATATGGTATGGTTTGAATAAGGATGGTTGTCCAAAATATCTCCAACATCTGTTGGAGTGCCTGAAATTCTATTATTAAAATTTTATTTCTTTGCCCTTGAAGGCCTGAGGACTCTCAGGAATATGCTGGTAAAATAAAAATAACCTTTAGAGATGCCCAAACTGTTTTCCCCAGAACACCAGCATTCATTAGGTGTTCATTCAATAGATTCTTCAAAGGATTCCAAAGGCAAAGAAGTTTGGGGAACAGTATATATAATTACCCAACCCTTTGACATTAGCATACTAAGGGCCCTGAGAAGTTTTGGATTCAGAAAGTTTTCAAATTAAAGTAACCCAGAATTTTCTAAGATTATTTGACCATGAAACATATGTCTCCCCACAAAGCACATATTCCTATCTCCTTGAACTTGAGGATAATTAGACGTACGTGGGCAGAGGGTAGGGGAAGGGGGTATGGCATAGAAAGAGCAGGACCTTGGGAGCAAGAATATCTAAGTTTAATTCCTGACTCTGCTATTTATTAACTAACCATCTTTGCCAATGTTGCTTAAGCTTTTTTGGCTACATTTTTTTATTTGTAAAGTAAGTTTAATAATCACTCATCTCACTGGGCTATAATGATAAGTATTAAGTAAGGAAGATCCACATATGTGAGTTGCTGGCTTATAATTCACACTCAAGAGATACTGATTTTGTCAATTGTCCTTTCCCCTTTTTTTCTCTCTTCCCTCCTTCCATTCCTTCTTCCCTTACCTCTCCTTTCCTTCCCTCACACCCCTTTTCCTTCCTTCTTTTTACATTTTTTTATTTAAATGAACTTTTCATTTTGGAATAGTTTTAGGATTTCAAAAAATTTGCAGAGATAATACAGAGAATGCCCATATACCATCCTCCTTATCCCACTTCTTTTTGTGTCTATTAGATGCTCAGAGTGTGTGCACAAGGCTGGCACGCCCAGGGTCTTCCTCATGGCACTAACAGTCTACTGAAAGGTGGAACAGAGACAAGCCTATCAACACCTACAAGACTGGTGGTAAGTGCAGTGACAGATGCAAAACACAGGGTGATGGAAAGCCCTCAGGAGGGTAACCTAACCTAGATTTGAGGGCCCAAACAGGCTCCAGAAGAAAATGTCAACTGAGAGGAAGCCTGAAGGATGAACAGTGGGCTAAGCAAAGGGTTATTAATGTGTTATTAATGGGTTGAATCTAATTGGGAAGGGAGAGAGGTTGCAGAGTGAGGTGCAGAGCTTGGTGGACGATGCCAAAGGAATACTGAAACCTTTAGTGTGTCCAGTCTGGAACTGCATCCAAATTCAGGTTCAGTAATGATGTCATTATCCAAACATACCTTCTGTAAAATTCATGCTAAACTACCTAAGAGCTATCTACCGTTCCAAAGCAATAGTGACTTTGAACAGTGTTCACCAGAGCACGAAAGAATTACAAGATTTTTTTTTAAAGAAAATTGGCCAGGAAATAATGAGTAACGAAGGACAGGAAGTAATTGTGAATGTTTAATATAGCTGGGGCTATGCGATTTGGCTTAAGTTGTTAGCTTTGTTTTCCTCTTGAGAAATAAAAACTAAGGGGCCCTCCCTTTTCAGAGCCCTATGGCGCAACATCTGTACTTTTTCATATGGTTAACTGTCCATTCCAGAAACGTCTGTGAGCCTCTCATGTTGCAGCCACAACATGGACAGCCCAGTCAAATGCCCCGCAAGTCTTTCTCTGAGTGACTCCAGCAATTAGCCAAGGCTCCTGTACCCAGGCAGGACCTCTGCGCTCTGAGCTCCATTCTCCTTCAAGACCTCCCCAACTTCCCAGGTTGAACTACAGCAGAAGCCTTTAGAAAGGGCAGGAGGCCGGCTCTCGAGGTCCTCACCTGAAGTGAGCATGCCAGCCACTGCAGGAACGCCCCGGGACAGGAATGCCCATTTGTGCAACGAACCCTGACTCCTTCCTCACCCTGACTTCTCCCCCTCCCTACCCGCGCGCAGGCCAAGTTGCTGAATCAATGGAGCCCTCCCCAACCCGGGCGTTCCCCAGCGAGGCTTCCTTCCCATCCTCCTGACCACCGGGGCTTTTCGTGAGCTCGTCTCTGATCTCGCGCAAGAGTGACACACAGGTGTTCAAAGACGCTTCTGGGGAGTGAGGGAAGCGGTTTACGAGTGACTTGGCTGGAGCCTCAGGGGCGGGCACTGGCACGGAACACACCCTGAGGCCAGCCCTGGCTGCCCAGGCGGAGCTGCCTCTTCTCCCGCGGGTTGGTGGACCCGCTCAGTACGGAGTTGGGGAAGCTCTTTCACTTCGGAGGATTGCTCAACAACCATGCTGGGCATCTGGACCCTCCTACCTCTGGTGAGCCCTCTCCTGCCCGGGTGGAGGCTTACCCCGTCTTAGTCCCGGGGATAGGCAAAGTGGGGCGGGCGCGGGACGCGTGCGGGATTGCGGCGGCAGCGGCGCACGCGGGCACCTGGGAGCGGCGGGCTGCTGCGGGAGGCGTTGGAGACTGGCTCCCGGGGGCTGTTAGGACCTTCCCTCAGGCCCGGGTGCTCAGAACGCTGGAGGACTTGCTTTTCTTGGGCCTTGATGCGAAGTGCTGACCCCGCTGGGCAGGCGGGGCAGCTCCGGCGCTCCTCGGAGACCACTGCGCTCCACGTTGAGGTGGGCGTGGGGTGCGGACAGGAATTGAAGCGGAAGTCTGGGAAGCTTTAGGGTCGCTGGAGGGGGACCCCGGTTGGAGAGAGGAGCGGAACTCCTGGACAAGCCCTGACAAGCCAAGCCAAAGGTCCGCTCCGGCGCGGGTGGGTGAGTGCGCGCCGCCCCGCGGGGGCGGGGAGAGAGCCTGCAGCCTTCAGAACAGATATTGCTCATTTTCTGGCAGTTCTCAGACGTAGGAAATAAGTCAGCACCGAAGCAGTGGTTAAGCCGGAGGGCTCGGAAGAACGGCACCTTTTCTTTCTCGAAAAAGTTATATGGGGGCTGAATGAGCTTCTGGAGGCTTGTTTACCGTTTTTTATTGTCACACAGAAAAAGAAACTGCCTTGTCTCCCTTCCGGGAATTCTCTCTTTAAGACTGTAAGTCGCTGCCTGAGTGGTTTCATTTTGTTTTGTTTTTCTGCCCTTCTCTTTCTTCTTTTGCCCTTTCTTAGCTTGCACTCCCATGGTGATTTCTGCTTGGTCTCCTGCTGGGGTTGGTGGTACTCGTTCCCACCGCACAGAACCCGGCGCCTATTATTGGCCAAGAAACTTGAGCAGCCTGTTTTGAAAAGTCCCTCGCTCAGAAATGCCAGCTTGCAGATGGCTAATCAAAGAGACGTGGATCCAGGAGGCTCATTTGAGTACCGGAGCCTCTGAGAGTCCATGGATTTTTATTTTATTGGGCCCCAACAAAGTGCCAGGCATAGCGAGAGAAGTGTTTACAAATGTGATCTCCGCGGATTCTCACGAGAGCCATGTAGTGGGGAAGATAACCACATCCCCATTTTACAGATGGCGAAATGAGGTTCAGAGAGCTTCAGTAATTCAGCCAAGATCACACAGCTAGTAAATGGGAGATATGGGATTGAACTCAGATCTAATTCCAAAACTCAGGCTGTTCGCTGATTGCATCTGATATCCAGATTACACCAAGAGGCTGAGATGTCTGGGTCCATTTTATGATTAGAAAAAAAAATCCTGTTCCTTTCAGAAATAGTGTGCACTATTTGGGATTCTTTAGAAACTTCCTTGGAGAAAATTAATGATTCAAGATTGAGAAAACATTTATACAACCTCAGGCCACACTCTTCTCTCTCTTGTTATTAACCATTGCACCACTGCAATGTTGGCTGCTTTGAAAATCTCATAGTTTTTGGACAGCAGTATTAGTAAAGTGTAAGAAAATTGTCAAAGCTTGGAGCTATGCTTGTTGAACTTTTGTACCAATAGCACCTTTACCAGAGGCTGCGTGTTTAAAGCCCGAAGAAAACTTTGCTTTTCTGAAAGAATACACACACACACGCATATGTAAATATTCATACATTTATGTATATATACATATTATAATACCTATAAGTTAGGTATAACTTATATTTGTATATGATATATGGCCTAGGAAATTAAGGCTTATTAAATAAAATTTATAAATGCAGATGAGTCAAATACAAAGATCAGACATAACTCTATCACCTAAGTAATCATTGTTTACGTTTTGCAGTTTATCTTCCATTTCTCCCCTCTAATATGACTCTTTTAAATTTAGTTACACAGAAATTGGTTTTGCGCTCACGACATGCCTAACATCAGGCCTTTATCCTTAAAGAAGTTTCAACACTCTTGTGTCACCTCATGTGTCTACAGAAAATGTTTGCTTTTATGCCTTCACGGTTATGTTTTCTTAGTAGTAGCAATAAATAAAATAGATGCAAAGTGCTAATTACTTGGAATACAGAAGCAAATTTTAATTCTATTAATGGGCTGGACATAGATGGGTGGGGAGCTGTTTTCTGCTTTTCCCCTCTTCCCCTAGTCCTCTGACTCTGGTGATAACTATAGTCAACAAGTATCCCCATCCTTAACCCCTTTTGCTTCTCTTTCTCTTTCCTTCTCTCAACCTTCCTGGTGTTAGTTTTCTCTTTCCTATTTCTGAGTGTTTTTACTCCGACACTTACAATAAAAAAGTTTGAAATCCCAAAAAGTTGACAAATTTCTAAAGGAGACAGAAAAAGAGTCAAACTTACTTTACAAATTAATTTGAGAAATAGCTGTGGGTTGCATTTTTTTTTTTTATTGTGCATGACCCTGTTATTGGCCAAGAAACTTGAGCAGCCTGTTTTGGAAAGTCCCTCGCTCAGAAATGCCAGCTTGCTAATTGAAGGGATGTGGATCCATGAGGCTCATTTGAATTCCGAAGCCTCTAAGAGTCCATGGATTTTTATTTTATTGGGCCCCAACAGGTTTTGTCTTGCATTATTTAGGACATTGGCCAGGCAATCACTGGACAGCCAGTTTGCTCTCCTTTACATTTTGTAGAATGGTTATCTTATGGTCAAAGGAAAGGGAGAGGGCCTTTGGAAAATAAAGCTGTGTATTTACAAGCAGTCATACAGAATAGTTTTGTGGGGAAAATAAAGAACAGTTATTTAATTTGTAATTTAATCATTTTTCTTAAACCAACCCAAAGAGCATAAAATGGAATATTTATTTATTTTTGTAGCTTAATTTGTAATTTAATAATTTTTCTTAAGCCAACCTAACGAACATATTGGGCTGTTTATTTTCATTTTTAATGGGCCATATTTACATCACAAAGGACTTGAGAAGTCTTACAAATACAATAAAATGATAAAATATGAATTAAGACATTAGCAACCAGGATGGAAAAACACAAATTTGTAAATGATGGCCAGGTTTGCAAGCAAAAATTAAATTGATAAATGGCAGCACCCCCACTACCAGCTATAGTTAGACTGATGAAAAATCCTCTAATGTTCATGCCTGAAATACAGTTACCACCCTTAGCAGCAAATTAGAGGCAAAGAAGTTCTGGAATTTGGACGTTGTCTCTGAGTAAGCTCTTTGAGACACTGGACAAGTAATTTCCTTCTGAATACTCTTATACTGACACATAGGAGAAGTGTCAGTGTTTCAAAGGAATCTCTTTGAAGGCTACTACATTGCTTTAGGGGTGCCAGATTACCAGAGTAAACTGCCAGTTTGAGAGAATAACTGTTTCTTAAGAGATGGTCTGAAACCTAAGTAAGGAAATCCCCCCACTTGAAAGCCCCTAGGAAGTTAATTGCTTTTGGCAAATTATCTTGGGCCCCAAAAGTCCCTTGATGAGCACATGTTTTGTAATAGGTACTAAAGACTATTTACTTATGATGAAAAATAAAATAACACAATTTAAAACTTGAAATTGATAAAAAGCAACTTGAAACCAAATTTAGGACAGTGAACCCATCCCTTTCTTATTTTTAAATAGGTAAATATAGAAAAAATGACCACATGATGTGAAACAAAAAGCAAATATTTAAAAACTACATTTATACTTTATCTCACCACACTAATGTAAAGAATTTTGATTTTACTTATAAATTCTTAGCCTTGTCTACACATATACATAATTGCATGTTTAATTTGAGCTATATATAGTCTGTTTTTTGTTCCTTTGCATGTTACACAAACCTTTTTCTATTTCTACATAATTTTTATCTCATATTTTTTATTGGATACATTATAGAGAGAGCATTTATTAAATGAGCTGGGATTACTATAATTTTTATTATTTATTTTTTAATTTATTACTTATTTTTATAATTTACTATTGAAAAAAAGCATTTCTTAAATGTACTGGGATACATATATATATATGACTTTTTCTTGTTACTAAAAAATTACTCATAGAACTTACATATTAAAATTTTAGGACTTGTGATGAAAAATAATAAAATAATTCAAAACGATAAAAAGCAACATAATTTTATATGTTGTACCTTGTACTTCCTTATAAGGTACAACACTACAATAGCCTTAGTGTGTAGTTTTCTTTTTGCTATGTATGTATATATATATTCATAAAAGTGGAAAAATAACATTTAATAAATCCTCTTTATTTTCTGGAAAATCCTTGCTTTAAAAAAAGTCTTTAGCTTTTTATATAGTTCTACTTCTAACACCAATTAAATATCTTCAATTCAGTCTCAAGCAGGAACAAATCTTCAGTCCACTTGCCTACCTTTACTGTCTTTGAAGTGACAGTGTGAGTAGTAAAGCCCAAATCAGAGAGAAATTGACTTTTGTAAGATTGGTAACTTCACCTTCCCCGGAAGGAAATGAGGTGGTTCTTCCCTTTGATCACAACTGCTTTCTTGATTTGAAATAAACTGTTGTACAGCCCAGTCACCCCATCTTTAGACATTTAGAAATGGCAATCATAGTTATATAGGACAACTAGCCTGAGTCCCACTAAGTAGAAATGATAGTGAATTTAGTATAAGATTATACCTTTAGGCTGGGCAGGTGACTCACACCTGTCACCCAGCACTTCAGGAGGCCAAGGTGGGTGGATCATGGATCACTTGAGATTAGGAGTTTGAGACCAGCCTGGCCAACATGGCAAAAACCCAACTCTACTGAAAATACACAAATTAGCTGGGTGTGGTGGCGTGCCTGTTATCTCAGCTACTCGGGAGGTCGCGGCAGGAGAATCACTGGAACCTGGGAGGTGGAAGTTGCAGTGAGCCAAGATCATGCCACTGCACTCCAGGCTGGGCGACAGAGTGAGACTCCGTCTACAAAGAAAACAAAGAAACAAAAAATCATACCTTTAGAGCAAGGCCAGCCTTGTGAATTAGCAAATCTGACTACAAATTCAATCAGCAGATGTACTCAGCCCAGCAAAGTGAGCAAGCTTACTATAGGTTGTGTTAAGGCATGGACTGGGATAAACTGGCAAAATTAGAGTAAATTTGACAATTTGACATTGGATTCATTAATGATAGCCTGTCCTTCAATGAAGTCAGGCAGCATTGTGTTTCTATTCACCTCTGTGTTTTGTGAGGCTATAAAAATATAAGATATGAGAAATGTGAATACTTTTTATTTGTGAGGGCAGATATCTTGAAAAAGAGAGCGAGAGGAAGTCAGAGTATGCGGGTGAAGACTCTTGTTTTTTTGCTGAGGATTTAGCTTTGGTTTTTAGCCATTCTCACAGAGATCATTGGTCCTAATTAACTGGTTGTTGTTGTTTTTTTTCATGTGAATGTCTGTAAGGTTTCAGGCTTGATTTTAAAAATTGGGCCTATACTCACAGAAAGACAAATACTGCATGATCTCGTTTATATGTGGAATCTAAAAGTTTTGAATCCATAAAAGTAGAGAGTAGAATAGTGGTTACCAGAGGCTAGTTGGGGGCAAAGTTGGGGGATTTAGGGAGATATTGGTCAAAGGATACAAAATTTCAGTTAGGAGGAATAAGTTCAAGAGATCTAGTGTACAACTTGATGTCTATAGCTAATAACAATGTATTGTATACTTGAAAATTACTAAGAGTAGATTTTAAGTGTTCTCGCCACACACACACAAAAGAAAATGATAAGTATGTGAAGGAATGCCCAATGTAATTAGCTCGATTTAGCTAATTATCTTCCAAAATATGTACATAATTATCTTCCAAAATATGTACATAATTCAAGACATCATGTTATATACCATAAATATATATAATTTTTTTATTTGTCGAATAAAAATAATACAAAAAAACCCTGGGCCTATACTGCCCACAGGTAGTGGCCACAGGCAGAGCTGGTCCCAAGCCCCTCCCTCTCTCTGTAGTCCCTTATCCCAGGTTGCTTTATTCTTGTATGACCCACGTGGCCCCTCTGGGCTTGTAAGGGCTCTGGGGCTGTATTTTAGGACTCTATAGCCCTTACATTACCCATTTCCTCTACCAAAGGTCATTTCTCTTATCTTCAAGCTTATTTTTGGAAGGGTCATTATTTCTTCATGAGAAGTCAAATTCTGATTTGCAAGTGCTGAACACAGATGCCATTAGTCTATAAAACTCTTATATTCTCACATGTAAATGTAGTAACCTGCTAACCTCAGATTCTGCTTCCTCTAACCTAGTTGCCCTGCAACTGTGATGAACCTCAAAATCACCAAGGGTACTTCCCCATTCTCAGAGATCCTGATTCCTTAGGTCTATGTAGGGGCCTTAGCACTTTTTATTAAATAATGCATCACTACAGGATTCTGATGTCTGTCGGGGTCTTGAGAACTATTTTTCTGACTCTAGCACTAAACTCAAAATGTAATTTCAGATGGAATTTCCTAGGCTCATTCATTTTATTTTATTTATGGCTTGGCCAGTCATGGATCTAATCAGTAACTTGCAACTGTTGCTTCAACTACCTCTGTCCTGGACTTTCCAGAGATTGGCTTTAAGAAAGAAAGAGGACATCCCTGGGATAAGATTACCATGTGTATTTTTATGTACAGATTTTGAAAAACATACAAATGAATGGGATCTTTGCTTATCTCTTCCATGTAGAAAAATTTATTTTACTTCTATTTCAGGTTTTCAATAATGTAGTAGGACAAGATGACATCACTATATCCCTGTTTTTTACACAGATATATTAGAGATGCATTATCTTATTGGAAATTTTAAACTATTCAATAATAAACTATTAGTCTTTTAGAATTTCTTTTTCCTCAAGTGTTGATAAGTAACTGAAAGTCTACAAGCAGACAAGCAGAATTAGTCGGTGGAACTTCATTTCTTGCTCCATTTTTGTCCTCAGCAGTAGAGGGTGGTGAGATTTCAACCCAGCCTAGCAGGACCAATAAGTCTGGAAAGAAGTAGCTCTAGTTCATATTGGCACCTGCTAATTCTAGTTCTGAAGACCATGGGAAATCTCTTGCCTATTTAGCTCAGTGATCATCCAAGATGGGAAATTCTTGGGCTCAGCTGTGAGGGATCCCAAGTTTATATGTAACACTAATGTCTCACAAATCAAGAATCCAAGAGAATCAAGAGACTATAGTTCATTCCTTATATTAAATTCTTAGGACTGCCAACTGGGTGGCTACAGTTTTGGGGGCTAGAAGTCTGATATCAAGGTGCCAACTGGACTGGTTCCTTCTGAGGACCACGAGGGCAGGATCTGTTCAGGCTTGTAGATGGCCTTCTTTTCCATGTGTCTTCACATTATCTTCCTCTGTTTGTATGTGTGTCCAAATTTCCTCTTCTTTTTTTTTAATTTAGAAATTTATACTGTCTACAAGCTTTATATAGCTTTAGTTAAAAAAAAGCAAAAAAAAAAAAAAATCAAAACAAAAACAGTGAAGCCAAGACACTCTTCCAAAGTCTGGACCCTTCCGGCCTTCCAAATACAAGAGCTCTGGAAGTTGTATATACCAAATTTCCTCTTCTTAAAATGTCACCAGTCACATTGGATTAAGGCTTACCCTATTAACACCATTTTAACTTAATCACCTCTGTAAAGACCCTATCTCCTGATACAGTCACATTCGGATGCTCAGGAAGTTAGGGTATCAGTATCACTATATGAATTTGGGAGTTGGGGGAGGACACAGTTTAGCCCATGACAGTCCTGAATCTCCTTTGCTAGATGCATGACTGTGGGCCAGTCACTTCACCAGTTGGGATACTGCCATCTCTATCAGAAAAGGGGTTTGGGCTAGGTCATCTATAAAGTCCTTTCTGCTCTAAATTGTAAATATAATGAGATACCAACATTTAGTTTAATTGTTTAAAATTTTAGAAGCTAACTGGATGCTTTGCTGGTGTCAACACTCCCCTTTACAAAAAAAAATTCGGCCGGGCATGGTGGCTCACGCCTGTAATCCCAACACTTTGGGAGGCCGAGGCAGGCGGATCACGGGGTCGAGAGATTGAGACCATCTGGCCAACATGGTGAAACCCCGTCTCTACTAAAAACACAAAAATTAGCTGGGCCTGGTGGTGCACATCTGTAGTCCCAGCTACTCGGGAAGCTGAGGCAGGAGAGTCACTTGAACCCGGGAGGCGGAGCTTGCAGTGAGCCGAGATCGCGCCACTGCACCTCCAGCCTGGCAACAGAGCGAGACTCCGTCTCAAAAAAATAAATAAATAAATAAAATAAAATAAAATAAAATAAAATCTCACTTTCTGTTTCTACTGTTCTCTCAAGTACCCCTCTGCCTTCTGTTACTTCTTTGCTGCATTCTGAGAGGAATGGGGTGGGGAGCACTCTTTCCTGTAGAACCCCATAACCCATCTATTTTCATCAATTTATTTGAAATTCAAAGCCAGGGGTTAAAATGTCCACTTTCAATTTGAGATGTCTAACTTTCAGATAAATCTATTAACATGCATTTCTAAGTGACTTTTAAGCTAAGCATTTTATTTTATTGAGCTCGTATGGAAGGGTAACTATTATACTTGTATAATAAAGTGCACTTTCAAAAATACTCGGTTCAAATGTAAAATAATATTCGTAATATTTTAAGACAAACCTCCTAGAACTTATATGTGTCTTTCTTCCCAGAGCAGTCTCTATGGGTGCCTAAACAATACTGCATTATTAGATTTTTTTCAGTTTATAAGCCACACAAGAAAGTTAACCCATGTCATCTCTAGAGGCATAAAAATAGACAGTTGTTCTGAGAAACATATCTGTTTATTCCTAGTTCAGTAACAGCGCAATGAGATCCTAAATTATGAGGTACTTTTTGTTTATCTTATTGTCTCATTGGCAACCAGCAACTCCTGTTGCATTTTTGACATGGGAATCTATCAGGGTGTGGTTAATAAAGTACATTTCCATGGTAAGTATTCTTTAAGAAAAAATAAACCAAGATTTCATCAGAGACAGAAATTACTGCAAACTGTACTTACCAGTTTCTGGTGATTTGTATAACTGAGCTTTCAATTTCAAAAATTAAAAAGTTCTCTTTAGTGTAACATATTTTTGTGTCCAGTAATTTTACTTCAAAAATAAAAGAGAATTTTCTTTACCATCAAACAACGTTGCTGTAATGAGTGGTGATATATTTAGTCCTAGAGGACCAAAGAGAAATAAAATGGCTTTGATTATGCTGGTTTAAGAAAATATATCCGATGAAACAGAGGTTAATATTTGTGATGTTTGATTTAGTAAAATTATAAGACTACCAAAGAAAACTAGAAGAGCAAAATAACCAAAATTTATATAAAGAATTCAATGTTGATAATTCAAAGGTTTAGAATTTTTTCCACCTTTCAAATACTAAGTTGCTGTTATAGATTTACTACCATTATTACCCAGATTTTCTATTTTACTAAAAAATAATAACACAGTTCGTTATGATAAATCAGTATAGATCTTTAGGCTCAACACAACCCTGCTACCTTTTAAACTTTTTTATTATACAACAAACACATATGCATTATCAAGAAAAGATGAGTTTAGCAAAATGAAGAAAAATAGTCTTATCAACTAGAAATAAGCACCATTAAAATTTCTGTGTGTTAAAAGATAATATGCTGCTGAAACTTTTTTTTTCTTGAAATGTCCCTCTTTTCTTTCACTTTTCATTTTCTTAATCCCTAACCTTCTACTGTTGAATTTTCTGGACCACCGTTATACCCCCTCATCAATAGGGCATTTTTTTCTGCAGTAGCTGAGCACAATGGTCATATTGAAGAAATTCCCTTGTGGGGGCTTTGCCTAGAGGTAAAATCCTCTTGGCCGGGTGCGTTGGCTCATGCCTGTAATCCCAGCACTTTGGGAAGCTGAGGCGGGAGCATCTTCTGAGGTCAGGAGTTTGAGATTAGCCTGGCCAACGTGGTGAAATGCCGTCTCTACTAAAAATACAAAAAATTAGCCGTCATAGTGTGCATTCCTGTAATCCCACCTACTCGGGAGGCTGAGGCAGGAGAATTGCTTGAATGCCGGAGGCAGAGGTTGTAGTGAGCCAAGATCTAGATTGTGCCACTGTGCTCCAGCCTGGGTGACAGAGCAAGACTCCGTCTAAAACAAAACAAAACAAAACAACAACAACAAAAACAAAGTAAAACCCTCTTCACTGTGATGACTCTAAAGCTTGCTTTTGTCTCTCTAAATCACAACAAACCGTTTGCAGTGTGATGCTGTGCTCAAAATTGAGAATTCTCACTGACTGTTCCAGGCATCTGTCTACTCATTCTTGCCATGCTGAGGGCTGTCATTTCTCACCACTGAATGCCTTTTTTTTTTTTTTTGTGCTTCTTTTTAAAAGTCTTTTCCTGTTTGCTTTGAACTTCAATAAAAACAGGGGGTAAGAAGGTAATATGCTTTTATTTTGTCTGTGGGGTTTTTTTCTTCCTTCTTTTGGTTCCTTTTCAGATCCTAGCTCATCAAGGCCATTTGCCACACTGACACTGGAATAAGCCTGAATGGGGGTCTATATTTCTTCCAGTAGTTAGTTTAATTCGGTCATTGAGCTGTTGCTCTATTTGTAACCGTCATGCTAGATCCGAGGGCTGACTATTCCTGAGAAAGTGTGGAGATCCTTTCAGACTGCCATGGTGCTAGGGCAGAGTTTCAGTCATTATCTTCTGTGTCTGCTAATTCTTGCATCATTTCTTCTACTCTGTAACCTGGTTGGCTATGAAAAGTGATTCTTCCTCACTGATGCTGCAGGCAATGGGTGAATATCCAATTGTTCTCTCAGGTTCTTGTCATCGGATACAAAGAACAAATTTCATGTGTCCCTGTTTCTGAGAGGTTCAAAGGGAGCAAATGCACAGATTCTAGCTTAGGATGACTTCCAGCTTCTAACTATTTGTCTGTGCATTCCATTTCCTCACCCCTGCGAGAGGTTGCAGTCATGGTAACGGCTGTTCTGAGAAATTCAGTGCCCAAACTGGAGGGAGGGGAACACAAACTCAGCTTCTTCCCAAGCTTCAGGGCAGGGCTGGCAAGTTTTGCCTTCCCCGCCAGCAAGAGCCCTGGCTTTAGGGGTCTTGCTACAGTTTTCCCAGACTGGAGGTCTTGGGGCTGGATTCTGGTTCTTAGCGAATTCTTGCCAAACACCTCCCCTTTCCCCAGTATCCATTTGTTTTGAAGGTTCTTTGCAGGCTTCTTGCCAATAATTGTCTTAAAACAAATGGAGTTGTTTGCATACCTAGATGGAGTAAAATATTTAGGAAACTATTCTACAAATATGAAACAGCCCAGATTTGGGCCAGAAGTCCTGGTCCTGAGTCTCTTGTTAGCCACTCTTAACTGTGAATTATTGGACAAATCATTTCTCGCACTCTGTGTAATCTGTCACCTGGGTACTTGATGATTTAAACCAGGAATTGTGGCCCTTCTCATAATACTGTCTCCTAAATATTGGGTGAATTTAGTATATCAAGGAGGGCAGGGCACTATACCCGTAGGGGACTCTCTCTCTCCCTCTGTCTCTTTGCCTTTCTCAGATATGCATCTTTGGTGGCAGACCTGGGGTTCAAACCACAGTTGTTTTGAAATTTCTCTTTCCTTCTCCACTATGCTCCCCCTCACTGAAACTTTAATAATAAAAGTAGCACACTTATTGGGCATGTATTTGTTATGTGCCAGGTTCTGTGCTAACAGCTTTAAGTGCATTATTCCACGTATTTTCACAACAAGCCTGTGAGGAAGAGGTTATTTCCACTTATAGATAAAGAAACTGAGACTTGGAGAATGTAAGTGATTTTACCCACAAACACAGGGCAGTAAGTGGGAGGCCCTGTTCACCTTAGAACACCTGGCTTCTATCATTCATGGTGCTGTTTCTAGTGTGGTTTGAAGAACCTGAGATCCAAACTGCTATACAAGTGACCTGCTGCTTTCTTGGAGAGAGAAATCTGAAAGACAGTGGAGCCCTCACATTGTCTTTGCCTGTGCACAGCAGATACTGCCAATTTTGGGTGGGTTACACTTGTTTACCACGTTGCTTACTTCAGAAATCAATAAAATTCTCTTCATGCTTTTATTTTACAGGTTCTTACGTCTGTTGCTAGATTATCGTCCAAAAGTGTTAATGCCCAAGTGACTGACATCAACTCCAAGGGATTGGAATTGAGGAAGACTGTTACTACAGTTGAGACTCAGAACTTGGAAGGCCTGCATCATGATGGCCAATTCTGCCATAAGCCCTGTCCTCCAGGTATGTTACACAAAACATCCAGAGATTACAGTGAAAGTCACAGTTAGGAGTAGCACATAGTAATCATGACTATAATAATTTTACAGTTTTTGGTTCCCCTATATTATATAACATAACTGAGAGAAAAACAACTATGAAATTATTTTCCAAAGATGAGTTTTATTTATATTTATCACGCTTATTTGATGTGGTTATGGATAAATTTAATTTACAAGTGACATGCACCTCTGAAATGAGAAGACTGGTCTATTTGGCTCCATTTTTTTCTAAGCAAAAATGACTCATTTGTGAATATGAAAGCTTATCATGTCAAAACTGATTAGGATCTACCATAACAATAGTGGAACTCTGAAAGCAAGAGACTTCTCCTCTTAAGGGATATGTCTCAGCACTTCCCTTCAATCAGAAGGTCTCTAAGAAAGCTGTCCTGGCACTGAAGCCTGCAAAATATATTTGCATTTTGCAGCTGAATAACTAGACGAATAAGAAAAGCAACAGGCAGAAACCAACAGCTTTTTTTTTTAAATCAATACTTTGAAGGGCAAACTAATTTCAGATCACAAATCCTTCAAACACTGGTAAATTAGAAGCTAAGCAAAATGCAATTGTGCAAACATTTCTTCAACTTTGAGTAGAGTTGAAAAAAGGAAAATAGCACATGGGTTCATGTGATAGATTAATAGAACAAAAAAGGACTGTAGTATGTTTCATGGTTGTCCTCCCAGGCTTCCAGCACTCAAGCTGTAAAACAGGATGGGTCCTGTTTGTGAAAAGATTCTACCAGTCTCCCTGTGCTTCATGTCCAGATTTTAATAACCGTTATGGAAAAATCTCCCCTATAACCCAACCCATTTATACTTAAACCCATTTACACTTAAATCTTCTCCAACACGAATAAAGAATGGCGTCCTGGCTTTATTATAACCTGCTAAACACAATCAATTTGCTCTATGAATTGAAATCTTTGTTCATAATTTTAAAACCTAAAATGTAAATTAAAATGAACAAAATATGCTTTGCACATCAAACTGTCAAGGATTTTTGTCTATTGCTTTTTCGGTTTTGCTTTGTTTTATTTTAATTTAAGAAGTGAATGTAAATTGTTACAAACTTTTAAGAAATACATTTGGATATATGAGTCAAAAATTTGAAAAAAAATTTTTTTTAACTTTTTTTTCTTATTATTATACTTTAAGTTTTAGGGTACACATGCACAATCTGCAGGTTAGTTACATATGTATACATGTGCCATGCTGGTGCACTGCACCCACTAACTCGTCATCTAGCATTAGGTATATCTCCCAATGCTATCCCTCCCCCCTCCCCCCAACCCACTGTTTATACTTGCTAAGATAGCAATTAATTTATACGAAAATACCCTGAGAAAATAATCAAAAATAAAGGAAAATATTGTACACATGATATTTCATTATCAATATGATGTAGGATTCCTTAGGTAAATTCTGGAATATTTAAAGACTGAAATAGTATGTATCAAAGTCATGTTTTCTGATATATTTCTAATATAATCCTCAATTATATAAACCTTCTTAAGTAATTTCCAACTGATCTGGCTGGATTAACTGATTCTCCCTGATCCGTCTATAAAATATCCTGGATGGCATCCAACCATGTTAAATACTCTTCCCACTTCAATTCCCTCTTGTTGAATTTTAGGCTTATCAATATCTAAGTTGCTTCCAAATCTGTTTATGCTCATTAGTGTTGTGATATTCATATGTAATTTGATTGAATATTGCATAAATTAATGAAATACAAATACAGAGAAAAGACAGATTTTATTTCTAAGAAAACTAGGTTGAGTGCTTTGGAGAATTCAATAAAGATGAGCTGCTAAAATGTTGTTGATGAATTTTGTGAGGGAAAAATAAAAGTTAAGTAGTAGGAAAAATCACAAAAATCTCTAAAGCCATTCATAGAGATTATTGGTATGTTTATGTTTTCCTTTCATCAAAAACGAAGGGAGGGAGGGAGGGAGGGAGGGAGGAGAAAAAAAGAAAGAAATGAAAAAGGAAGAGAAAAATAGACAAACAGGAAATTATAGGTGATGCATTATGGATGTGACTTAAGAAAGAACCTGGGATTATAATAACTTCTATATCACAAAATTGTCAAATGATTATATAGTTATATTTTATAAATTAAAACAAAATATTTACAGTATTTTTAAGTGATTTCCTATGTAAATTGACATTTTTGATTAAATGATCAAAGAAGTCCTCCCCACATCATCATATTCAATAAGAAGGATTCTATGGTATACTGCACACATATTTCATATATACACATTGTACATATATATATATACACACCTGTTATATATATGCTCATGCATATACATGTATGTATGTATTATATGCATAGGAATGCAACAAAATAACGGCAATATCTCCAGATTGTTGATATATAGTTTTTTGTTTGTTTGTTTGTCTGTTTTTTTGAGATGGAGTCTCACTCTGTAGTCCAGGCTGAAGTGCAGTGGCATGATCTCAGCTCACTGCAACCTCTGCCTTCTGGGTTCAAGCAATTCTGCAGCCTCAGCCTCCCAAGTAGCTGGGACTACAGGAGCACACCACAACACCGGGATAATTTTTTGTGTTTTTAATAGAGGCGGGGTTTCACCATGTTGGTCAGTCTGGTCTCAAACTCCTGACCTCAGGTGATCTGCCTGCCTTGGCCTCCCAATCTGCTGGGATTACAGACATGACCCACTGTGCCCGGCCTGATACATAAGTTCTTATTATACTTTCCTGCCTTTTCCAACATTTCTATAATAAGCATATGTACCATTATACTAAAAAAAGTATTTTAAAATCTGATTTTCAATAAAACAACTACTTATTTTCTTATTTTAATAAATTTTGTTTTCATACTTTGGAGGAACGAAAGAACCTGTGGTTTACTGTATCTCCATTATACCAAGGAAGTTGTGCTAGGCACATTCTGTAAGATAATTCATTAAAGAGACCAATTCATTCAGAGACCAGTATAATACCACTAGCAAAAAATAAAATTATACTTGGACTTGGGTTCTGTTTTCTTTAAATATTGCTACAATGTTATATAGCCCTATGCACTATTTTTGAATTTTGTTCTGGGAATCTCCAGTTTGTTTTTTACTATTGACAGACTATTATCTTTACTTACTAAAATAGCATATATATTTACATGTCATAATTTGCTCATGTAGTAAATATTTTGTTTTATCAAAAAGAATATATGAAGTTATTAAGGAATTCATGTTCCTAGGAAACACAGCAGAAATTAATTTTGCTGTATAGGTGAGCAGAGCAGATTAAACTGCTTATATTTTTAAAACTAGTTATACCATTAACAATTAGAGTCACTAGTAATGTTTTTCTCACACTTCCCTTGATATTTTCTGTCACTTTCTTCTTAATTCTCTATTCCCTTACCTTCATCTAGCTTTCCCCATAGCATTTTTTTAGCACTTGATATCAATATATTTATTTGTGTATTGTCTGCCTGCATCCCAAGAAGGTGAAGTCTTTGGTGATGAAGGGTTTATCTTATTTCCTGCATAATATCAAACTTCTAAAAAGTTCCTAGGACTCAATAGGCATTTAATAAACACCTATCAGATAAATGAATTTTTTAAGAGAACACATTACATAATGCTTTCTAATAGCAATACAGTGACAAACTTTATTTTTAAGTAAATTAATGCAAATATGTATATTATTTAAAATTGTTTGTTTTTAAGATAACAAGCCTGATAGATAATAAATTTTGGCATAAATATGTTAATGCTTATCAAAACTCATCAGTACATATCCTGTCTTTTGATGAAAAAGTAATAGAAAGGGGAGAACAAAGAGAACTCTCATGCTCACTAGGCAGGCCGAGTGCAGCTCTGACAGCAATGCAAGAGAAATATTACTATCTCCATCATATGCAGGATGAAATTTAGGCTTGGAGAAAACAACACTTCGTTAAAGATTTTATAGCTGCTCAAGATTTGACCAAGGCTTTTAAAACTTCAAATGTTCTTTTCCTTATTACACTGTTTCTTATCAGGATTTGTGGACTTTGGAAAGTAAAATGAAAAGTCAGAGCAATGTGAGTTAGTTTGATAATCTCAGTGGCCAGTAACAGCTATCCCCACTCTGAATATATACCAACCAACCTCTCCCCTTTCTCCAAGGAAGTTAGTTCTTGGCAAAGGCATTTCATGCAGTGTACTTTGTCATTCTAACCTTCCTTTTTTTTTGTATGCTCCTGTTGCTAATCATCCTATTTCTATGGGCTTCAGTCACTCTTTTAGCTTTTGTCTTGGGAGACTTTCTGTCTGTTGACATGACTTTTAAAATAATCTTCTCCCCCATTGTATTTATATCTCATTAGCCTACCCCCCCTCCCCTTGTGTTTTAGAAGAGTTTTATTGTCTGTCATCCCTCTATAGTTCCCACCCTGTTACCTGCCCGTGTCCTGTTCAAACACTTGCTCCTTTTTTCCTTGGGCAGGTGAAAGGAAAGCTAGGGACTGCACAGTCAATGGGGATGAACCAGACTGCGTGCCCTGCCAAGAAGGGAAGGAGTACACAGACAAAGCCCATTTTTCTTCCAAATGCAGAAGATGTAGATTGTGTGATGAAGGACATGGTAAGAGTCTTAAAATGCAATTGAAAGAGGCCAATCTTGGAATTTCATGTAGAACCATTTATAAGACAATTTGAAATTGGGGCCTACTGTGGTGCTATGTTGACACACAGGAAAGGGAAGGACAGGTGGCTAGGGTACCGCAGAACCAGGTGCCGAGCTAACTACTGGTCTAGACCTTTATGAGTAAGTCTAGGCAATTCTTCCAGATATAGGAGAATGAGTAAATATGAACCCTAGGAACAGGGTTCATCAGCTCAAATCAAAAGCTCAGAAATTATTTTTTTTCTGGCCTTGACTTACGCTTATATAATGGTGCTCGTTCATGGCCAGAAAAATTCAGAAGCCTGCAGATACAAGGACACAGAAATCCAAAAGGTAGGTAGGAATGCTCCCCCTTTCTTTGGGGATTTAGTTTGTCCTGATAATTCCATCTGGGGACCTGAATTTTCATGGATATCTCAATGTATTCTAAGGACCCAGATTGAAGTATAACAGAAGTGTTTCTAGTTTTGTTTGACATGAAGAAACCTCTGGACATAAAGCTTTTCCCATCCCTATTCAGCCTATAAAGCAATGTTTCTCATCCCTGGCAGTGCATTAGAATTGCTTAGGGAGCTACTAAAAATGTTTCATGTTTAGGTCCCATCTCAGGGCAATTACATCAGAGTCTCTGAGTGAGGACCTTGGTATTGGCCTGATGGAGTAAGTCTGGGGTAGAGCCTAACATTCTACATTTTTAACAAGCTCCCAGGTGATGCTCATGCTGCCAGTCCCCAGGTCACCCTTTGAGTGTTAAGGCTAGAGACTAGAGGAACAGGGGAGACGTCTAAGTATTGGTGAGGTTTGTCTTGGTTGCTGCTAAATGATTGCTGGCCATTTCAACCTGGGGTTTCCTGTTCTGTGTTTAAACACTGACTGTATTACTGGTGTCATGCTGTGACTGTTGATATAAGCAGTGGATCTCAAAAATCCATGCAGCTCCTGCCCACCATTTTCATAGTCTGCTTATAATTAGCCGCTATAACTAATAGTTTCCAAACTGATTTTCTAGGCTTAGAAGTGGAAATAAACTGCACCCGGACCCAGAATACCAAGTGCAGATGTAAACCAAACTTTTTTTGTAACTCTACTGTATGTGAACACTGTGACCCTTGCACCAAGTAAGTTTTAGTCTTTCTCTGATTAAAACACTAGATATAACATGAGAGTTATCATTTTCCTAGGGAAGTAACACTGACTGAGAGTTAAGAATTAGGGTTCTAGTCCTGCTTTGCCTCCAAGCAACTAGATGACTGTTTGCTCATTTAAACACTGGTGAACTTCCTGTGTAGGTGACACTTTGCTGGCCACTTAAGCTAAAGATATGAGCCAGACATATGCCTGGCATCAAGGTATCAGTCCAGAAGCACAGACAGTCAAGGAAAGCAATGGTTATTGTGTTTCAACAGCATGAGAATAGCATCAGAAGAGACTTATGTTCCAGGTGTTACAAATTATACAGAAAAACTTTTCAACTCTGCCTGAGGAGATGGAGGTGAAGACATGAATGTGTCTCATGACTTGAATCTTGAAGAAAGAAAAGAAAGAGCATTAACAGGTGCACATGGATGGAATGCACATTATAGGCAGGGAAACAGCAGCTGCAAAGAGACAAAGGAAGCTCAGGAAAACAGAATACCTGGCTGGAGTGTAGGAAAGACTGAGAAGCGTTCAGGGCTGAATCATGAAGGGCCTTGTCTTTTAGGCTAAAGAGGTTGGTTTTGACCCAAAGTTAGAGAACCTGCCTTGTAAGTCATCTTGGGAAGCTTTTAGGAGTTCATCTAATAGGCTTAAGAAATAAGCACATGATGCCTTATGTTTTATTTGCTAGGAAAATTTTATGTACAGTTGTCCCAGGCTCTCCCCTGGCCACAAGTGTCTGAGAGTGCCCCTATGATGACAGGCTAGGTAGGCATTGGGGAAGCAGCTGACTTAGTAAAATAATAACAATAATAGTAATTCCAAATATTTCATAATCTTGATTTAATTTTCTTGTCATCATAACCTTTTGAAATAGATAATATTATTTCCATGTTATTGATGAGATAAAAGGCTCATGGCAGTGTGACTTCCCAAGCTCACCTAGTCAGGTAATGGGCAGAGGCTGTGAACTCAGACAACCTGATTGTGAATGTTTGTCTGTCTGAAGGAAATCACACATGAACCTCTTGAGTCTCCTGATCACCACCGGTTGCTAAAAGTGGCAGCCTCTAAGGGCCAGCTGAGTACCCTCCCTGAGCTACATCATGGGCGTGGCTATCACCTGGCCATTTTCTTGGTCTATAGGAATTTTTTGAAATTACTTTTGACAGTTTATTTTAAGAGCTAGTTTAAGCTATAGGATTTACGTGTTCAGTTTATTACTAGGTTTAAGTTTATTTTTGTATCCACTTCATCTCTCTTGTGTGTCACTATTTTCCTATCTTCCTTTAACTCTTGAAATCTTAAGACAGAGTCATTCCTTATGATATTTTTCATCCAGCCATCCAAATTATATTAACTTGTGCCAGCTTTAGATACTAATTTAGAAATATTTGAAGGAATACGTTTGCCAGAGATGCAAAGATGAATAAAATGGCCCCTAATTTACAAAGTGCCATTGAAAATTATAAAGGAATTATTCTGCCAGGCTTTTGAATTTCTCCTGTATTTTTTTTTCTAGATGTGAACATGGAATCATCAAGGAATGCACACTCACCAGCAACACCAAGTGCAAAGAGGAAGGTAATTATTTTTTTACGGTTATATTCTCCTTTCCCCCAACCCCATGGAAAGATGTGAAGAAAAACCAATCACTCTTGATTACTAGAAAGTCCTTTATTTAATCTTAAAGATTGCTTATTTTCATATAAAATGTCCAATGTTCCAACCTACAGGATCCAGATCTAACTTGGGGTGGCTTTGTCTTCTTCTTTTGCCAATTCCACTAATTGTTTGGGGTAAGTTCTTGCTTTGTTCAAACTGCAGATTGAAATAACTTGGGAAGTAGTTCACAAAGATTTGCCTCATTCTTACCTATAAAAAGCTACCACTTTGGTAGATTTATGTATTGTTAATTTCTTGCCCCTGAATGCAGCCTTGAGAGCTGACTGATAAGAACAAATGAAATTATTCCTCAGCTAGTTTCTGAGCAACAGTTTTGGGGCATTGAGTGGTATTCTCATCCTTCCTATGAACAGGTGTTCTCTGCAGCAGCAGAATTGGCCAAAAATCAGAAGCAATTCTTCACTATTCATTGAGATCTCCCTATGCAAAAAGAGAACACAAGAAGCAAAGGCATTCCCAGGAAACACATTGCAGGGAACACTTTAAAAACTTGTACTTCACTGCCTCCTCTTCCTCGGCCTAATTGCTTGTTTTTAATTATTTCTCCTTCTTAACTTAAAATACTATGGGGACACATGTTATACAAAGGTGACTTAGTAGAGTCAGTAGAAAAGCCAAAATTAGATATTATCATAATTAGTCTAGAAAAATCCCTTTAAGTCATTCATCAACTACAGGGTCACACCAACTTTCAGTAACTTAGAAGTATTCAATTTTCCCTTCTCAGAACAATTATCTGTTTCTTCAGTTCAGTTGAAGAAGAAAGTTTGCCTTGCCTTTAGCGGTTGTTTAGCTGAAAATACATTTGGGATATTTAAGCACTGTAATTGTGCTCAGAGACATACAGATTCTTCTATCTCACATTGACTTTAATGCATACACCTATTGAGTATGTATGCTTGAGTTATTTGTGTGTGTATTTCATTTCTGGGCATCCATAGCAAGTTGATGTTGACTTGCTTGTCCTACGGCTTCTGCATCCTGCCATAGTCTTGCCGTCCACATCTTTGCTGGACAGAGAGTGGTGCTTGCCATATGGTAAGTCAAAAGCCATCTCCTTGCTAGGCCAGCCTGTGGTAATTAGATGACTAATTAAGATATGTCCTTTCACTAGAACACTTGACTTAGTAGTACGAAAGTTCCAAAATCAGCGGTCTCCTGCGATGTTTGGCCACTTTTAAGTTTCACTGAATTTCTCCTTTTTCCTTCTTATATTTCTCTTAGTGTGAAAGTATGTTCTCACATGCATTCTACAAGGCTGAGACCTGAGTTGATAAAATTTCTTTGTTCTTTCAGTGAAGAGAAAGGAAGTACAGAAAACATGCAGAAAGCACAGAAAGGAAAACCAAGGTTCTCATGAATCTCCAACTTTAAATCCTGTAGGTATTGAAATAGGTATCAGCTTTCCTTGAAAAGAAAAATAGAGAAATTAGTGATTTGGCTTTTTGTTACTTCCTTTTACTTTTTTGTTTCTTGTTTGTTTCATTTTGTTTGAGATGGAGTCTTGCTCCATAGCCCAGGCTGGAGTGCAGGGGTGCAATCATGGCTCACTGCAGCCTCAAAGTCCTGGGCTCAAGTGATCCTCCTGCCTCAACTGTGACCCTGGGACTACAGGCATGCACCACCATGCCAGGTTAATTTTTTATTTTTATTTTTTATAGAGACAGGGTTCACTTTGTTGCCCAGGCTGGTCTCAAACTTTTGACCTCAAGCAATCCTTCTGCCTCAGCCTCCCAAAGTTCTGGGATTATAGGTGTGAGCCATCACATCCGGCCTGTTACTTTCTTTATTTAAACATTGCTTGTGTTTGTGGGTGCATAGGTTAAAGGGGCCTCACAGATGAATTATGATATGGTACCCAAATTAAAAGTAAACTTGTACACAAAAACCGTAAGAATCAACAAAGGAGGGAATTGAGAGTGTGCTGAAAATGAGCTGAAAAAAGAACTTGGCCAACCTCCATGTTCCGTGTTGTTGTTATCCCTGCAGAGAAACAGCCTTTACCAGGCATGGGTTCAGTATCCAAGCCTGAGCAAAGAGATTGCTCTTAAAGTTTGTCATAAGGGCACAGCTTAACTTTCTCTGGCTGCCGGTTGACCTTATGTCTCACCATATCTTTTCCCAACATGGTATCAATATATTTCAGATAGCAAGAAATACACCGAGAAAAGAAACCAGTTGCACTTAATGGAATTATTTTCTTATTTGGGGCCAGGGCTCAGTGGGAGTTAGGATTCTTTAAATTAATATGGTAAAAAAAATTTCAATTTGAGCCATTTTCTGGTATTAAGAATAAGAATAGTTACAGGGAAGAAAATTTTAGAGTAGTTATATTTATTATTTATTTTAATAAGTCTATATGAAAAATAACCTCAACCTATTTTATGAATTCTTTAGGTTTCTTGCCTTTAAAAACTAAGACAATATTGCTTAGTTTCTGGCAAGGCCGGAACCTTTCAGAATAAAAATTGAATGGTAAAAGTAACCTTCTTAATCACTTAATCTAGCTTCCTAATTTTATACATCAAGCAACTGATTGTACTTCTTTCTGAATTAAGGAAAAATTAGAAGTTCACATTTAGAATATTCTAAAGATATATTTTTATTTGTCTTTCTCTGCTTCCATTTTTTGCTTTCTAGGAAACAGTGGCAATAAATTTATCTGGTAAGGCTTTTATCATTTTATTTCATAGAGATGGCATCCTTTAGAGTAATAGGCCAATTTCAGAGTAAAATAATGTTACTAATTTCAGTGACATATTATGGGATCTTGTTATTTCTCATACAATTCTACCTGCTCAGCATAAAGCATTTATCAGGCAGTTTGTTTAAATTTATAATGAATACTCATAGTTAAAAATAATCAAGTAACAATAAGACACAATAGTCTGAGGCTTAAGAAACTTTTCCTTCATAATCAGCTAGATGTATTACAGAACTCCTGCCTAAAAAGATCTAGAGGTTAAAGTGTACTGTAGACTCAGGTATTATCAGTGTACCCAACTCTATAACAACATACATGATTCCATTCAGTTGTTCTTTGATCTGTGATTTAGAGATAAGATGATCATAAACTCTTTGCTTATACTTTTAGATTTGTGGGTCATTGATCATTGGATCCATAAGAGATGTTATAGGTGATCTTTTCCAATCCTCTTAATTTATAAATGAGAAAAGAAGATACAGAAATGTTATGTATTGTGGCCCAGGTTATTTAACAAATTACTGGGTATATGGCAGGATTTGGAGTTAGAACTCAAGGTTGTCTTGTTTCTGTATTCCCCTAGTCAGCTCTTCATAGACCTTTAGGACTTAGCTATATTCTGAAGTACTATAAAAAGAGAAATAAACATGGTTTTCACTAATGGGAATTTCATTTAGAAAAACAAATTTTCAGACTATTTTCTATTTTTCAGATGTTGACTTGAGTAAATATATCACCACTATTGCTGGAGTCATGACACTAAGTCAAGTTAAAGGCTTTGTTCGAAAGAATGGTGTCAATGAAGCCAAAATAGATGAGATCAAGAATGACAATGTCCAAGACACAGCAGAACAGAAAGTTCAACTGCTTCGTAATTGGCATCAACTTCATGGAAAGAAAGAAGCGTATGACACATTGATTAAAGATCTCAAAAAAGCCAATCTTTGTACTCTTGCAGAGAAAATTCAGACTATCATCCTCAAGGACATTACTAGTGACTCAGAAAATTCAAACTTCAGAAATGAAATCCAAAGCTTGGTCTAGAGTGAAAAACAACAAATTCAGTTCTGAGTATATGCAATTAGTGTTTGAAAAGATTCTTAATAGCTGGCTGTAAATACTGCTTGGTTTTTTACTGGGTACATTTTATCATTTATTAGCGCTGAAGAGCCAACATATTTGTAGATTTTTAATATCTCATGATTCTGCCTCCAAGGATGTTTAAAATCTAGTTGGGAAAACAAACTTCATCAAGAGTAAATGCAGTGGCATGCTAAGTACCCAAATAGGAGTGTATGCAGAGGATGAAAGATTAAGATTATGCTCTGGCATCTAACATATGATTCTGTAGTATGAATGTAATCAGTGTATGTTAGTACAAATGTCTATCCACAGGCTAACCCCACTCTATGAATCAATAGAAGAAGCTATGACCTTTTGCTGAAATATCAGTTACTGAACAGGCAGGCCACTTTGCCTCTAAATTACCTCTGATAATTCTAGAGATTTTACCATATTTCTAAACTTTGTTTATAACTCTGAGAAGATCATATTTATGTAAAGTATATGTATTTGAGTGCAGAATTTAAATAAGGCTCTACCTCAAAGACCTTTGCACAGTTTATTGGTGTCATATTATACAATATTTCAATTGTGAATTCACATAGAAAACATTAAATTATAATGTTTGACTATTATATATGTGTATGCATTTTACTGGCTCAAAACTACCTACTTCTTTCTCAGGCATCAAAAGCATTTTGAGCAGGAGAGTATTACTAGAGCTTTGCCACCTCTCCATTTTTGCCTTGGTGCTCATCTTAATGGCCTAATGCACCCCCAAACATGGAAATATCACCAAAAAATACTTAATAGTCCACCAAAAGGCAAGACTGCCCTTAGAAATTCTAGCCTGGTTTGGAGATACTAACTGCTCTCAGAGAAAGTAGCTTTGTGACATGTCATGAACCCATGTTTGCAATCAAAGATGATAAAATAGATTCTTATTTTTCCCCCACCCCCGAAAATGTTCAATAATGTCCCATGTAAAACCTGCTACAAATGGCAGCTTATACATAGCAATGGTAAAATCATCATCTGGATTTAGGAATTGCTCTTGTCATACCCCCAAGTTTCTAAGATTTAAGATTCTCCTTACTACTATCCTACGTTTAAATATCTTTGAAAGTTTGTATTAAATGTGAATTTTAAGAAATAATATTTATATTTCTGTAAATGTAAACTGTGAAGATAGTTATAAACTGAAGCAGATACCTGGAACCACCTAAAGAACTTCCATTTATGGAGGATTTTTTTGCCCCTTGTGTTTGGAATTATAAAATATAGGTAAAAGTACGTAATTAAATAATGTTTTTGGTATTTCTGGTTTTCTCTTTTTTGGTAGGGGCTTGCTTTTTGGTTTTGTCTTCCTTTTCTCTAACTGATGCTAAATATAACTTGTCTTTAATGCTTCTTGGATCCCTTAGAAGGTACTTCCTTTTTAACCTTAACCCTTTTAGTAGTTAAATAATTATTTCCATAGGTTGCTATTGCCAAGAAGACCTCTTCCAAACAGCACATGATTATTCGTCAAACAGTTTCGTATTCCAGATACTGGAATGTGGATAAGAAAGTATACATTTCAAGGGGTAGGTTTTATTATTAAGAAAGCCAAATGAGGATTTTGAAATATTCTTTCCTGCATATTATCCATTCTAGCTACATGCTGGCCAGTGGGCCACCTTTCTTTTCTGCAATTTAATGCTAGTAATATATTCTATTTAACCCATGAGTCCCAAAGTATTAGCATTTCAACATGTAAGCATGTCGGTAAGATAGTTGTGCTTTGCTTAGGGTTCCCTCCTGTGTTATGGTCTGGAAAGTGTCTTTAGGCAGAAAGTCTGAGTGATCACAGGGTTCACTCATTAATTTCTCTTTTCTGAGCCATCATAGTCTGTGCTGTCTGCTCTCCAGTTTTCTATTTCTAGACAGAAGTAGGGCAAGTTAGGTACTAGTTATTCTTCATGGCCAGAAGTGCAAGTTCTACTTTGCAAGACAAGATTAAGTTAGAGAACACCCTATTCCACTTTGGTGAACTCAGAGCAAGAACTTTGAGTTCCTTTGGGAGGAAGACAGTGGAGAAGTCTTTGTACTTGGTGATGTGGTTTTTTTCCTCATGGCTTCACCTAGTGGCCCCAAGCATGACTTCTCCCATGTCAATGAGCACAGCCACATTCCCGAGTTGAGGTGACCCCACGGTCCAGAATCATCCTCATTCTGGTGAACCTGGTTCTCTTTGTGGTGGGCATACTGGGTAGGAGAATCACCCAAAGGTCACCCATGAGCTGCAGAAAAAAAGGCTATTTGCAGAAGGAGCTCACAGATCACATTGAAAGCATTGCATATTCAAACATCTTGGTCTTCTTTATTGGCATGCCCACAGGGTCTTCTGACCTCTGATTAGATCAGACACTTTTTAGATATTGAATCATCAGTTTCTGTACAACTATCTGAATAAGGTATATAATCAATGAAATTTAGAATTTTTTTCTATGCTTACTCCTGATTGGTAATTTGTTTGGGTTTAGAATTCTATACAAGGCCATTTGTAATTTTCCTCAGCACTTTAAAAATATTAAACCATGTTTTCTTAACATCTGTTGCTGTTGATTATGTCTGCTCTTGGTGTAAATATCATTCCTTTGTAGGTAATCTGTAATTTTTTTTCCTCTGGTAATTTTTAAAGCTTCCCCTACTACTTTCCTATGTGTTCTGCAGTTTCACAACAATGACTTTCAATGTGTATTTATTTTTACTTAATCTATTTAATAAGATTTAATTAGAAAGGCAGGGCTTTCATCATTTCTGGAAAAAATCCCAGCTATTTTCTCTTTAAATAGTGTTTCTTTACCATTCTCATTCTCTTCTTCTGAAACTGTTGTTATTATTTGTTGAAGCTTCTTGAGTTATTTTCTAGGTCTCTTAATTTTTTTTAAAACAATAATTGTCTCCGTATGTTGCATTTTAGGAAATTTCTCATTACTCTTTTTAAATTAACTGTTAGTTTTTACTAAGCCCGGCTAGAATAGTCTATCCACTGAGGTATGTATTTTGTTTTCTATATTTTTCATTCTTAATGTTTCTTATTGTTCCTTTTACATTTTTACTTGTATATGTTTCATTCCTGCTTTTTTTAATTTTCTTTCTTCTTTCCCTTTTCTCTCTTTTTTTTTTTCTTCTTGCAGTGCAGACAGACTTTATTAGTACAGCAGAGGTGCCCACAGAGCAGGCAGAAGGGATCAGTGCCTGGATCTGTCCCTTCCTCCTTCTGCCCTCGCTGAGCCCTAGTGTGTCCGGAATTGGTGGGTTCTTGGTCTCACTGACTTCAAGAATGAAGCCGCGGACCCTCACGGTGAGTGTTACAGTTCTTAAAGGCAGCGTGTCCGGAGTTCATTCCTTCTGATGTTCGGATGTGTTCAGAGTTTCTTCCTTCTGGTGGGTTTGTGGTCTCGCTGGCTCAGGAGTGAAGCTACAGACCTTCGCGGTGAGCATTACAGCTCTTAAGGCGGCCCGTCTGGAGTTGTTCGTTCCTCCCGGTGGGTTCATGGTCTCGCTGGCTTCAGGAGTTAAGCTGCAAACTTTCGCAGTGAGTGTTACAGCTCATGAAGGCAGTGTAGACCTAAAGAGTGAGCAGCAGCAAAATTTATTGAAAAGAGTGAAAGAACAAAACTTCCACCCTATGGAAGGGGACCCGGGCCAGTTGCCACTGCTGGCTCTGGCAGCCTGCTTTTATTTTGTTATCTGGCCCCACCCACATCCTGCTGATTGGTCCATTTTACAGAGAGCCGATTGGTCCATTTTACAGAGAGCTGATTGGTGCGTTTTGACAGGGTGCTGACTGGTGCGTTTACAATCCCTGAGCTAGACACAAAAGTTCTCAACGTCCCCACTAGATCAGCTAGATACAGAGTATCAACACAAAGGTTCTCCAAGTCACCACCAGAGTAGCTAGATACAGAGTGTCGATTGGTGCATTCACAAACCCTGAGCTAGACACAGGGTGATGATTGGTGTGTTTACAAACCTTGAGCTAGATACAGAGTGCCGATTGGTGTATTTACAATCCCTTAGCTAGACATAAAGGTTCCCTAAGTCCCTACCAGACTCAGAAGCCCAGCTGGCTTCACCCCGTGGATCCTGCACCGGGGCTGCAGGTGGAGCTGCCTGCCAGTCCCGCGCCATGCTCCCGCACTCCTCAGCCCTTGGATGGTCAATGCGACTGGGAGCCTTAGAGCAGGGGGCGGTGATCGTTGGGGAGGCTTGGGCATGGTGGGCTGCAGGTCCCGAGCCCTGCCCCATGGGGAGGCAGCTAAGGCCTGGTGAGAAGTCAAGCACAGCAGCTGCTGGCCCAGGTGCTAAGCCCCTCACTGCCCCAGGGCCGGCGGGGCTGGCTGGCCGCTCCCAGTGCAGGGTCTGCTGAGCCCACGCCCACCTGGAACTCATGCTGGCCCACAAGCACCATGTGCAGCCCCGGTTCCCGCCCATGCCTCTCCCTCCACACCTCCCTGCAAGCTGAGGGAGCCGGCTCCGACCTTCGCCAGCCCAGAAAGGGGCTCCCACAGTGCAGCAGCGGGCTGAAGGGCTCCTCAAGCACAGCCAGAGTGGGCGCCAAGGCTGAGGAGGTGCTGAGAGCGAGCAAGGGCTGTGAGGGCTGCCAGCACACTGTCACCTCTCACTAGGAGGCTGGGGCCTGGCCTGGACCAGTTTCTCTTGTTCCACCTGAAACACATGAGAATGGAGAGCTCAGGGCTGGCCTTGCTTCTGGCTCCTATTGTCATAACTCTAATGTTATCACTTCATTGAAAAGATTAGACCTCTCCTTCCCCAGTCCCTAGGCAGGGAACCCCAGCCACTGGGGAGAGACAACTTTGTGGGGCCTGGGCTTAGGTATATCCTCTAGACACTTCCGACCCCACCCCACACCCTTTAGTTCTCTGAGGCTCAACGCACTTTCTTTATTTCATTGACAATTTATCATAGTTTAATATAACTTATTCCATTATTTACCTTCTTGAAGATCCTACTGAGTTATTTTAGAGTCTTTTTTAGAGTTGCTCTATTATTTTAATTTTAACTGCAGTGATTTCATGCTGACCTTGTAGGCTGGCTTTCCTCATGTGATTTTCCTTATGAATTTTTGAAATTTGTAGGCTTATCTTGAATAGCCCATTTTTTTCTCTCTGCACTCATCTCTCCATATTTAATAGTTCTGTGTGTTCTTTTGCCAGTTCTTCCAGAGTCCCCAGTTCTGAGCCAAGATTTACTGAGATAATCTTGAGGCTCATACATCATGGTGATATCAGGACTATCACAGATTCAGTCATGCATTTGGGGGCAGCTTGGCTCAGCCACTGGTCATAGGCTGTGCCGAATCTTCTCAGACCCTTAGGCCTGTAGCTTCCTAGAAGCCACAGTCCCAGGGAGTGTTTGGCAGTAGGTCTGTCTTAGTAGCTCTGTCTTAGCTGTCTTCCACAAGACAGAAAGTTCAGAGAGAGAAGAAGGAAAAGAAACTGGTTAGGCAGACAGTTAGGAGGGGTCCTTGGTAAAACTCCTTCAAACAGAGAAATAGCCTGAAAAAATCAAAGCTACAGGCACAGATAGAGCAGCCTGGGGAAAAATTTAGCTTTAGCTGCAGAGATAAGGGAGCAAGGCCTAACAAAGAAGCCTTTGTTCTTTGGATAATCAGCGGGCTCCCAGGAAAAAGTTTCCTCCCCTTTTCAGACATGTACATGATGGGCTCCATGGGAACTTGCACAGGGAGAGGGGCTTACCTAAAACATACCCACAGTTTCATAAACAAGAGAAGCTGTACTTTGTGCTTACCTAAGACATACCTGCAGCTGCACAGGTAAGGAGAGTTACACAGACAGCTACTACACAGTTAAGGGAAGTTACACAAACAGCTACAGAGATGAAAGGAGTTTTTTCTTATAAAAGCTTTTGGATTCAACTGTAAAAGTGGCAACCCTCTTTCAGCCTCCTCTTTGCTGCGGAGAGCTTTCTTCTTTCAATTATTAAACTTTTACTCCAACCTCACCCTTGTGTCCAGGCTCCTTAATTTTCTTGGTCATGAGACAAAGAACTCCAGGTACTACCTCAGACAACAAGACTGAAACATTGTGGTGCACTGGCAAGACTGCAACAGTTCTACATCAGCCCGTGGTTTTAAGAAGGGAGCCTGGTTCCTGTTCTGCCTCAGGTGGGGCACATTTATTCCGTACCAAACCTAAAAGCAGGCTTTGCTTTGCTTCCAAGCATTGATCCAACTAAGCTTTGGCTTGTTGTGCACAAGTCATCATCTTGTAGTTGTTTCCATTCTTATACCATGAAAGGATTGATCTTATTTTTGAGCTTGGCTATGCCTTTTTATTTTCCTTTAGAGACGTTCTATGTATCATTGCTATTTGCTCAGATTGGTAGGAGGTGGCCCTCAAGAAATGAACTTACAATTTGGTATTAACCCCAGGGCCCATTAGATAACTAGAAACAATGTTTTGTTTTGTTTTACATTTTTAAGTTAAAACTAAGGATCAAGTTGTTTTTCAGTTATATAGGGCCCTTTGACAGGACTTGATATGGTTTGGATCTGTGTCCCCACCCAAATCCCATGTCGAATTGTAATCCCTAATGTTGGAGGTAGGGCCTGATTGGAGGTGATTGGATCATGGGGGCGGAGTTCTCATTAATGGTTTAGCACCAATCCCTTGGTGCTGTTCTTGTGATAGTGAGTGAGTAATTGTGAGATCTGGTTGTTTTAGAAGTGTGTAGCAAAGGCCGGGCACAGTGACTCACACCTGTAATGCCAGCACTTTAGGAGGCTAGGGCGGGCAGATCACCTGAGATCAGGAGCTTGAGACCAGCCTGGCCAACATGGTGAAACCCCGTCTCTACTAAAGATACAAAAAATTAGCTGGGCGTGGTGGCACACGTCTGTAGTCCCAGCTACTATGGAGGCTGAAGCAGGGAGAATCACTTGAACCCAGGAGGTGGAGGTTGCATTGAGCTGAGATCGTGCCATTGCACTCCAGCCTGGGCAACAGAGCGAGACTCCATCCCAAAAAGAAAAAGAGAAGTGTGTACCACCTCCCCTGACCCTTGCTCCTTCCCTGGTCATGTAAGACATGCATGCTTTCCCTTCACCTCCCACCATGTTTGTAAGTTTCCTGAGGCCTTCCCAGAAGCAGAAGAAGCTACATTTCCTGTACAGCTTCCAGAACCATGAGCCAATTAAACATCTTTTATTTATAAATTACCCAGTCTCGGCTGGGTGCGGTGACTCATGCCTGTAATTCCAGCACTTTGGGAGGCCAACGCAGGCAGATCACAAGGTCAGGTGTATGAGACCAGCCTGGCCAACATAGTGAAACCCCATCTCTACTAAAAATACAAAAAATTAGCCGGGTGTGGTGGCGGGCACCTGTAATCACAGCTATTCGAGAGGCTGAGGCAGGAGAACTGCTTGAACCCAGGAGGCAGAGGTTAAAGTGATCCAAGATTGTGCCATTACACTCCAGCCTGGGTGACAGAGCGAGACTCCATCTCAAAAAACAAACAAACAAAAAATTACCCAGTCTCAGTTATTTATACCAATGCAAGAACAGACAAATACAGGACTCAGGAGAAAAGAAAAGAGACTGTAGGGTTTCCCACATAGGTCTGCATCTTATGATAGTGGTGAATTGAGAGTCATACAGATCTGGGATCAAATATTTATTTTCCTCATAAAGGTAGAAACAAATGGCTTAATCTCTTCGAGTCTTAATTTCCTTATTTTTTGTGAAGATTAAAGTGTATATGAAGTATCTACCAGTGTTTAGCTCTGTACCTTGATAGATGGTAACAACAACAATAAAAAACCTCAGATGCTTAAGCAAAATGGAAATTTATTGACATATGTTACTAGATGCTCAGATATGGGGTGGGTTTGACTAACCTAAACCAGTGCCTCCAGTCAAGATTCCTTGTTATTTTCTTGAATCTACCCTCTTCATTTATCTACTTCTTGTCCATCTCTTCATATATTTGCTTGCCAAACTGGTAGTGACAAGGTGCCTGCAACCATTCTCGACCTATCTAAATATCACAGTCCAGAAGAAATGACACTTATGCCCCCCGTCCTCCAAGCACCTCCCCTGACCCTTGCTCCTGCTGCTCCTTGCTGCTGAGAGCCATTCTTATTCAACTGTTTAGATCATAAGCGACCTCTGAATTAATGACTTATGATTGGAGAATTGGATATGTCGATTGGCTTAATCCACAGGCCCCATTCTTGGAGCCTGGCATAGGATCAGCTTCCCCTGAGTGTCAAAAGATTGGGAGTGGGGAGGCAGGAGGACTTCTGTTAAGAGGATGATAGAGGGTTCTGGGTAGGAGTGTCAGGATGTGTTTAGGTACTCAAGCTGACTTAAACTGTAGAAAAAAATGTATTACCTCATATGACAGGCAGTCCAAAGGTGTGGCTCACTGAAGCCTACTTGTACCAGCTCACAAGAGCTAATTACTAAATTCTTAGGAATTTTGAAAGCCAGTTGTTAAATCGTTGATAGCTTGATATTGTCATACTGGGAGTATTTACACTATAGAAATTGTCAAAGGCTACAGATCAGGAATCTCCCCCGACCCCCACAAAGACAGTTACTGGCTACTGGGCAGAAGTCAGTGTTGGTGGCTGATTCAGTGTCTCAATGATACTATCAGGGTCACAGGATTCTTTTCTAGTTTTCCAATCTGTAGCTTCAACATTGGCATTCAATTAGAGTTATTTGTTTTTGCATGGTCATCCAATGGCTTTATCAGTGAATCAACAGCATGATTCTTTATCCGTATTCAATAGCAAAGAAAAAGAGAGAAAAACATGAAAAAATTCTCCCCTCAGATATGGATCATATACCTGGCCTTTTAGTATGATTGAGCCAAATTTAGTCGTCTGCCTACCTGTGTGGTCTGCCATATACTGATTGACTCAGGCAACTCAGGAGCCACCTCTGGAGCTGTGGACAGGATCAGTTTCTCCTAAGCTTTATGAGTTATGGGAAAAAGTAGATCAGAATGGAAATACTACTAGAAAAACAAAAGGGTGAAATGGATGCTGAATAGTCTCCTCTGTAGAAAAGAACAAACAATATCAACTACACATATTCTCCATGTCCCTCACAAGTTGAGTAGGCACTTATAGAGAAAATCTAGATCCTAGGGCAAAAGGAAGTTCATTGTTATTGGCCTTACTGTTTCAGAACCCCCAAAACAGACACATGGACTTTTTTATGAAGTAAAGAGATCTTCAAGAATCTTTACACCTTTTAAATGACCTCAACTGAGTCTAGGTCAAGTCATGGCTGCTGGAGAATGTTTTTGATTGGATTTCTTTGAAAGAAGCCTTGAGGCAAGGTTTGGGTACAGGTGGTTCATTTAAGACGTGATTCCAGGAAACATGGTGATGATGTTGTAAAGTAAGACAGGGAATAAGGAAAAGCCCATAGTGCAGGCCCTGATAACTATGCTATTGCTATAGACAAGTGGGGCCCAATTCTACTGGGGTCCCTCTGAAAGGCTATGTAGGACAAACCTCCACATTGTACCAACAAGGCACAGGGAAGCTGAGTCTTGACACCAACTCCAGTCTTTCATTGGTTGAGGGGTCTTTCTAGGGCATTAACTCCCTAATATCCCTAATACTTCTGGCCTGTCTTCTTCCCTCCAGCTTTGGTATCCTGAGGACAGACACCTTTAAGCAGAGAGATGGAGGAGGCCATGTGTCACATTTGTTAGCAGGTGATCTCTTGATGATCCAGGGTCCAATAGTGTCTATGGCAAACAGCAGGCTGCTGAGATGTCTAAGTATAGAAGGACTAGGGTATCTCATGGGATAACTCGTTCTGCATGAAAAAGGTAATGGGCATGGTGAATTTTGTTTATTAAGAACACCTTAGTTGGTGACATTAATTTTCAGTATAGATTGGCGTCTATTGCTTAAATCTCTTGCCCATGGATGAAAGCAAAGAAAAATCAATAAAGAAAGTTGAAAGAGCTATTTTACAAAGCTTGGAAAAACACTGGTCTCTCATCCCTGTGTCAAAATATAGTGCAGATTTATCCAGACATCCAATCTTCCTTTCCTTTCCTCGCTTCTCCCCTCTCCTCCTTAACACGTGCATATTGTCCAAACCACCATCTTGCTTTGGTATAAGGGGAATTCCACTCTTGTGGGTGTCCAAAGGCCACTCCTGTGGAATTCTTACCCTTATGCCATCTAAACCATGCACCTCTGATATGCACTCACATATAATTGTCTTCTGTAGATGTTTAATTATCTCCCCTTTGCTAGGCCATAAGCCATCTGAGGGCAGAAATCATGATTAGCACAGAGTAGGTGTTCAGTCAACATTTCTTGAATGAATCAGTTAATGAAGGAACATTATGTATGCAGTAGTCATTTGTGTTCTGTATGACTGGCATTTGATGGAAAAGTCACAGCGAGTGTTAGGGAAGCTGAACTTTTTTTTTTTTTTAAACATTGTATCATTAATTTATCACGTGTATCCAAGCTCCTTTGAGTTTCCCTGCCCCCATCCCTGTGTCATTCCAGCCATATCCAGCTACTCCTTCCATGCTTCCCCCATTCTTGTTTCTGACTCTATTACTCCCAGTCCAAATCTTGCTCTTCACTGTCTGCACCTTGTGCTCTCCTCTCTCTCAAAAAAATCTACCCAAATTCCACCCCTCTTCACAGGCCCAGGGAAATCACTAGTTCCCGCAGGAGGCTGTAGGCTGTAACCAACTCTCTGAAAGCTTTGAGTCCTCTCTGAGGTCATCTGTGCTTGTCCTCGTTCCATCAGGCACTCCTATGTTACTTGACCTGTGGTCTGCATGTACAGATCTTGTACCCCATATACATTGTAAGGTCCTTGAAGGCAGAAAAGGAAGCATAAAGAAGTGGGTAGGAGTGTAAGCTCTGAAGACTGTGCATTTGAATCCCTGCCATTCCTAGATTTGGGACCTTGTCACCTTGGGCAACTTATTTACCTCCTCTGGGCCTTAGTTTTCTCACTTCTAGAAGAGGGAAAATGATAGTATCTGCCATGTAGTGCTGCTCTGAGGATTAAATGAGATACTCCACTTAGAGCCCATGGAATGGTATCTGGCATGTGATAAGCGCTAAATATAGCTTTCCTATAATTACAGTAATGCCCAGGGCTCCACAGGCCCAGCCCAGCACCAGTACAGGAATAGTATGACATTGATGCTAGAGTTGGCAGATTGAGGAGAACACACAAAGGGCTAATGATGTTCAAATACACATCAGATTTCACACAGAGCTTTGGGCTTGACTTCCCCAGCTGCAGGATTCTTCTGGCTATCTGCTTTATAAATAAAAAGCACAAGTCTGCAGTAAAATGCAGGGAAGTGACAAGAAGGCTCATTCAAAGGTCATGGCAAATGAAATAGCCACAGGTAAAAGTTTCCCTTCATTGTATGCTTTCTGTCCATTCTTGTGGATGCTGCTGCAGCAAGGAATTTGGGAAAGGGCCATTGGTGGGAGCAATGTGTCCTAGTCACCTAAACGAAAGACACTGAAGTGAGTGCAACAAAATGGACTTTCTTTTCCAGGGTGGCACCCTCCCACCAACCATCCAAACCCCTCTGTCTAAAGAGCGCAGCTTAACCTCTGGATTATAAGGATTTCAGATTTGTTTCCTAAATCTGGAACTCAAAGCTTTCTCCTCCTCAATCTACCCCCAATAACCTTGTCTCTTTTGGAAGCCTTCCCTGCAGTTCTAACAAACTAAATGGTTCATAACTTGACCTCATGAATGCCTCTCTTCTATATGTTTTCTTAGCTTTTGACCTGGAATTCCCTTCTTCCCATCCATGAAGGTCAAATGCCACCCCTCTTTCAAGTCTTAGTTGGAGGCCACCTCTTTATGAAACCTTCTCTGGTGTCTCAGGCTAAAGACACTGTAGGCCACATCTGTTTATTAGGGCCAACAATGCCTCCCTCATTTTTTGTGGTATGGATTAAAGACAATTCTGAAAAGCACCTAGAACAGTGTCTGGCTTACTCAAAAATGGTAGACATTATTATCATTATCACTCTCATCCTAATTAATTATATATAGAGCTTATTATCCTAAAGGCAGTGGAAGGGAGTAAGGATTATGTTTGACTAATTTTACAGGTCTAGGCATCAAAGAAAAATTTGCTGTACAAATGATCATACAAATTAATGAGCGAAAAGATATCTAACTCATCCCTGAGACAACATGAGGTGCAAACAACTGTGTGTTTCTAAATCTGCAGTACAACCCAGCAAGTATATCATTGTTTTTCCTCCTGATTATGAAGCCAGTACATAGTCAGCTAGAAAATTCAAGCAATACAAAACAGTTTTAAAAAGAAAGTGCAAAAGGCCGGGTGTGGTGGCTCATGCCTGTAATCCCAGCACTTTGGGAGGCCGAGGAGGGTGCATCACCTGAAGTCAGGAGTTCGAGACCAGCCTGGCACCATGGTGAAACCCCGTCTCTACTAAAAATACAAAAATTATCTGGGCGTGGTGGCACGTGCCTGTAATCCCAGCTACTCAGGAGGCCAAGGCAGGAAAATCACTTGAACTTGGGAGGCGGAGATTGCAGTGAGCCAAGATCATGCTACTGTACTTCAGCCTGGGCAACAGAGTGAGATCTGTTTAAAAAAAAAAAAAGTGCAAATTAATCCCAATCCCACTGTTCAAAGGTAACTCTTGTGAATTTTTAGATATCTACACACACACAAAGTTAAAGAAAGGTGATCACACCATACACGCTTATAACATGCTTTTTACTCAACAATGGGTTATGGTTGCTATTCCATGTTAATAAATAAAAATAATTTCTTTTTAATATTCCTTTTAAATATAATTGTTATGGTTTGGCTGTGTCCCCACCCAAATCTCATCTTGAATTGTAGTTCCTATAATTCCCATGTGTCATGGGAAGGACGTGATGGGAGGTAACTGAATCATGGGGATGGGTCTTTACCATGTTGTTCTTATGATAGTGAATACGTCTCATGAGATCTGATGGTTTTATAAAGGGGAGCTCCCCTGCACATACCCTCTTGCCTCCTACCATGTAAGACATGACTTTGCTCCTCTTTTGCCTTCAGCCATCATTGTGAGGCCTCCCCAGCCATGTGGAACTGTGAGTCCGTTAAACCTCTTTCCTTTATAAATTACCCAGTCTCAGTTATGTCTTTATTAGCAGTGTGAAAACAGACTAATACAATAATATTCTTTTTTGGTACATAGTATTTCACTGCTTTGGGGTATCATATGTTGGTAAAATACAAATGTTATCATAATTTATTTTGCTGAAATACAAATGCTATTAAAGAATGTGAAGACATTTAACCACTATGGGTCATGAACACTTTAGTTCTTACTTGACTTATTTAACCTTAAACTAAAGACTTGGTGGGGGAGGGCAAGGAGGCCATGCCCCAGGAATTGGGCATAGGTCTGCTGTGTTAGCAGGCTCAGGTGAACAGAGTGTCTCCAGATGGCTGAGGAAAGGGAGAGCTCTGGACAAAGGATGAAAGAGAAGAGGTTGATGTTGAAATGGACTTCTCTAGGTAGATACACTTGGGTTGGCCCTGTCTGGGGCTTTGGGCCTCTCTAACTCTCAACTTCCAGTATAAGTCTAAGCCAAGTTCAAAGGTATAGGTTCTGGAGCTTCTCCCAACAGAACAAGGTCGTTTCCATATGACTCAATACTGGCCAAACAGCTAGCCAGTAAGTTATGGGGAGGAGGGAAAAAAAAAGAAAGTACTTAATTAAAGAGGGAGGAAATTAACTTTATTGAGTGCCTACTATGTACCATCGTATATGCTTACACAAAAAAGTGTTTGGCAAAATTCAATATCTACTTATGACAAAAATTTTTATGAAACTAGAAATAGGAGGGAACATTTTCAATTTGGTGAAAGGCATCTAGGAAAAACCATTGACTAACATCAGACTTAATGGAAAAGAATTGAGTGTATGTTATCTGACTACTCCATCCAATGGTTCTGTTATCCCCACTTTACAGATAGAGGAGACAAGGGCTGAAAATATCAATTAACTTGCATAAAGTTATACAAAGAAAATTCTAAGAAATCAGGAGGCTATTGTTAAGAACACTTGCAATCTTTAACGTCCTGCTAGGACTAAAAAATTGTGTCTATCCTCTTCCTACTTTGAAATTTGAGTTTGATAGATAGGGTTTCAGCAGCAACTTGGAGATGCTAAACAACAAATAATATCAGATTCACTCTGGAGGCTGCAGCAGAAAGATCATCAAAGATATGGTTTGGAAGATGTGACTTGAGGGGAATAAAAATGAAGTTATTGAACCAAAATTAGCCCTGTTTATGGGTTTGTTCATTCATTCAATAAATGCTTATTGTATTTCTACTCTGTGCCAGGCACTGTACTAGGTCTGGCTTATATACATGGTTACCTCCTGGAACCATTAGTCAAGAGGCAGACACTAATGGGATAGTGACACAGTTAAATGCTAAACACAACTTTGGCAGATGTCATTAGAAGAAAATGTAATGTGGGAGCATGACAGGAGGACTTGACTTAGTGTGTGAAGTCAGGAAAGTGACCAAGGATCTGAAATCTCACGAAACGAAGGTCTTGCTAAAGGTTCCCTGGCAGGAGCAAGAAAGAGGAGCAGAGAGATTGGAGGAAAGGAGATCAAGAACAGCCTGAAGCCTGTTCATGTGGGGGTAGTCACTGACTGTGGCTTTACTTATACAGCAGCTTGGGAGGTTTGACATTCAAGGCAGGAGAAGTACTTGTAAAGATTGCCCAAACTGAGGACTTATTAATAGCTGACAACTTCCACAGATTCCTGGGATGGCTTGAGCAAACTTTTTTGTTATCTTGAAGGCTGAATGTTTCATGTTTTTGTCCGCCTAGCCATACAGCACTAGCTGTGTTTGGGGCCCTCCACGTAATTCTGTGGTCTGTATCATGTGTCTGCCAAGTGAAACCCCCCATGAAGATTTTCTTGTGAATTTCCAGATGTTAGTGTGTTGAAATTGAATGGAGAAGAGTCCCTCTTATCTCTGTATATTCCTGGGAATTGAAAGGGATGGCGGTCCCTCTTCCCAACATTGAAATCAGCCTTGGCTTCTTCAGGAAGATTTTGTAACTATGACAAATATATATATATATATTTTTAAAATTTTCATTTTAGGGCCAAAGTTCTAGAAAGCTAGACATGTGTCAGCTGCAGAAAGTATCCACCGAGATGAATGGTTTTGGCTCTGCTGGCTATTGCATGGCATGATGACCTCGTGTTCCCAGCCCTAAATGAGTAAATTAACCTCAGCTAGGAGAAAAAATCTTAGCTACAAAACCAAAGGCCAAAGTCCAGAGGACTCGTCAGCTTCATCAGTAGAGAGTGAGTATAGCTCAACACAAATCCATCACTGAAAGCAGTGCAACCAAGGCAGCGGCGAGGTTGGTGGGGGCTGGGAGGAATCAACTTCTCTAATGACAGACAAGGCTGTGCTTCACTTCCACATGGCCACAAGGTGGCAGTGTTTCTCCTGGTACTAAAATTTGCCCCTGCTTGTATGAAAAAGACTTATTCCCTATGGAAACAATGTCTGTCATTTCACATTTTGATTCATTTTTTTTCCTCAACAGAGAAACAGGCCAGCATGGGGTAAGGCAAGGATTAAATGTGAAATCGGGTAGTCCAGGTTCTAATTCTAGCTCTGCCGTGAACTAACTGTATAACTTTGGATTTACCATGTCTGAGTTTCAATTTGCTCATCCACAAAATGGAGATACATCTCGCCTGCTCTTCTTATAATTGTCAGGCACAATAATAAACTATATATGCAAGTGTGATCAATTATAACGTACCATAACACTGGTTCTTAACTTTTAATATAAGAATCACATGAGGAAATTTTAAAAATACACACCCTCAAGGCCCAGCTTCTAAAGATGTTTCAAGAAGTCCAGGCCTATGCCTTAGAGTTTGTATACTACTACATATTCATCTGCAGGTATCAAGATGATGAAGGCCTAGGGACCACAATTTGAGAAACTACACTATGCAAATATATACCAGTAGAAAGTGAGAGGTTAAGGCACAGAAGTTTCTCTTACCTTTTCATGTAATGGTATTTATTTTTCTCTATTTTGAGTAAAAGTTTTACAAACACTCCACTACCCTTAGATTAACTAACTGAGGGCAGAAGTCTATATTTTATTCACCTCCTTATGTTCACAGCAATTGTTAGGATGTTAATTGGATAATAATCAGATAACAATGGTTATCTGAATCTTTGATGGAGGTAATCTGTAGAGCATCCCTAGCAATGTCACTCCATTTACAGGGATATTTGGTGATAGGACCTGGCAGACTCAATAGAATTCACCTGAGCTTTGCCTTTGTACCCCCATGGGCTCATTTTTGTCACCTAGTAAGTGACCAGTGCCATTTAGCAATTGCTGAATCATGGGCTTCACTGTGCTGAAACAGTTGTGCAGGAAATTTAGCAATGAGGTTCCATAAAACTCCCGGAGTTTTCTGTCACTATGGTTATCACAGATCACCAGGGCTTTTCAACCAGCACCGGCAGTATTTTCAGGGTCTTTAAGAGAGACTTAGCCCCCTTACTCCTCAGAGGGTGCTCCCTGCTGAGCTGTTGCCCTAAGAGAGGGTCTAGTTCAAAGGTGAATATAGCAGGAGAGATGTGCAGTCTGGCACCTTGGGCCTGTGGCCAGGGTACAATAGCTCGAATGTGATATCCCCAGCACCTGAATGTGGATATTCAAATCTCCTCTTAGGTAACAGCAAAGAAGACTCTTAGCAAAGTTGTCAGAGGCAGCTACGGAAACTTGCTGTATTCAAATTTCACATTGATAGAGAAAGGAAAGTGCTTAAATTGAACCATGGGCTTTTAAATCTTTCAGCAAATATTTATTGAGCAACAGTTGTTTTTCAGCAGGAACCATTCTAGGCCTTTGATTAAAATGTGAGTAAAATATCCAAAGACTCTGCTATTCTGAGGTTGAGATTCCAGCAGCAGGAGATGGAAAAATAATAAACATAATGATTACATAAAATACTTTATGTTAGGAAGGGATATATGATCTGGTAAGTAATGCAGGGTATAGGAGATTGGGGAGAAGTCAGTGAGGGGAAGAAGCAAGGTGTATTATTAAATAGAATGGTGAGGAGAGGCCCCTGTGAGATTGGAACAAAGACTTGAAGAAGAGTTGTTCAAACAGAGAAAATAACAAGAGCAAGGGTCTAGGGCCAGAGCACGCCAGGCACTCAGGAGGCATAGCAAAGATGCCAGTGCAGCTGCAGTGGATGAGCTCAGGGAGATCACGGGAATCCAGACCACATAGACTTGGTCCTACTGGAGGACAAGGATTTTGCTGAAGGTATCTTTGTATCCTCAAGGACGAATATTGTGTTTTGCTTGCACCAGAGGCTCGAATGGATTGGCCTCAGGATAGGATAAAGCCTTGGGGGAGGTTGTGCCACAGGAAAGAGCTGAAGGTCTAGCCTTCAGGGAATGGGCACCCCTTTGGGAAAAGAGATAATTCACGAGAAGTGGGTATAGTATGCATGCTGGAGTCAATTGCAGTGTGGAGAGCTGCAGAAGAGCATTTGCTGAATTAGTGGGACCCTAAATCAGTATGGGGAAAGGTCCCCACTGCAGCACTTTCTACACCTCATCCTCCTATATTCTACTTGTGCCTGTGGCCTTTTCTCCACCCCGCCCCCTGCCCACTCAGCACTCAACTGACCTATGCATAACACCTTAGTCATCCTTTCACTGAGAAAGGACTTTCTTAAGAACTTAGAATGCGGAAAGTCCCTTTCTCCTTTTCCTCTTTTTGTTTTCAATTGAGATGAAGATCACATAACATAACAATTAACCATTTTAAAGTATACAATTTCGTGGCATTTAGCACATTCACAATGTTGTGCAATCGCCACTTCCATCTAGTGCCAGAACATTTTCTTCACCTCAAAAGAAAATCCATTAAGCAGTCACTCCCCACCCCTCCCTCTCCTCAGTCCCTGGAAACCACTAATCTGATTTCTGTCTTAATGAGACGAACTCTTCCAGATATTTTATGTAAATAGAATCATATTCTGTGTAGCCTTGTGTGTCCAGTTTCATTCACGGAAATGCGTTTCTTAACTCTAAAAACAATCCAGTAAAGATGCAAATTTTAATTACTGCACAGTCAGGAAGGTAATGCAGTGGCAGCTAGTTATGTCTGATGGCAGCAGTCCAAGGCTTTCAAGATTTCTTCAGCTTCTGAAGGTGACATGAGGAAAATGAAATGTACATAATGCTTGTCAGACTTCTATTTCCTAGAGCCAGTAAGCTTTGGATAAAGATCCAGAATATGGACGACATCAGTAATAGCTCTGATAGATCACCTCACAGCCTTACCTCATGTTCCGCCCTTAACTGTCAATAACAGCAAGTGTTAGAACAGGTAAGTTTACTGTGCTGGTTTCCTGTGGAGGGTGGGAGTGAAGAGAGGTTTGAGGTTGTCTTATTCTTCAGTCTGGGTGTATTATCATCAGTCCATGCAAGAACACTTGAAAACATTTTTTCATTTATGTATTTTATTCCCAGACTCCACTTCTATTGGCATTCCTAATAGGTAGCCATTCTAATGTATTTAAAATGCACGTTTCTCTTTGTGTGTAGTAATGTGAACTATTTATTGCTGTCTTGTGTACCTACATTTTTTTTTTTTTTTTTGAGATGGAGTGTTGCTCTTGTTGCCCAGGCTGGAGTGCAGTGGTGCGATCTCGGCTCACCACAACCTCCACCTCCCAGGTTGATTGTATGTTAACATATCTCATGATATTTCCACTCAATATGATGTTTTGAAGATCAATCCATATATATGTACGTAAATAAGTCAATAAACTTTTGTATATTAACCTGTATATATAATTCATATATTTGTAAGCATCATGTATATCACACACATGCATACACATATATCTAAATATACATCATATATCATATATCATATGACATCATATACATCATATATATCACAGCACCTTGCACAAACTTGGTGTTAAATAAATTAGTATCAACAGAAGGATCAAGTTTTGCTTTTCATACCCACAAAATAGTTTCTTTCTAAACTAATCTACCTTTTTGAAATGCAGGATAAATATAATACTATTATTCAAGATAATAAAATCACTTCATACACACACGCACACACACACATATATATATACACATATACATACATATGTATGTATATGTATGTATATGTGTATGTGTATATATATACTGGAGGACAAGGACTTTGCTGAAGTCATCTTTGCATCCTCAAGGACGAATATTGTATTTTACGTGTACCAGATATATATATTCCATTTTGCAGTGGGTCTTATTACCCTCATTTTAAAGATAAAGAAACTGAGGCTCCAAGAAGATGACTTTGTACATATTCACACCTCTTGCTGCTGACAATTCAAACTGAATTCTTGTACTCCAGAGAGACTCCTGATATCATGAGTAGTGTCATTTGTTGGAAATCATGGTCATGCCTTCACTGGAAGCCTAGTGAACTTTCACTGAACACCAACAGGCATCTGGCCTGAGATCTAGAGTTAACTGAGTGGGTGCTTTTCCCCCACCCCGAGTCAGTTCTCAACTGATGCTTTTTTTAAGGTGAACAGACCAGGCTCAGGTCAGCCAGGTACTTTCTGTGCCTCATACTGTCTTTCACAAATGTGGGGTGTGTGTGTGTGTGTGTGTGTATGTGTTGTGAAGTCCCTATTCTGTATTCTGTTTCCAGCTTACAAGATCCAGTGGTTTCTAACAAGAGCTACAGTGGCCTTGTTTGTTTCCAGGTGATTCTTTCTTGATGGCATTTGGCAATATGATTGAGACGACAGCTCGCTGACTTTAGAAACATATGTACACACCTGTAATGTGACATTTTGTTAACTGAAAAAATATGTATTGAATATTTGTCCAACTACATCCTAGCACTCATCTAAACGCTGCGCATATAGCAATGTACTCAATGTTATTACCACAATGAGTTTACCTCATGATGAAAATATACAGCAGAAAATAAATATAGTAATTAAATATTTTCTACTCTAATAAAGAATATCAAGAAAAAGTACAGATGCTATGAACTGATATAGCAAGAAAACCTTATTTAGACTGGGGCGTGGGTGGAAGATCAGGGGGAGGCTTCCCAAGGAAATGACCTATGTTTCCTTCCATGTCTAAATGTATCTCTGTATAGACATGAACGGATAATCATGAAAACTTAAAGGTGACTATCTCCAGGCAGTGGAATTATGTGGGATTATTTTTTCCATATATATTTATATAATATGGGAGGAAGGTTTTTCTCAACCCTCTTAGGGTCCCTGAGAGAGCTGACACAGACAGATTAGCAGGAGAGAAGCATTACGAATTTATTTAACATAAGTTTGATGTGACACAGAAGCCTTCAGAAATGAAGATCCAAAGACCTGTTGTCCCAGCCACTGGGGAGGCAGAGGAGGGGAGATCAATTGAGCCCAGGGGTTTGAGGCTGCAGTGAGCTATGATTGCAGCACTACATTCCAGTCTGAGAGACAGAGCTAGACTCTGTCCTAAAGAAAAAAAAAAAAAAGATCCAAAGACACAGGTAAACTTGTTTATTTTTAATGCTGGGTTTGATGAGATGGATGGACATGAGCAAGTAGGATTGGACAACGGTGGTATGATCTAACGGTAGTAATTGAGAAGAACTTAGCAAAGCCTGTTTGTTCAGATTCCTCTTGACATTTCTGTGTCTTTGAAGATAAGAATGCTTCTTTCCTCTGGGTATAGGGAAGGTACCTCTTGAATGAGGGTCTTACGACCTGCTTAAGGGGAGAAGGGCAGTGTAAGGTGAGAGTGACCTTCCTGCTTCTGCTATTTTTTCAAGTTCCGAGGTGCCATATTTTGGGGCAGAATGTCCTGAATCCCAACAACATCCACAAGAATTATATTTCAAAGGCATTTACTATGCAGATAAAGTACATAGGCATTTATTGAAGGCACAGTTGATTCAAATCTATAGGGGATTTACCCTTTGCTGATTTTGTGCCTTTGACTTTGTAGCACTGACTTAATCAGGAACTATTTGATACTTACAGAGGGACTTGGGAAATCTCAGAGACTGCATTTTTCTCAAGGGACAGATTGCAAAATATTCATTACAAACTTAAATATAGTCAGCGTCTGCTGGACTCTAATAGAAGCCATCACACATGGCTAATTTTCCTGCAGCACCAAGAATTGAACCTCCTTGATGAAGAAGCCACTCAAGTCAGAGCACCTATACCATGTGTGCATGCAAAGGAAGATGTTGAAGAGAGTTTGCACTACTTGGGAGCTTGCTGTCTAGTGGAAAAGCCAAGCCAAGCACATATAAACACATTCTGAGTGCACATTGGTAGCATTCTTTTGCAACCCAGGATGGCAGGTTGGTCATCTTAACTGTGGTCATTTAACATACGGCAGTGAGCGTGCATGATTACTTGGTGGGAGGGATGTTTAAAATGTGGAGGACTGTACTCATGCCTGAGATTTTAATTCAGAGGTGCAGCACAGAGATCTAAATCCCTAATGTGTTCCCATTGATAACCCCTTCAGAAATAAGGAACCTGTAGATGGTCTTCAAGGGGCTTTGAATCCTCTAAAATTATATATTAAATTTGGCTTGCAAATAAATTTGTCTAGGAAGCAATGCCTTTTGTTCATCAGCTTTTTAAAATCCATGTTGAAAATAAGTTAAAAATCACCACCAAGAAGAATAAATATTGCTGCACAATTACCAAGTGACTGGCCCACAGCGGGACACTTTAGACACATTGTCTTATTCCAACAAAAACCCATGAACTGTATTTATGTCTCCATTTTACAAATTATGAAACTGAGGCTCAGAGAAGTTAAATATTTCTTCTTCTCCCGAAACCCCCACCCGCTCTAGTTACATAGCTCATAGGTAAAGACAGAATTTGGACTATAGTCTTTTTTTCTTCTATCTCTTTACTTTGTATGTGTGTGTGTGCATGTACACATGGTTAATTTTTAAAAAATATTGTGGGTACAGAATAGTAATATATATTTATGGGGTACATGAGACATTTTGATACAGGCATGCAATGCATAAAAATCATCACATCAGAATAAATGGGGTATTCATCACTTTAAGCATTTATCCTTTCTTTGTGTTACAAAAAATTAAATCATACTTTTAGTTGTTTTTAAATGCACAATAAATTATTGTTGATTGTAGCTACACTGTTGTGATATCAAATACTAGATCTTATTTATTCTTTCTAAGTATAGTTTTGTACCCATTAACCAGCCCCACCTCTACCCTCCCACCCCCACCCCCACCCCCAATACACTTCTCAGCCTCTGGTAACCATCATTCTACTTTCTATCTACATGAGTTCAATTGTTTTCATTTTTTTAGCTACCACAAATAAGTGAGAACATGCAAAGTTTGTCTTTCTGTGCCTGGCTTATTTCAGTTAACATAATGGCCTCCAGTTCCATCCATGCTTTTAAAAATGGCAGATCTCATTCTTTTATATGGATGAATAGTTTTCCATTATGTATATGTGCCAAATTTCTTTATTCATTCATCTGTTAAGGAACATTTAGGTTGCTTCCAAATCTTAGCTATTGCAATTAACATGGAGTGCAGATATCCCTTCAATATAATGGTTTCCTCTCTTTTGAGTGTATACGTAGCAATGGGATTGCTGAATCATATGGCAGTTCTTTTTTTAGTTTTTTGAGGAACCTCTAAACTGTTCTTCATAGTGGTTGTGCTAATTTACATTCCCACCAACTCTGTATAAGGGTTCCTTTTCTCCACGTTTTCACCATCATTCGTTATTGCCTATCTTTTGGATAAAAGCAGTTTTAGCTGGGGTGAATGATAACTTATTGTAGTTTTGATTTTCATTTCTCTGATATTGAGCATAACTGTTTACCATTTGTATGTCTTATTTTGAGAAAAGTCTATTTATGTCTTATGCCCATTCTTTCATTGGATTATTAGATTTTTTCCTATAGAGTTGTTTGAGCTGATTATATATCCTGGTTATTAATCATTTGTCAGATGGATAGTTTGCACACATTTTCTCCCACTCTCTTGATTGCCTCTTCACTTCATTGACTGTTTCCTTTGCTGTGCAGATGCTTTTTAACTTGATGTGATCCCATTTGTCTATTTTTGCTTTAGTTGCCTGTGCTTTTGGGGCATTACTCAAGATATCTTTGTCCAGTCCAGTATCCTATAGAGTTTCCCCAATGTTTTCTTTTAGTAGTTTCATAGTTTGAGGTCTTATATTTATATTTTTAATCCATTTTGATTTGGTTTTTGTATATGGTGAGAAATATGGCTCTAGTTTCATTCTCCTGCTTATGGATAGCTGGTTTTCTCAGCACCATTTATTGAAGAGACCGTCCTTTTTTCATTGCATGTTCTCGGCACCTTTGTAAAAAATGAGTTCACTGTAGATACATGGATTTATTTCTGGGTTATCTATTCTGTTCCATTGGTATATATATCTTTTTTTTATGCCAGTACCATGCTGTTCAGGTTACTGTAGCTCGGTAGTGTAATGTGAAGTCAGATCATGTGATTCCTCTCATTTTGTTCTTTTTGCTCAGGATTACTTCACTATTCTGGGTCTTTTGTGGTTTCATATAAATTTTAGTATTATTTTTCTATTTATGTGAAGATATCATGGTTATTTTGATAGAGATTGCATTAAGTCTGTAGATTATTTCTTTGGGTAGTATAGACATTTTAACAATATTGATTCTTCTAATCCATGAACATGGAGTATTTTTCTCTCTCTTTTTGGTATCCTCTTCAATTTCTTGCATCAGTGTTTTTTAGTTATCATTGTAGAGATATTTCACTTCTTTGGTTAATTCTTGGGTATTTTATTTTATTTTTAGCTACTAAATGAGACTACTTTTTTGTTTTTCAATTTGTTAGCTAATGGCATACTGAAATACTACTGATTATTGTATGTTGATTTTATATCCTGCAACTTGACTGAATTTCAGTTCTCATAGTTTGTGTGTGTGTATGTGAAGTCTTAGGTTTTTCTAAAAACAAGATCATATCATCTGCAAGCAAGGATAACTTGACTTCTTCCTTTTAAATTTGGAAGCCTTTTATTTCTTTCTCTTGTCTGATTGCTCTAGCTAGGACTTCCAGTACTAGGTTGAATAACAGTGGTGAAAGTGGGCATCCTTGTTGTGTTCCAGATCTTAGAGGAAAGGCTTTCAATTTTTCCCCACTTGATATGACACTAGTTGTGAGTCTGTTGTATATGGCTTTTATTATGTTGAGATATATTTGTTCTATACTCAGTTTTTTGAGGGTTTTTTCCATGAAGAGATGTTGAATTTTATCAAATGCCTTTTCAGCATCAATTGAAATGATCATATGATTTTTGTCCTTTACTCTGTTTATATGATGTATCACATTGATTGATTTGCATATGTTAATTATCCTTACATTCCTGGAATAAATCCCACCTGATCATAATGAATGATCATTTTAATGTGTTGTTGAATTTGGTTTCCTAGTATTTTATTGAGGACTTTTGCATCAATGTTCATTAGGGATGTTGGCCTATAGTTTTCTTTTTTTAATGTGCCTTTCTTTGGTTTTGGTATCAGGGTCATATTGACCTCATGTGATAAGTTGGAAAGTATTCCATCCTAGTCTATTTTTCAGAATAGTCTGAGTAGGATTGGCATTAGTTTTCCTTTAAATGTTTAGCTAAATTCAGCAGTAAAGCCATTAGCTTTTTTATTTTTATTACAGGCTTCAATCTCATTACTTGTTATCTGCCTGTTCAGGTTTTGGATTCCTCATGGTTCAATTTTGGTAGGTTGTGTGTACCTAGGAATTTATCCATTTCCTCTAGATTTTCCAATTTATTGGAATATAGTTGCTCATAGCAGCCATGAATGATCCTTTGAATTTCTGCAGTATCAGTTGTAATGTTTCCTTTTTAATCTCTGATTTTATTTATTTAGGTGTCTTTGTTTCTTAGTTAGTCAGGCTAAAGGTTTTTCAGTTTTGTTTACCTTTTCCAAAAACCAACTTTTTGTTTCATTGATTATTTGTATTTATTTGTTTCAATTTCATTTATTTCTGTTCCGACCTTCATTATTTATTTTCTTCTACCAGTTTTGTGTTTGGTTGGCTCTTGCTTTTCTATTTCTTTAAGATGCGTTGTTATATTGTTTATTTGAAGTTTTTCTACTTTTTTGATGTAGGTGCTAATTGCTATAAACTTTCCTCTTAGTACTACTTTTACTGAATCCCATAGGTTTTGGTATTTTTTGTTTCCATTTTGTTTTGTTTCAAGACATTTTTAAATTTCCTTCTTAATTTCTTCATTGGCCCATTTGTCATTCAGGAGCATATTGTTTAATTTCCATGTTTGTGAAGTTTCCAAAACTCCTCTTGCTATTGATTTCTAGATTTATTTTATTTTGGCCAATGTTTTTGAATGTTTTAAGGCTTGTTTTATGGCCTACCATATGGTCTATCCTTGAGAATGATCCATGTGCTGAGAGGAAGAATGTGTGTTCTGCAGCCATTGGATGAAATGTTCTGTAAATATCTATCAGGTCCATTTGTTATATAGTGCTGATTAAGCCCTATGTTACTTTGTTGATTTTCTGTCTGGATGATCTGTCCAATGCTAAAAGTGGGGTGTTGAAGTCTCCAGCTACTATTGTATTGAGGTCTATTGTTCTCTTTAGCTCTAATAATATTTGCTTTATATATCTGTTGAGTGAATATATATTTAAAATTGTTTCGTCCTCTTGCTGAATTGACCACTTTATCATTATATGATGACCTTTTTTGTTTCTTTTTATACTTTTGGTCTTGGCATCTATTTTGTCTGATATCACTACAGCTACTCCTGCTCTTTTTTGAATTTCATTTGTGTTGGATATCTTTTTGCATGACTAATCTATAGTTTTGTTTATCTTTTCCAAAAACCAAAAACTATTTTATAGTCATGCAAAAAGACATGCTTGTATTTATAGGTAAAATGTGTTTCTGGTAGGCAACAGATCATTAGGTCTTGCTTATTTATTTATTCACCCACTATGTCTTTTGATTAAAGGGTTGAGTACATTTACATTCAATGTTATTATTGATTGGTAAGGACTACTCCTGGCATTTTGTTATGTGTTTTATGGTTGTTTTGTGGTCTTCTATTCCTTCTTTCCTTCCTTCCTGTCTTCTTTTTTGTGAAGACAATTTTCTCAGCTGGTATGTTTTAATTTCTTGCTTTTTATTTTGTGTGTACCTGTTGTATGTTTTTTGATGTTAGGTTACCATGAGGCTTGTAAATAATATCTTATAACTTATACTATCTTATTACTTATACTATCTTTAAACTGATTACTTATAATTTATACTATCTTTAAACTGATGAGAACTTAACACTGATTGCATAAACAAACAAACAAAGAGAAAACTAATAAAAACCCCACACATTAACTTCATCCCCCCATTTTTAAACTTTTTTGTTGTTTCTTTTTATATCTTATTATGTTGTGTATTTCTTGAAATGTTTCTGTAGTTATTTTTTATAGGTTCATCTTTTAGTATTCTACTCAAGATATGAGTCGCTTACACACTTCAATTACAGTTTACAATATTCTGTGTTTTGCGTACTTACTATTACCAGTGAGTTTTATACCTTCAGATGAGTTCTTAATGCCCATTAAGGTCTTTTTCTTTCAGATTGAAGAACTCTCTTTAGCTAGCACTTCTTGTAGGACAGGTCTGGTGTTGATGAAGATTCTTTGTAATTATGTCAGTCTCTTTGTTACATTTATCTGACAGGATTCTGAATTCCTTCTCTGTGTTATCTTGGAGTTCATTGGGCTTCTTCAAAATAGCTATTTTAAATTCTCTGTCTGAAATGTCACAGATGTCTGTCTCTCCAGGATTGCTCTTGAGGTCTTATTTATGCATTTGGTGAAATTATGTTTTCCTGGGTGGTCTTGATGCTTGTGGATGTTTGTTGGTGTCTGGGCATTGGGGACTTAGGTATTTATTGTAGTCTTCACAGTCTGGGCTTTTTTGTACCCATCCTTCTTGGGAAGGCTTTCCAAGTATTTAAAGGGACTTGGGTGTTGTGATCTAAATCTTTGGTCACTGCAGCTGTATCTGTTTTGGCCACTGCAGCTGTATCTGTAACACTGTGGCTCTTGCAGACTCATAAATGTACTGCCTTGGTGGTCTGGGATAAAATTCAGGATAATTGCCTGGTTTACCAACAATTATTCTTCTCTTCTCTTACTTTCCCATTGATAAAGAGTCTCTCTCTCTCTCTCTCTCTCTCTCTCTCTCTCTCTCTCTCTCTCTCTCTCTGTGCTGAGCTGCCTGGACCTGTGGGAGTGGGTGACACAGTACCCCTGTGGCCTCCATCCCTGGGACTCCACCCAAAGCCAGCACAGCACTGGGATGCATCAAAGACCTGCAGTGACAAATGCCTGGCTATTGCCTATGTTCACTTTAGGCCCATGGGCTCTACAATCAGCAGGTGGAAGACCAGCCAGGCTTGTGTCTTTCCCTTCAGGACAGTGAGTTCCTCCCAGCCCTGCGTGGATCTGGAGATACTTTCAAGAGCCAAGGCCTGGAGACAGGAACTTTAGGAATCTACCTGGCACTCTATTCTACTCTGGCTGAGCTGGCACCTAAGCTGCAAGACAATGCCCTCCCCACTCTTCCCTGCCATTTCCTCAAACAGGACTCCCCATGGCCACCACCACTCAGGCCCATGGCAAGTATTGCCTGGCACCGCCAATGTTCACTCAAGGCCCAAGGACTCTTCAGTCATTATTTGGTGAATGCTGCCAGGCCTGGGACTCTCTTTAGGGAAGTGGGCTCCCCTCTCACCCAGGGCAGTTGCAGAAATGCCATCCAAGAACCAAAGCCAAAAGTTGGGGACCTCAGGAGTCCACTTGGTGCTCTACCCCACTGTGGCTAAGCTGGTACCCAAGCTGCAAGGCAAAGTCCCCTTTACCCTTCCCTCTCCTTTCCTCAAGCAGAAGGAGCCTCTCCCTGTAGCCACCACAACTGGATTGTGCTGGGTCACACCCTAAAGCCAGCACAGCTCTGAGTCTTACCCAAAGCCTGTAGCAAGTACTACCTGGCTACCATTGCTGATTATGGAATGCCCAAGGGCTCTTTAGTCAGCAGGTAATGAATTCTGCCAGGATTGCCTCATTCCTTTCAAGTCACTGGCTTCCCTTCTGGCACAAAGTACATCTGTAAACGTTGTCTTAGGAGCTAGGGCCTGGACTCTGCCTGGTGCCGTATCCTACTGTAGCTTAGTTGGTATCCAAGTTATAAGACAAAGTCCTCTTTTCTCTTGTTTCTCTTCTCAAGCAGAGGGAAGGAATCTCTCCCATAGCTATGAGCTACACTTTTGGGGGCTGGGGAAGGGAAACACAAGCATTCCCTTGGCCACCTCAGCTGGTATCTCACTAGGTCGTGTGTTCCAAAAGTCCTCTGTCTCTGAGCCAGCACAACACCAGAACTTGCCCAGGAATTGCAGTCCTTGTGGACTAGGCTGGTCTTTAAGTTTATTATGACCCCGGGGAATTTTAGCTCACAGTAGCAGGGCTTGACAGAACTCAGGTTCCAATAGCTGGGATGGATGATTTGCCTCTGGCTAGGGCTGGTCTAAATTCTTCCTCTGTATATGCTGGCTAAGTTCTGCCTGGTATTGCTTTCCGCTGTGACAGGTCCACACTGGGCTCCAATGCAAAGTCCTACAATCATATACTCTCCCTTCCCCAAGTTCGCAGATTGAACTTGGCTCTGTGCCATGCAGCCACTGTAGGGGAATCAGGGAGGGGTGGTATAGGCAATTCAAGACTACCTTTATGCTCCTCTTCAGTGCCTCTTTCCTTAATTTGATGTCAAAACCAGGTACTATGATTGCTAACCTGATTTTTGGTTCTTATAAAGGTGTTCTTATTTGTAGATAGTTGTTAAATTTGGTGCTCCTGTGAAGGAAATAATTGCTGGAGACTTTTATTTGACCATCTTGTTTTGCCTTTTCTGCATAACTTTTTAAAAACAAACAAATTTTATTTTTTTTCAACTTTTATTTTAGATGCAGGGGGTCTTTGTGTGGTTTGTTAGATGGGTAAATTGTGTATCACCGTACTTTGGAGTACAAATGATTTCATCACCCGGGTAGTGAGCATAGTACCCAAAGGGTAGTTTTTTGAACCTCATCCTCCACCTACCCTCTCCCTGTAAGCAGGCCTCAGTGTTTATTGTTCTCACCTTTGTGCCCATGTGTACTCAATGTTTAGCTTCCACTTATAAGTGAGAACATGTGGTATCTGGTTTTCTGTTCCTGTGTTAATTCATTTAGGATAATGGCCTCCAGCTGCATGCACGTTTCGGGTAAGAACATGATTTTGCTTTTCCTGCGGTTGCATAGTATTATATGGCTGTATATGTGCCACATTTTCTTTTTCCAGCCTACCATTAATAGGTATATAGATTGAGTCCGTATATTTGCTATTGTGAATAGTGCTGCAATGAAGATATGAGTGTATGTATCTTTTTGGTAGAATAGATATATACTTTGAGTATATACTCAGTAATGGGATTGCTGGGTCAAATGGTAGTTTTGTTTTTGTTCTTAGAGAAATTTCCAATCTGCTTTCAACAGTGGCTGAATTAATTTACAGTCCCACCAGCAATTTATAAGTGTTCACAACCTCACTAACATCTGCTATTTTTTGACTTTTTTTTTTTTTTGAGATGGAGTCTCACTCTGTCGCCCATGCTAGAGTGCAGTGGCGTGATCTCGGCTCACTGCAAACTCCACCTCCCAGGTTCAAGCGATTCACCTGCCTCAGCCTTCCAAGTAGCTGGGATTATAGGCGCCTGCCACCGCGCCCAGCTAATTTTTGTATTTTTAGTAGAGACAGGGTTTCACCATGTTGGCCAGGCTGGTCTTGAATTCCTGACCTCATGATCCACCCACCTCGGCCTCCCAAAGTGCTGGGATTACAGGCGTGAGCCACAGTGCCAGGCCTGACTTTTTAACAATATCCATTCTGACTGGTGTGAGATGGTATCTCATTGTGGTTTTGATTTGCATTTCTCTGATGATTAGTGATCGTGAGCATTTTTTCATGTTTGTTGGCCTCTTGTAAGTCTTCTTTTGAGACGTGTCTGTTCATTTTCTTTGCCCATTTGTAATGGGGTTATTTGTTGTTGTATATTTTTTTTTTTTTTGCTTGTAAATTTAAGTTCCTTATAGATTCTGGATATTAGACCTTTGTTGGATACATAGTTTGCAAGTATTTTCTCCTATTCTGTAGGTTGGATACATAGTTTGCAAGTATTTTCTCCTATTCTGCAGGTTGCCTATTTACTCTGTTGATAGTTTCTTTTGTTGTGCAGAAGCTCTTTAGTTTAATTAGGCCCTGCTTATGAATTTTTGGTTTTGCCGCAGTTGTTTTTGGAGTCTTTTTCATGAAATCTTTGCCAAGGCCTATGTACAGAATAGTACTTCCTAAGTATTCCTCTAGCATTTTTATAGTGTTGGGTTTTACATTTAATTTTTTAATCCATCTTGGCATAATTTTTGTATATGGTGAAAGGAAGGGATCCAGTTTCAATCTTCTGCATACAGCTCGCCAATTATCTCAGCATCATTTATTGAATAGGGAGTTCTTTCCCCATTGTTCGTTTTTGTCAACTTTGTCAAAGATCAGATGATTGTAGGTGTATCACTTTATTTCTGGATTTTCTTTTCTTTTCCCTTGGTCTATGTGTCTGTTTTTGTGCTGGTACCATGCTGTTTTGGTTACTGTAGTCTTGTATAGTTTGAAGTTGGGTAGTATGATGCCTCCGGCTTTGTTCTTTTTGCTCAGGATTGCTTTGGCTATTTGGGCTGTTTTGTGTTCCATATAAATTTTAGAGCCTTTTTTTCTAATTCTGTGAAAAATGATGCAGATTGTTTGATAGAAATAGCATCGTGATCACTTATTTACTTCAGTAGTATTTTGTAATTCTTGTTGTTGAGGTCTTTCATCTCCTTGGTTAGCTGTATTCCTGGATATTTTGTTCTTTTTAAGGCTATAGTAAGTGGAATTTTGTTCTTAATTTAGCTCTTAACTTGAATGTTATTGGTGTCTAGAAATGCTACTGATTTTTGTACATTGATTTTATATCCTGAAAGTTTACTGAAGTTGTCTGTCAGTTCTAGGACCCTTTGGGCAGAGACTGTGGGATTTTCTAAGTATAAATCATATCATCTGTGAAGAGAGATAGTTTGACTTCCTCTCTTCCTATTTGCATGTCTTTTCTTTCTTTCTCTTGCCTGATTGTTTTGGCTAGGACTTCTAGTACTATTCTGAATAGGAGTGATGAGATTGGAAATCCTTTTCTTGTTCTGGTTTTCAAGGGGAATGTGACCAGCTTTTGTCCATTCAGTATGAACATGATATTGGCTGTGAGTTTGTCATAGATGGCTCTTATTATTTTGAGGTATGTTCCTTTGATGCTTAGTTTGTTGTTGGTTTTTAACACAGAGGAATGTTGAATTTTATTGCAAGCCCTTTCGGTGTCTATTGAGATGATCGTGTGGTTTTGGTTTTTAGGTCTGTTTATGTAACGAATCACATTTATTGATTTACGCATTTTGAACTAACACTGCTTTTCAGAAATAAAGCATACTTATCGTGGTGAATTAGCTTTTTGATGTGCGGCTGGATTTGGTATTTTTTTTTAGGATTTTTGTGTCTATATTCATCAGAGATATTGGCCTGAAGTTTTATTATTATTTTGTTGTTGTTTTGTCTCTGTCAGGTTTTGCTATCAGAATGATGCTGGCCTCACTGAATCAGTTAGGGAGGAGTCCCTCCTCCTAGATTTTTTGAAATAACATCAGTCAGATTGATACTAGCCCTTCTTTGTACGTCTGGTAGAATTCAGCTGTGATTCGATTTGTTTCAGGGTTTTTTTGGTTGGTAGGTTTTTTATTAACAATTCAATTTCAGGACTCATTATTGTTCTGTTAAGGATTTCAATTTCTTCCTGATTCAACATTGTATGTAGTTTTTGGGATACCATTAGCTTCATAATTCTTTAATAACTACAGAAGCCAAGAATCATTGCATATGTAAAGTAACTCTTTTATTCATACTATGTAGATTCCTACCTACTTCATTTGGAGAAAATATGTGAGAATGGGCAGGAGATTTTAGTTCAGTTTTCTGAGACATTAAATTTTAACATAGGAAGTATGTTATAATGTAGCCTATAAGAGGACAAAAGCATAGAAGTTTAACCCTCATAAACAACTTTTAGTTATCTACTAGATCAGTGTGACCTATAGAAAAATCTCAGGTGTTAGAACCAAGCAAACTGGGTTTGAATTCTAGCCTCAACACTTACTAGCCATGTGGCCTTTGTCAACACATATTATGCCTCTGAACCTTAATGTCCTTATGTGTAAAACGTGTATAGGGTTGATGTGAAGATCAGGTGATATGTATCAAACACTTAGTGTGATGCCTCCGCCAGTGAAAAAGAAGGATGAATTATGTATGGGACATGGATCTTATGACCCCTTCAGTTTCCTCCAACTCCACCTATCTTCACAGCTACTACCCCACCTGTCACTACCCTAATTTCTCCTTAATCCTCATTGTTCTGCTGCCTGAGAACACTCAGTAACTTTCCCTGAGTGTGTTGGATCTTTTGCCTTGGCTGAACACATGCACACCTGGAGTTTCTGGTTCTTACCATCAGTTCTGGTTTTAAATAAACACTACACAGCAAAGTTTGGGACCTAGCATCTCAAGATGTCACTGAAGAGACTGGATGACACAACCCAGAAGTGCAGGGACATTATCTCCTTGTGGGACAAAAATTTGACCATTGCGAAACAGCAGTTGGGAAGAATCTTGGCAGACAAATACTCTCTACATCCTGTTTTCTTACAGGATAGTTTCTCCTTGCCACCCAAAAGGATACTATCCAATTAGACATGCCTTCTGAGCAATACTTGCATATTTTCATCACTTGCTTGGAGCAGTAGGCAGCATCATTTCAGAGCACATCGTTCCTGGTCAGGAATACTTAGACATGCATTTCAGAAGAGTTCAGGTCTACATAGTATTGCCATCACTTCCCATCTTGGGCTAAGATGTTTTTATGCAGATTCTGGGCAGGAAATTGCTAAGGCCTGTGACACAAACTGATAAACTAATAGAAAACTCATTTCTTCATCATAGTGTTCCTGGAAACCTCTTTTGCAGAAGATTAATCTATCTGGAAAGCTGGAAATAGTAACATAGGGAAGAAACACCCCAGCTGTGTGTTTCATCTTAATGAGGAATTATTTAACCTAGAAAACTCAAGCATCCTCACCATCTTTTTCTCTCTCACCTTCCACATCCTATTTATTACCTATGCTAGTCAATGTAACTTATTAATACTTTCCCTGTTCTTTGTCTCATTATGGTTCAGACTCATCACTTTCCTGGACAAAATCCTCAGACCTTCTGATCTGCTAGCCTCCAATCTCACCCTACTTGAACCCTTTCTCCAAACTACTGTCAGGTCAGTCTTCCTAAAATATAAGGCAGATTCCTTTACCCCTCTACTCACAAATCCTCAATAATCCCTCACTGCCTTTTACAGAAAGCCTCCGGTTAAACTCATTCTATGACCATTCCTCAACCCCCGACCCCCTGCTATTACAGAATAATTCTGAAACAGTGTAATAAATATTGCAGAGGGAAATGCTAAGTGCTGTTCTCTGTTATGTATCATAACAGTATGCACTCATGAATAGGATTAGTGCTCTTAATAAAAGAAACTCCAGAGAGCTCTCTCACCCCCCTTGCACCATGTGAGGGTGCAAAGAGAAGATGGTCATCTATGTACCAGAAAGCTGGTCTTCACCAAACACTGAATCTGCTGGCCCCTTGATCTTGAACTTCCCAGCCTCTAGAACTGTAAGAGACAAATTTCTATTGTTTGAAAGCCATCTAACTTATGTTACTTTGTTATAGCAGCCCGAACAAAGACAATAACTTCAATTCCACCTGAAAGTAGTGTCAATTCATCTTATCAGGTAATGTCATGTTAATAGTATTACTCTGGTTTTCTTTACACAAATAGTTTTTCATCCCTGGGAAATTAATAATAAAAGGTAAACCAAACTTGTAGATTTACAATTTATGTGCTAGGTTTAAGAATAAGTGACCAGCCTGGCCAATATGGTTAAACCCTGTCTCTACTAAAAAATACAAAAATTAACCAGGCATGGTGGTGCTCACCTGTACTCCCAGCTACTCAGGAGGCTGAGGCAGGAGAATTGCTTGAACCTAGGAGGCAGAGGTTGCAGTGAGCCGAGATCGTGCCACTGCAGTCCAGCCTTGGCGACAGAGTAAGACTCTGTCAAAAAAAAAAAAAAAAAAAAAAAAAAATAAAGGAGAATAAGTTTTGGATAGTCTCCCAATATTTGAATTTAAAATGTTTGTAGTGTTTAAGAGATTGTGACATATAAAGCTTGCAATTCCTAATAAACTATGTGATTAATTTTAGAGTTTTGGAATTAAGCTGAATGTTATAAAATAATTTGCCAAAATAAATAAACTGTATTGTGTGCTTAAGGTATTTGAGATTAACTATATTTGTAAGTTAATTTATTAAGTGTATGATTAAGTATTTAGGAAAAACTTGATAGGGCTCCAAATTTTAAAGTATTTAAAAAGAAAATTGAATGTAATTAGGAATGCATTTAAAATATTTAAATAATTTAATTTACTAAATTTGTAAATAGTCTAATTTTTAAAAATTGAGGTAATTGAACACTTATCAAAGCCTCTTCCAGAAGTAATAGTTCTGATTTGTAAAACATTGACTCAATACATAAGTTTATAAGATTGACAAAAGACATAAAACCTTGAAAAAACCTAGGTTTTAAAATTTCTACTGTAATAAATGAATATTAATTTAAAACCCAGGTAGCTTCAAATAGTTTATTTAAACTTGAAAGCTTTCCTCAGAAGACAAAAACTGGAGATCAGAAACTCAATTTCCATTTTTAAAAGTATAGGAATTTCAAGTCAGAAACCATTACAATTAGAATTAACGTTCTTTTATTTATGGGGACAAGAAAAGAATAGTCTGAGAGATTTTGCAAAGACTCAAAAAATACAATAGCCGTATACACTTTTTAGGAAAAAAAAAGGTTCAAACGTAAACTTTTAATGGCAAAGAGATTTATTAAAATTAAAATATCAGGAATAAAAATGCGAATGTACATATTCCTTACAGGTCTTCATCTTTACCATCAATTTAAAACTAAAAATTCCAGACCCTGCTAGTAAGATTCTAGAGTTTGGGGGCCAGTGCTTGGCTGTGTAGTGTCTTACTTAGTTTTCCTCTTCTGCTTTATTCTCAGTACTGAGAAATGTGTTTTCTGGAAACTCATTCTTCATTCGATTAGTTGGTTGGAATCTCTTGCCATTTTTTGAGTAAAAATCATAATCATCCTACCGGTAATATTCTATTAAGTAGCTGTACATCAACAATGGCTTAGCTCTTTATACTTTTAGGTATTGGTCTGTATGAATTACAAAGAAGGGATGTATGATAACCATTTTAATTGCCAAGTAATTTGCAAAATTATTTTTTTAATAAAATGTTATACTAAGTGATTTGAATCATTGATCACATCTTACAAAAAAACACTTACAAAACACACAAAAACTTCCATTCTAAGAGTTTATCCTTGTGCCTTGAATAAAGTAGGAAGTTAAGATTTACAGCCTCAGGAAAATTAAAATGACAATTACAATACAAAATTCTAAGAAATAGGAACTTATTAAAATTGTGTGCTTAAGAGAAAAGAAAAATATATATATTTCTCTTTTTCTTTTTTTTCTTTTTTTTTTTTGAGACGGAGTTTCACTCTTGTTGCCCAAGCTGGAGTGCAATGGCACAATCTCGGCTCACTGCAACCTCCGTCTGCCGGATTCAAGCGATTCTCCTGCCTCAGCCTCCCGAGTACTGGGATTACAGGCGCGCATCACCATGCCCAGCTAATTTTTTGTACTTTTAGTAGAAACGGGGTTTCACCATGTTAGCCAGGCTGGTCTTGAACTCCTGACCTCAGGTGATCCACCAGCCTCAGCCTCCCAAAGTGCTGGGATTACATGCCTCAGCCACCGCGCCCAGCCTATTTCTCTTTTTAATTAGGAAGAAATCAATAAATAATTCAGAGACAAATATTCTCTTTCATCAACATATTTTCCATACTGTGTTCCTTTGAGGACCAAAGAATGTGTTAAGTAAGCTTAATATGTTAAAATGTTCATACTGAGTTATGTGCTGTATATGACTTTAGCTTTTTATGCATTTTGTATTATTAAATCTATCTCTCATAGCATGTATTACTTTTATAATTTGAATAAATTGACATTTAAAAATGAATATATACAACAGTCTGAATGTCATATAAGATAGCATACTTATATAAAAATATATGCCCTGCAGGAACTAACTAAAAGAGCTGCCAATGGCTAAAGCTGGAACAATTTGAGCAACAAAATAACATAGTATTGGATTATAACCTAAAGTAGAAAATAAACATCCACAAGTCCACACTGATAGAAACAGATAATTGAATAAATTAATAAATAGGGGAAAAGAGACAAATTCTCCATGCAGAAAAATTCCAAATAATTGATGTAGACACTCCCCACTCCTTAGGCATGGGCTGTGCAGGGTGACTTCCCTTGCAAAGAGATGAGAGTCAGTGGGGGTGGGGGGAAGTAACTTTACAATGGAAGAACTGAACAAACACTATCACATCCAGGTAATTGAGGCCAACATCAAAGCCATTAAGCGTGTTGATAGTATGAACCCTAGATATGATGTGGTGAGAATGGCACTTTACCTATGTGATCGTCCTTCCAAGACCCATAAACCCAGTATAATCAAGGGAAAACATTAGACAAATCCCAGTTGAGAGACATTCTACAATATACCTGACATGCAGTCCTCAAAACTCTCAAAGTCATTAAAAACAAGGAAACTGTCATAGCCAAGAAGAGCCTTAGAAGACATAACAACAAAATATAATCCAGTATCCAGGTGGGATCCTGGAACAGAATAAGACAAATGCTCCCTATTCCTGAGACCAACTCTAAATCCTGTTAATATTTAAATATGTAAATTCATGTTGATGCTGGGTGCAGGATGTTACTGTGAGGAGTGTTCCTGCTGCCAAGAACTTGGGAGTACAATAACTTGGGAAGAGTTTGTGTCTATTTTGAAAAATTTAATTGTAATACAATACTATATATTTCATATGTTTACAGTATATAGAAGTATAATATAACATTATACAATATAGTGCATTAATAAAATATTTATGTTCCCATTACCCAGGTGTAATAAATATCAGCAGTTTGTCATATTTGTTTCAAATTTTAACAAAAGAAAAAATTAAAAATATTTTCCAGAAAAAAAACACTTATAAAACACACAAAAACTTCCATTCTAAGAAGTTTATCCTTGTGCCTTGAATCAAGTAGGAAGTTAAGATTTATAGCCTCAGGAAAATTAAAATGACAATTACAATACAAAATTCTAAGAAATAGGAACTTATTAAAAATTGTATACTTAAGAGAAAAGAAAACTATCACATGCGTTTCCTCTTAGAGTATTAGGAAGTCATTTACTTGAAAAAAATACGGAAAGACTAAAACACAATGTTAGATCTACCTTTCCTGGAAAAACAACAGAGGTGCAAACACACACACACACACACACACACACACACACACCGGTACATCCGCACACACCCTCTCTCTTTCTCTCTTTAATTTGCTCCAGTGATTTTTTCTTCCTGGAACTTCCAAAATCATCAAGAGGTCACATTTACTTTGTTTCTAATTCCTTTGGCTCTTACTGTTTAGACAACCATCATCTTATCATTTATTATGACATTCCTTGATTTAGACAGCTAAATGGTTTATTACATAACTCTATAATGCTGTTAGGTCTCATCACTAATTATTTTATAATTTCATGTCTTATCTCTTCAACTGGGTTATAAATTAATAGGCGCTTGAATATTATTATGATTTTGGAGTCTCAGAGTTTACTGATTTAAGAAATTGTGCACATTGTATTTATTGAATCAACAAATACTGCTTAAGTGAACTGGTATTTTTGATCTACGTGTTCAATGGGTTCTTTTTAAACTTCCTGTATTAACTCAGAGCAAATGCTTTCTATTCCTGAGACCGTCTCTAAATCCTAAAAGTCCATCTCAAGCCCATACTTCTGTATGAAGACTTCTAAAGTCCTCCAAAACCACAGACATTGATATTTTTAATCTGTACAGTTCATTTGGAAGTTTATCATGTACTTTTGGGGGATAAATCTTATATTTTAGTTTACTTAGTGCATTATAACTTATATTTTCATATTTTGTAACCATATTGTGAGCAATTTGACAGCAGAAATACCACATTATAAAGTCAGAGGCCTGGCTTGGAACCATGGTTCAGTCACTGATTGGTTACAGAACCTCGATTTGATGCCTAGTAGGTGCTCCCTGAATGTTTGTGGGACACATGGATACATAATTTAGACCATCTGAGTCTCAGTTTCTTCATTTATTAAGCAGGTGTAATTGTATATAACTTAGAGGAATGTTGTGGAGACTAAAAGACATACTGTGTTAAATACAATCATCTATAATATAAAATATGTTTATTTCAGGACATACTACAGGTATTTACCTGCCTTTATGTTTTCCACAGACTTAGTGTGTTTTCTTTGTTAGGATTCCCAAGACACCTTTCTTTTTGCCTTTGAAAGAAAATAAACTGAATTCATCTTTTATTCCTTCCCTCATTGTACCCCATTTATTGCCTTCATGACATTTACCCTGATGCATATTTTTTGGTGCTCTTAGGACTTTATTGTTAGTGTGCTTCTCTAAACATCCAACCACACTGTGTGTTGTTCACCTTTATGACCCATGTGCCTCTTGGCCAGAGCCTGCCAACCCACTTGGACCTTCTTCGGAGGCTTATCACATACAGGCTGATTAAATATAGACTGTACTCGGGGGTCACTTGTGTGAGTCACCCTCAGGATAAGAGGAAACAACCTCTGCTGCCAGCCCAACCCTATGGTGAGACACCGAGAATGAATTATCCTTCCCTAGGAGGCCGTGTTGGAGGGTCCCTGGCGGGAGCTTGTGGAAAATTCCCCACCAAGGCCTAGAAGTGCATTTGCTCACCAGAGAGGTCTATTAACTCAGTCAGACAAACAGACTCATTCCCTAAGGACCATCTTTAGCAGGAGTGTTCTAATATTTGAGTGTATAAAAATATTTGAGTACATAAAAACCACCAAAGGAATTTGTTTAAAAATTCAGAGGAGTATCACCCAGGAATCTGCATTTAACAATCACAACTCTTTCCCCTGCCCATTATGTTGATGCAGGTGGTCCCAGTTCAGGAAGGGTTGTCAGGCTACCAATAATTCTTTTCTCCACATTGGTCAGCACCTTCCTTGGCAGGGCCATGTCAGTCCCAAAGCCACATATAATACTAATGGTGCTGGTAGGATGATTTTTTTTTTTTTTTTTTTTTTTTTTTTAGTGACAGAGTTTTGCTCTTGTTGCCCAGGCTGGAGTGCAGTGGCACGATCTCGGCTCACGGCAACCTCCGCCTCCCAGGTTCAAGCAATTCACCTGCGTCAGCCTCCTGAGTAGCTGGGATTACAGGCATGTGCCACCACACCCGGCTAATTTTGCATTTTTAGTAGAGACGGGGTTTCTCCATGTTGGTCAGGCTGGTCTCAAACTCCCGACCTTAGGTGATCCGCCCGCCTCGGCCTCCCAAAGTGGTGGGATTACAGGTGTGAGCTACCGCACCCGGCCAATATGATATCTTTACTGCTTGACTGGTTGCTTTGGCAACATTAATTCTAGCAGAACCAGAAGCAATCAACTGACTTAGCCTTTCGGATTTTCAACAGTTTAAAAGATAGACTCATGACTACCTAAAAATTGTTTCCAGTTCTACATGACTTCCGGTATATGTTCAGAAAAAAAGATCAAGTCATACGTGGAGTGGCTGGCAGATCTGAAGGGCCTGGGGACCATGGGAAGAACGTTGTCTTCAGGTAGCTAAACCAATGTTCTCACAATGTTGTGAGAAGTTGGGGTGGGTGGTGGGGTCTTCATCTGTGCAGCGCCAGGAACGCAATGAGCCCAGCAGAATGCATCCTGATCTACACCCAAGTCTCACTGTGTTCAGCTCAATAATTTGTCTCACAAACACTGCTGTGACTACTATGGTATCAGTTTATAGCCAAAACAAATTTAAATAATGATCAAAATTTGGTCAACTCTTTGAAGTTGAGAATACTATTTTACTTTCTAAGGAATTTCAAATTGTCCTTATCCTTTCCTCATTCTATCTCCAGGTCTTTGCTGACTGAGTTTCCACTTTCTGAGATGTCTTTCTTTCTGCTTCTGTACCTGGTGAATTCCTACTTATTTTTAAAATTAAACAATTCCTCTGGGAAACCCTCCTTAATTTCCAGGCAGAGCTAATTCTCCATGGATCTTGTGTTTCTGCCTGCCTAGTGAGTGAGGCACCAGCTGTCCTTTTGTTCCTTTCTTTTTAAGAATGTTTACGTGGCAAATAGCTTTGGAAGATAGATGTAATGTCTCTCTCTGAAGGAAATGGCAGATTTGCTCACCGTGTGGTATGAAAGACACAGGCTCCCTAAGCTCAGGGGCCCTCAGCTGTGAAATAAATCTACTGCTTGTCCAGCATCTATCTAAAGCGCTCTTGTGGGAATGGTTGGGAAAAAGGAACTGAAGCAAAGAGGACACTTACGTTTGTGTCATGAGTAATAGAGTTCTTCGTCTTTGATGCTATAGTCTTGTGTCTTTTGCCAGCTTCTATGAAATTGTGTTAGATTAATTTGTTACCCTGCTAAGAAAATAAAATTCCAGATCCTTCACAGCTCTTGATAAGTGCTCCCCCTTTTGACTGCTTTTATGATAGTATTGTTCATCTTTTTTGTGGAAATACTCAGCTTATATTGTGAGATCCTCAAGGGAAGTGGCTGTTTTATTCATCTTTGTACTTCCAGCATCTAGTACATGATAAGGTCTGTCATTATACAATAGAAGGTCTTCTGGGCCCGGTGCGGTGGCTCAGCCTGTAATCCCAGCACTTTGGGAGGCAGAGGTGGGCAGATCACTAGAGGCCAGGAGTTTGAGACCAGGCTGGCCGACATGGTGAAACTCCGTCTCTACTAAAAATACAAAAATTAGTTGGGTGTGGTGGCGGGTGCTTGTAGTCCCAGCTTCTTGGGAGGCTGAGGCAGGAGAATAGCTTGAACCCAGGAGGCAGAGGTTGCAGTGAGCCAAGATTGCGCCACTGCACTCCAGCCTGGGCAATAGAGAGACACTTCATCTCAAAAAAGTGGGGGAGGGGGAAGGCTTCTGCTTAAGAACAAGGAAAGCTTCATAAGGCTGTTTGTTTCAAAGTTTAAAGTGACATACTAGTGAATGAGAAAACTGTTAGTGGTAGAAAGGGTTGATATGCTTTTGCTTGTATGTATACCTTGTGTGAATGTTTATAAATTTAGAAATTTATAACTAGAGGAATTTGATTCACCTCAACTGACCAATGAATTGTGTTGAATTAAATTAAATTATTATTTGCAATTCCTCCCTTTAAATGTACTTGTTGAAAGTAAACTTCTTAGAATAGAGAAGACTAGGAGGAGTGAAAATGAGGGTGAAGTTATAAAAAATCAGGAGCAATTTAAGGACACATATTTAGGGCTAGGAGAAAGGTCCTTCAGAGAACAAGAAATGGATTGGTCTAAGGGAGCATTATTACATTATTACATCCAGCCAGCCCAGTGTTCAGTCAGGATCTTCCCGCTAATATTTTTCACCTAATTTTTACCCCTACTTATTTCCAAATGGTTATCATCTATCTCCCATGCCTTTTCTGATTCAGTACCATAAACTACAGGAACACATGACCCAGGATCAGAATTGGTACTTACCCCAACACACATCCATAGTGAACATCTTAGCATTCTTTTCTGCTAAAGCAGGAATCAGTTTATTAACCTAGTTCTCCAGCTACCCATACTCATCAAGAGGAGTTGATTCATGCATTAAATCAATATGCCATTCCAGACAAATCTCTCAGGGATAATTCTGTGGAATGTGGTATACATAAACGATAAACCCACCCAAAAAGGTAACTCTGAACTAATGATAAACCTAGGCACTAGGCCCAGAAGAAGTGCAAAAAATAATTTTCAGAATGAAGAATCAAACACCCATGGAGATAAGCACCATATTCCATAAAAAGCACAGACACCCTTGACCACAGCAGCTCCATAGCTCTTTGGCTCACTGTTGTCCTTTGCCCTGTCAGCTGCTTTTTCCTCACAGAGAAAGGAGGAGTGAGGGGAGGCAGGAGGAGTTACTGTCCTGCCTGCTCATCATGTAACTAAGCCATAGTCCTTGGAACCCAACCATTTCTTCTCTCTCAAGGGTTCTTTCCCCAGAGTAGAACTTATATCCCTAAGCTGCACCAACACTCCCAGCATAGCTCCAGCTCTGTGATTGCTGTCTCTCACTGCATGCCCCTCAAGTTTCCCTGCAGCACTGGTATTTGGCCTGTTACAGGCCTACACAATCTAAGTCAGTCTCTCTGTGCCTTCAGTAGGGCTAATCTGATTTAATCCATCTATGGTACTATACTTTTGCCATAGGGCCTCACTCTCCTCAGAGGTTACAAGAGCATTTTAGCAACAGTCTTCCAAATGAAAGGCCAGCAACTTTGTTGTCTGCTCAAAAGTGTGAGTCTTTGGAGACAGTTCAGTATAAGCAGGATTATCTCTGGATTGTATAGAAGGTTCACGGAGTGAGGAGGAATAGTGGAACACAGCATTTAAGAACTTTGGCTCTCCCATCAGATGGACTGCATTGAAATGCTAGATTTGCCACTTATTAACTGTGCGGACTTCAGCAAGTCATTTGGTTTCTCCCAGTTTCCTTTTCTATAAGGTCAGAATGAAAATTACAGTGAATGAAGTCCTGCATTATACTTGGCCTACTGCCTGGTACATAGTAAGCACTCAGTAAATATTAACTGGTCTCACTACTTTTATTATTACTTATGTCACATCTCATTTCACATCGCAGAAATAGCAACATATCTGATAGTATAACCTATCCAGATGGATCTTGTTCAGGAAGTCTCCTCCTCAACATTTCTACTGGTTGCTAGAAGCCAGAGATCTTGCCATTTTGTTTGTCCTTTCTTTTCCCATGGAATATGCATAGTATAATTTTTTAGTAGACCCTACAAAAATTGTGGATGATGGATTTGAGCTTTTTCTATATTGTTGGTTGGCCCAATGTTTTCTTTGAACTACTTGGGAAATCATACAGATACCAAGACTTGAAGATTTAAAATTTGCTTCTCGAAGTTTTACTTGATCTGCTCAGACAGCTATGGTGCCAGATAAATGACTTCAGACTAGGAAGCTCTTTTTCTTTTATGACAGAGCTACCATCTTGGCATCTGAATTTGAAATCCTAGTAGCTTTTGCCTCTTTTTCTTCCCCTTTTTCTTTATTTCATTTTAGGAGTGACCTTTTTATCTGTAAAAGTATCCTTATGAAAGGAATACATGTTCACTGTAAGAAAGCTGAAGCGATTAAAACATACATAAGGTGAAAACAGAAGTTCACTTGGCTCAGCAATAATTCCACTTCTCCTGTATTTCCCTCTAGCCTTTTCTCTATGCACATATACATGAAATCATGTATAGAAGTGTTGGTATAACTAAACATTAATTTACCTTTGCAAGATAATGGAGTAATATTCTAGGTATTGTGGCAGGCACTGCCCACTCAATGTCTATTATCCTTTCTTAACTAACATAAACTCCAATTTTGTTCAAAGCAGCTTTGTATCCAATTCAAAAACTACTTTTCCTAACATTACTTATAGCTACGGATCATCTTGTGCCACAGTTCTAGCTAATGAGATGGAAGCAGAAATCTGCTGAAGATTTCTAAAAGTTTTGCTCTCCTAATGTAGGTGCCATCCCTGCTTCTTCATTTTTCCTTCTCACTCCTACCTGAAAGGAAAATGGAAGACCAGAGATGGAAACTTGTGACCAAAGCTTCCTGTTAAGGATCACAGAGAAGAAATATAGGAAGGAGCTGGGTCCCTGATGAAATTTGTGGTGCTTTACACTAAGTTCTCCCTGGGTTTATGCCCTTTGATTCCTTGTTACAGAAGAAAAGTAAGTCTTATTATGTATAGCAGGGCCACAGTTGTGTAACAGCTATGCGGAGATATTGATCCTTGCATCCCTCTGAGTTGAAATGTAAAAGAGAGGATGAGGGGGCCTGGGAAGAGATGTCCTTAGTTGACTCCTTCAGTCCACAAATAGCCCTCTCCTCCCATATTTTATAAAAATATAATATATTTTATACGATATTATAAAAATATAATTGTGTATGAGTATCATGATGGAAAAAAGAAATTAAACCTGCATGTGTAGATTTCTGTATTAGATTTGAATCAATCCTAATTGATACAGCTATTGGTCTTCATTTTCCTTTTTATACTACAGAATATCTTAACTATCTATTCATTCATATATATAGCATTTTCTTTACATATCAATACAGTATTCTGTGCCATAGATGTTCTACGGCATGGCATTCTCTATATGATAGTTGTTCATTTTCTTTTTTCTTTCATTCTCTCTCTCTCTCTCTTTTCTCCTCATTTCACCAATACTGCACTGAGTATTTCTATGAGTATTTGTGCACTTTTATAATTTTCCCTTCAGAAAAAAATTACAAAAGTGGAATTGCTTGGTGAAGAATATGTATCATTTAAGTGTTTAACTGCTCACAGATACTGACATAATCAAATTGCCTTTCAAACTGATACCAATGTACATTTCCACCAACAGTAAATCTGCTTGTTTTCCCAACCCTAGCCATTATGGGTTGCAATCCATCTTTTTATTCATTATCAATCTTATTTTTTCTGTTTTGCCATCTTTGGTCTGAAGGTTGAAAGCAGAGAAAAAAATAGAGATTGAGATATCTAAAATCTTCATCCCATCATATGACTGTAATATGAGAAAAACGCTAGAGGAAAACTAACCATGAAGCTATATCTCATAAAGAGCTTATGTGGCACTGAAGTTTTCAGGGGAAATTTGGGAAAATGCATTTTATATTTCTGGGGAAAATTACCAAATGTAGTTTATTGCCAACACCATTTGGTGTTCCAGAGAAATGGGCCCTTTCTTACAATGTTGTGGTTTATATCAATTGGTGTTAACATTTCATAGTAATTTTGCAATGAGAATTAAACATTTAGAAGTGTATCCATCTCTATTTCAATATTTTTAAAAAGTTCTAATAGTCATAAAATCAAATATTTATTTACAAGGATGTTTGCTATAGCATTATTCGGAATAGAAAAAATTATCTGAAAATAAAATTTGAAACTACCAATAAGTACTTTATTAAATAGTTTATTTGATACCCACACATTTGATGCCCATAGTATTATTTAGTAATTTAAAAAGTCATGTTTAAATGATAATTTTTGAGTGAGAAAATATTTCTGAAATATCAAGAGACAAAGAAGGATACACAAGAATATATATATATAATATGACACCCTTTTAATGGTACATATGGAAGATATTTACACCAAAATATTCACCATGAGTATAAAAGATATGATATGGCTTGGATCTGTGGCCCTGCCCAAATGTCATGTCAAATTGTAATCCCCAACATTGGAGGTGGGGCCTGGTGGGAATTGATTAGATCATGGGGGCAGTTTCTCATCAATGGTTTAGCACCATCTCTCTTGGTGCTGTTCTCATGAGAGAGTTCTCATGAAATCTGGTTGGTTAAGTGTGTCTGTAGCACCTCCCCACCTCTCTCTTGATCCTGCTCTGGCTGTGTAAGAAGGGCCTGCTTCCCCTTTGCCTTCCTCCATTACTGTAAGTTTCCTAAGGCCTCCCTAGAAGCCAAGCTGATGCCAGCATCACGCTTGTTATACAGTCTGCAGAACTGTGAGCCAATAAACCTGTTTCCTTATAAATTACCCAGTCTCAGGTATTTCTTCATAGCAATGCAAGAATACACTAATACAAGATGGTTGAGATCACGAATGAAATTTTATTGACTTCCTCTCTTCTTTTTTAGTAGTTTAAAGTTTTATACTTTAAATAATTATTCTTTATGCAATCAGAAAAAGGATATATTAACAAAATAGTGAAAAACTTAAAAATAGTAGTGATGTTCCTTTAAATTTCCTAGGGAAGATGGTGTGGCCTTTTTATTTTCACATCACACAGGTAACATGCCACAGTCACAACAATTTTTGAGGGAAGCTCATCTCACACATGAGCCTAAAAACCCAGTCACACTTGTGAGATACAAAAGAATCAATGTGTTCTTTTGAGAAATACAAGTAGGGTTGAGAAATATAAGTAAGTTTGAGAAAAAGCTGAAAGCCTAATAAATAAGTACTAAAGCCATGCTAATGAATAAAGAGACTCGACATGGTAAAAATGTCTACAAATTTAATGAAAATTCAATCAAATTTCAAACAAGTTTGTGTGTATGTGTATGTGTGTGTAAGTGTGTACATGTAGAAAGTAACAAGATGTCTCTATAATTTATATCAGAAATGCAAAATCTAAGAAATGCAAAAATCTAAGACAATATTACAGAGGAAAAACAAACCTTACTAGCTTATACACTACTAGATGTTAAGAAATGTTGTAATTAAGCAGTTTCAGTGTGGTACTTGTGCAAGAATAGACACACAGACCAATGAAACAGATAGAGGGTCCAGAAACAGACCTACATATTCAAGGTCACTTGATTGTTGGAGTGCAGTGGGGTCACGGAAAGGATGATTTTAATAAACGATGTTGAGCCAAGTGGATATACATATTGAACAAAATAAAGTTTCATTCCTAATTTTTGTTTTCACTGGAAATAGAAATTAATTTCAGATGGACAGATGGTAGACTGAAATACGATAGGTAAAGCAATGAAGTTCCTAGGTTAAAACTTAGTAAGAATGTCTTTATGACCTTGATGCAATCTAGAAGCACTAACCATAAAGAAAAAAAGATACATTGGATGCTACTGTAATTAAGAATGAGAGTCCATCAAATCATATTTTTAAGGCAGTGATAAGACAAGCCACAGAATGAACAAAGATATTGCAATACAGATATCACCAAAAATTTCATATACAGAATATATATTTTAAAACTCCCAAAAGTGAATAGAAAAAAAATCAGATAACATAATAGATAAAGTAGGCAAAAGAAATGAAAAGACACTTTACAAAAGAAGATATTCAAATGACCAACCAACGTAGGAAAAAAGTTCAAATGCTGATTGAAACCAATATAATTTCACAATTACAAGAATAGCTAAAATAAATAAGCAATCCCAAGTGTTGGTGATTTTGTGAATCAACCAGAACTCTCCTAAATTCTTGGTGGGAGTATGGGTTGATATAAATACTTTGGAATACTATTTGACTGTATCTAGGAAAGCTGACCATGAACATTCTCTATGACTTGGCAATTTCCTTTGCGAGCGTATGTCCAGAAGAAATGCATACATATAGTCACAATAAAACATGTAAAAAAATGTGCATGGCAGAATTTTTTGTGCCAGCACCAAACCAAAACTATCTCAAATGTCCATCAAGAATAGAATGAATGCCTAAATTGTGGAATTTTCATACAACAGCAGAAAAACAATGCTACATGTAACATATATAATTTTCACAAATATAATGTTGAACAAAAGAAGCCGGTATAAACTGTATTATTTCACTAGTATAAATAAAAAGCAGGAAAGAAGTAATCTATGTGTTATATATGAGCATAGTGGCTATCCTTGGAAGAGTAGTACCTGGTAAGGGCATAAAGGTACTGATAATGTTTTATGTATTGATTTACTTGCTGATTATCTGGTATGTTCACTTGTAAAATTTCACTAAGCTGAACACTTGAATGTGTGTTATACTTTAATAAAATATATACTTTAAAAGAAGCTGCTAAAGAAACCATTTGTATGTTTATATCAAGTTACCTGGTGGAAAAATTAGTTAGAACATGATTTAAAAACTTTTTTTAAGTTTAAGATAAACCTAGTTGCCAAAAACCCAGTGTGGCCTCAAGCTTCTATGTGTGTTGAAGTCTTGAGACCTAGACAGGATATAGGTTCCAATCATATTTTCTTCTTCAAGTTTCCTGATCTCTGAATTGGCTCTTCCAGTAAGTTCTTGACTTGGCCCCTCTTGGTAATTGTCTGATTTTGGTGCTCCAGTCCTTGGCTTCCTGCCTGACTCCAGCTTGGCTCAGCCCCAGTGTGTGATACCAGGTCCCAGTCCATGACTGACTTTTTGTCTGAATCGACTCATGGTTTCATCTCCCCAGTTTTTGCCCCATACCAGCAGTGTCTGATAAGCTTCCAACATGGGTTGATGAAATCACTTTTCAGATAAACCTTGAGAGAAAAAATTAAAACATTGAAAAAGATTTGTAGACAAAAATAGATTTTCTCTCCATTATGACTTATATAAAAGAAACAAAAGCAGAAACAAAAACTTTTGCTTTACCGTCTTTTTTCTGTGATAGAGATTCTTTGCTTTGTTAGAAACAAAAAGCAAAGAATCTCTATCACAGAAAAAAGATAGTAATAAGCACAGATGCCCAAAGAAGCCAGGCAGACTTTTTTTTTAAAGGTTTAAGTTTTATATAAAATGAACTTTTCTATTAAAAGAAAAACAGATGATTTTTTTCCATTTTTTTCTAGAATTATACAGCTCTCAGTCTAAATTTGTAACACAGAGAAATATGTGCTTACTATATATATGAAAAATAACAGTGCCAATACCTATTAATAGTAATCCCTTTTAGGGCAAACGTGGACTGTAGTAAGTTGTAGAGCCTATGCCTTATCTACAGCAAGTAGCTGCTATTCTGTTCCGTGTGTGATATTGTGGAGATGTGCAGACCTAGTGCAAGAAGAGATAGAACCTATGCTTTTAGGTAAAATCTCCTGGTTTGTAAATTTAAATTCAAACAATTTAAAAGACTGTGAATGTCAAATAAAATATGTTTGGAGCTGGATTTGGCTCAGAGACAATTAGTTTGTAACCTCTTCTAAGGGTTAGCTGTATATTCAAGATCTCTTCATTAAAGAAATTCCGGAGGACTATTCACGATGAAAATAACTAGAGATTTCAGTGTCCTGTAAAAGTCTTGGACCAATCAAGGAAGAGTCCATTTCAACCACTTTTTTTTTCTCAGATTCAGAGACAGAATCAGATTTAAGTAGATTAGCCCATTCATTCATTTATTTATTAACTCAACAAGCATTTATTTGGCAGCTGCTCTTTCCAGATGTACCTCAACTTGTTTCAATTCAAATTATTTAATTAGTTTCAAGTGGAAAACCAAATGAAAGCAAATTCACAAATAACAAAAGATTTTGCTCAAATGATAGCCCTAGGCTTAAATTTCAAAACCATGACCCCTCTCTGGAAAAATATTTGTGCATCAATTGGCTTTTATGGTAGTAACTTAGAGGTCATTCAAGGAATCTGGAAGAAAATTAAAAGCCTCTGAAAGCTGACTTTTTCAACCAAAGGGAAAAAAAGACTCAGTAGGCACAAACAATTCAATAAATGAATGCATGCAGAATGATATTTAGAAGTGAAAATAGCAATTAGGGCTAAGGTTCTAAGGGTCAAGGAGAGTTTTAAGAGTAAAATTTTGTACATATGTAAGTGGTCTCACTATTCCACTTCCAAGTCTATTTTTGTTTTAAAGGGAAAGGCATAAAGAATAAAATGTCAGTCACCCCAACATTTTTTTTTTACTTTTGTGTGTGTGTGTGTGTGCTTTTTCTTCCCTAATAGGAGGAGAGTTGAGATCACTACTCTTTTCTCTTGTTATTGTCTCTGGGGTCTAGTTTTTCCTTCTACAGGCCAATCTTTAATAAATATTTTTCTTCTCACAATGTCACTCGAAGAACCCAAACACTAATTCTTTTAAATGACAATGATTATCCTTTTATGCAACATCAATTCTCCAAGCTACTCGGGGGCTTCCCAGAGAAGATGTTGAAGCTGCCAACTCAACTCTTATTGAGTGGAGTCACTGTGAATTCTTTCCTGGAACCAAAGTGCGTCTTTTCCAAACTCTGTTTACAAAATTCAATTTCTTCACTCTTCAGTTCCAATACAGCTACTGACAAAGAAAAACGAGCACATTCTTTAGCAATTCCAAGGTCAAGATCATGGGACAAAAGGGCTCTGTGGTTTGTTTCTTCTTACCAATATCTTGTGCAGATGAAAAAGGGCTGGTAAATTTCCCTATAATAAGGTCGTCAAACTCATGTTTGATTCAGAGAAAAAAACTGTGGACTGTATTTTGTTTGCTTAGCCCTCATCCTAAGTAGAAAAGAATGGAAATGCTTAGAAAACTCTCCCTGGCAAGCTCTCCCTGTCTGCCCGTAACCTTCCTGAGCCTGTATTCCTTTCTCCATACCTGCTTCTCCTGGCCTCACATCTGCTGATTTATGAGCATAGGATGATGCCTTGGTGACAACAGGATATGGCTCCCTGCCTCCTAGATTTCTCTGCAATGACATTTTCTAGAAGAAGACAGTCTGTGAAGTTTACCTAGCACGATATTTTAAAAGTCCTAGATTTAGAGTCAGAATTCTAGCTGGATAAATCAACCTCGATAGCTATAGTTTCCTTATCTATATAATGGTGTTAAATATCCACATCACACAATTGAAATAAAAATTAAATTGAAAAATATAAAATATCCAGAATGGTGCTTTGTGCAAAGGAAGTTCTCTATTAATGATGGCTGAATTTGAATTCCTAAGAGAAATGGCATCTTGAACATTGATCATGTATTATTTGCAAAACTTTAAGAGAAGAGGCAATGCAAATTATCCACAAATATGTCTGTTTTCTTTCTCCAAAAGAATTGAATATATTACAATATTAGTAAACTAAACACAAATTATTTTGTCAAAATAGATGCAGACTTCCAAGCTGTATAGTTAGTAACACTATCACTGGAAAACTCACATTTTTCCCCAAAGAAACCCCTACAAGCTTTGAAATTCCAAATTCAACTATCCAGAAAATTAATATAAAGGTCAATATGGGACAGTCTTTCTAGTTGAAAATACTATTGATTTTTTTTCCACTCAACCATTTTTGAAATCTGAAAAATAGGTTAACTATATTTTAAACATTCACTTTGGTCTATCTGGTTCTTTATGGTTAAAAGTTATGGGATCTGGCCAGGCTTTTCTCTGGAATCAAGGATCATTGTCTGAGAAAGATCAAAACCACTCACTGTCTTGAGAGACTGACAGTTTGCCCTCTTCACTGAGCCTCTGCAGGGAAAACTGCATACATGTACTTTAAAAGCATTCTATTGAAGTACAACATACCTGCAGAAAAGTATGTACATCCTAAGTGTTCAGCACAACAAATTTTCACAAACTAATCACATTTACATAACCAGAAGCCAAATAAAAAATCAGGATAACAACAGGATCTCAGAAACCCCCCCAGGCTCCCTCCAGCCCTGCCCATCCAGGGGTAACCTAGCAGCATAGAGGAGTTCCACTAGTTTTTGTGTTATATAAAATGGCTCATACAGTATGTACTCTTTTTTGGTCTGGCTTTTTTCGCTCAACACCATGTCTGTGAGACTCCTCCATATTTTTGCATGTGTCTGTAGATCAGTGTAATATTTCATTGTGTGGATATATCACATTTGTTCACCTATCATGCTGATGGGTATTGGGGATTGCCCCCCACACCCAGTTTTTGACTTTTACAACTAATGCTGCAATAAGCATTTCAGTGATTGTATTTTGAGGAGCATATTGCATGTTATTTTTTTGGTTATATACCTAAAAGTGGAATTGCCAGATCAAAAAATAAGGATGCCTTTAGCTTTAGTAGATAATAAATACTAACTGTACAAAGTGGCTATTTCAAATTATACTCAACTGAAGTATGTGAGAATTCTGATTTATCCACATATTCATTAATCCTTACTATTATCAGTCTTTTTAAATATTAGCCATTCTTGTTTGTGTATAGTGATATTATATAGAAATCTCATGTGTATTTATTTTCAAATACACTTATTTGAAGGAAGAAAAAAGTGATATATCATCCTGATCCTGAAGAAGTGCAATCAGAGAAGGAATTTTTAGAATCAATAACCAAACTCCCACAGAGATGAACTACCAACATATTCACAGAGACATTTGAGCACAGCACAGCTGTGTAATATTATCCAGCTTCCTAATTTGTCCAGTCTAACAAGTAAGGTGACAGTTGATTTTTTTTAATTTGACTATTAGACTACTTATCTAGTAGTCTATTATTGTTTTTCTTGTTGATTTGCAGGAGCTTCTTGTATTTTCCAGATATTAATCCCTTACAAGTTTTAAATACCAAAAGCTTCTTATAAGCAGCCATACTTATGAATTATTTACAGTACTCATTTAATATATCTAAATTTGTGTTGTGTCCAAAATCCTTTTTCATTCTATTTCACTTATACCTTCCCGTTTTATTATTGATCAGTCTTGCAAATAAATAAGAATGCTATTTATAAAAGGATAAATGTAGTGAACCAAAGTCCTATAAATGTATCATTTCTTCTCAAAATAATTTCCAAGTTTAATACAATCAATTGAAAATATCACTAGATGATTTTTTAGAAACCTGGTACAATGATTTCAAAGTTCATCTGTATGAATAAAGATAATGGAGTAGTTAGGAAAAAAATTGAAAAATTAAAACAGTGAGAATTGACCTCACAGGTATTAAAATGCATTTGAAACTACCAAAAGAAAGAAAGAAACAGAGAATGGCATTGATTCATGACAGAACAGGAAGACCAGGATAGCAATTAAAATAATTGGAGTATATGTACTCACATACACATTAAAGGAAAATCACACAACAGCAAGAAAAGTGTAAATTATTAAATAAATGAGATTGAAAGGCAGTATAGCAAAGTGCACCATGGACTCTGGAGCCCACCTGCCTAACTCCAAATCTGGGCTCATCTATTTACTCCCATTTTTTTTTACCTAAGATAAGTCACTTAACCTCTCTGTGTCACTGTTTCCTCATTCGCAAAGTGAAGATTATTAGTTATTACATGAAAAAATGCTTTGAATAGTACCTGGCATATACAAAGTAAAGTATTTAAGTGTTAGCTATTATTTTTCTCTTTTAAGATGCCAAATTAAAGTTCTAATCATTTCCTTCTTTGTGATTCAATACAAAATCACAAAAAAGGGACAATGAAACACAGAATCTGTAACCCAAGCCATTACAGAAGAAAGGTTGTCAAGCGTAGGGAAGATCAAACTAAGCTTTGAAATGCCACTGAAGGAGAATACCTAAAGCTGGCAGAGAAGGGGCTGCAAAGAAAGTGATACAACCCAGGAGGCAAAGTCAGCAATTCTTTGTTTGGAACGGGGCATGAAGGCCAGAAGCTGAAGTTTCCTTGGTCTTATTTGTCTCCATGGAAGAGCAGAGAAGAGATAACTGAAGGGGGAAACTCACAAACCCACAATCTTTGTAGGAAGTAGTCTGTCAGTGAGACAGGGAAAGGAGAGAGACTAAATTCTGAGCAACTCTGACGTTGCTGTCCTTGTTTTCTGGGGAGAAGTAATATTAATAGCTAAAAGAATTCTCTTTTAATGCTTTTTTATTACGATTATGAAACACAATGGGAGATTAAAGACCATTAAAAGACCATTAAGACCATTAAAAACCATTAAGACCATTAAAAACATATTAGGTGTATGTTTATTTAACAAACACAATTTGTTGATTGTGTTTGGTGTTTAGTTATCTTCACTAAATAAAGCCAAACACAGATAGAGAAAGATTTTTTTTAAAGCAGTGAAAAAAGAAAGCACAACAAAATTAAGACATAATATATCTGTATTATCAAAAAAAAGTAAATAGGATAACATTACCTACTGCAGGGACAAGTTGATTTCTGGGCAGAAGACATTGGAAGAGACAAATAAGTGTCCTATATAATGATAAAATGTCAAATCCATGTAGATGAATAATAGCATCAATATTCATAAAGTGAAATTGTAGAAAACACAAGAAATAGAAATATAGTCACAGTTGAAGATGTTAATTTGTATCTATTGACCTACAACAGGACAAATTCAAAACTCTGAGAAACAGAGAACAAAATAATTTAATAGATTATATGTTCATACACATTCACAAACACATAAACATTCACAGAATTTGTACATTTTTTAGTGATTATGAAACACAATAAGAGACCATATATTAAGATACAAATAACACTGAATAAATTCCAAAAAATAGAACATACACATGATATTTCCATAATATAATAAAATTAAAACATAAAAACAAAACTAGGAGGAAAAGCTTATCACCTGGAGATTAATTTTCTTAAAAAGCCCTCTTTCTTCAAATCTAGGAACAAAATAAAAGTCAACATCTAAATTACAAAATATCTAGAAAATATTAGTTAAATTTGTCTATAAGAGAACCCATGGAGGTGCAGCTATTCTGCTCAGAGTGGGGTAAAGTGATGTTGGGGAATTCAGATACTTTGGGATAAAATTTTTTAACCTCTTAATCTGAAACAAAATAAGTTTGAGATGGATTGAAGAATTAAATGTATTAAGAAGTTGGAGAGAGACTACAAAAGAGAGATAAAAAGGAGTATAATGGAATAGTATACAGCTGACAAACACTCACACTGAAAACAATTAGAATAGAGAAAAACTAGCAGAAAACATCTGCTTTAAGCCACCAGAAAGTTTTCAAAGTAACCGGAACCTAAGACAAAATACAGAGAAGGGATCACTGCAACAGAGATGAGCTGCCATTCTGAATCCATTTTTTCATTCAAGGCATTTGCTACTAAAAGAAATTGAGTATGCGGGTGGAAGGCTCAGGCCACCTGCCAGGAAGCAGAAAAGCCAGCAAAGCTTTTGGCTGACTCTTTGGGTTAGACTAACCAAAATTAGAGACCTTGAGGGCCAAGAAGTCTCCTGAAAAGGAAAGAGTAGCGAACTGAGTCCAATGTTTTGCTATCTTTCTCCTTAAGACATTTGTTGAATTCTGAAGTTGCACATGGAAGGAGGCTAAGAAGTGGAACAGAAAACCTCTGAGAAGCAGAGAGGCATTAGGGCAGTTTCCAAGCGTTGATACGACAGCTAGAATGCAGGATCCACCTGTAGCAAGAGATCCCAGAGACCAACTCTGGATTTCAAGTAGGACACTGGGAGGCCATATTGTGTTAACAGGGTCCCCGAGTCCCTGAGAAATAAGCCCCTTGTCTACCTGGTGTTCAGTCTCAGGGGTTAAGAGGTAGCCGCTATTTCCTGGTTACTTAGGGTTTTAGCCCTAGTGACCAGGTGTGATAGCTAATTTTATGTGTCAGCTTGGTGAGGCAATGGTGCCCAGTTATTTGGTTGAACACTAGCCTGATGCTGCAATGAGGTATTTTGTAGATCTGATTAATCTTTACAATCAGTTGACTTTACAGACAGGAGATTATTCTTGATAATGGAGTGAGCTTCATTCAATCAGGATTTAAGAGCAGAAACTGGGGGTTACTGAAGAATAAGCATTTTTGCCTCAAGACTGAAACATAGAAATCCTGCCTGAGTATCCAGCTTGCTGGTCAGACCTACAGATTTTAGGCTCAGGACAGAGACTTCCAACTCTTGCCTGAGTTTCCAGCCTGCTACCCACACAAGACAGTTCAAACTTACCAGCACCACAATGATATGAGCTAATTCTTTCAATCTCCCCCTCTCTCTCCTCTCTCTCTCTTTCTTACCATATATATTAATATATGATATATATCATACATCCAGCCACCAATCCCAACAAGGCCTTCACATAAAGGAGATCCCTTAAAACATGTCTGAATTCTGAGGGCCCACAAATAATGGTACTTTATCAGGGGAAACTCAATATATTACTTGTAACTTATAATCTCACTGAAGGCAAATTTGTTAAAAGAGACTGACAGTACCTTCATTTCAATATGAGGCTGTGTTAGGCTGTGATTAAACAGGTCAAATTATGCACTTTTAAATGACATATTTAACAAACCCATTTATTGTAGCTTAAAGGACCAGCTGTAGACACTTCTAATATAGCTGCTTGAACCAGCTGCAATACCACAATGATTATTTTCAGATTGAATTGCTTATGTTTTAGCCTAGTTTATGAAATATTTTAAGGTCTTAATTTGTATTAAAGATAACATGCATTGTATTTAATGCTATAGCCCACAGAACATATTGCAGGGATGGATTTAATTTAAGCTAAAAATTCTTTAATTACTGCATAAGGAACCACCATGTTGAGTGCAGAAATTGAACTTGCATTCTGGGGCAAAATTTCCATGAGAGTAATAAATTAAATTAAAGCTGAAAAAGTGCCAATGATTCTCTTTAATTACTGCATAAGGAATAATCATATTGAGTGCAGAAATTGAACTTGCATTCTGAGGCAAAATTTCCATGAGCGTAATAAATTAAATTAAAGCTGAAAAATGCCAATGTTTCTTTATTGAGTCAAAATATAATATTTGTTTTGAAGGCATCTATGTTTTGTATTAAGCACCCTCTCCTCTATCTCAGCAGCTGTAACTCAAGTATGTCAATCATGGGAAGACCCTTTTGGACCTCTGTCCCCTCTCTCCTTTCCCACCTTCCGCCACACCACAATCTCCTCCATCAGCCTCTCACAGTCTTTCTCATCTTCAATATATGAGATGGGTTCTACTTAATAGCATTTTCAAATCAGTTAAAATCAGTTAAAATCATTTCAAACAATACACTAAGTTATTAATCTCTCATTCTGAAAGTCCACATTCAGAAAATGGAAGTTAGCTAAAATATATTTTCATTGATATACTATTTTTCTTTGTTAGAATCAGAGGTAGGATTCTAGCCCAAATATAAGTTCTCTGAAGGCAAAAACTTATTCATTACTATTTAACAAACATTTGAATTTTCCTCTGTAATACAGACACGACTTTATTATGGATTTTAATCACTGTACAGCAGGTTTTTTTTGAAATATTTATTTGTGATAGAAATACACGTAACATAAAATTGACCCTCCTATTTTTAAGTGTACAGTTCAGTAGTGTTAATTACATTCACATTATGTGCAACCAATCTCCAGAACGCTTTTCATCTTGCAAAACTCAAACTTTGTATTCATTAAACAAGAAATCCTCTTGTCTCCTCCAAGCCCTTGGCAACCACCATTCTACTTTCTGTCTCTATGGATTTGAATATGCTAAGTATCTCATATACACAGAATCATATAATATTTGACTTTTTGTTACTGGCCTATTTCACTTAGCATAATGTCCTAAAGGTTTATCCATATCATAGGATGTGTCAGAATTCCCTTCCTTTTAAAGGTAATTTTATAAATAATATGCCATTGTATGTACCTGAGGAGATTTTTTGTTTTTATTATTATTTTTCATTTCAATAAGTTTTGGGGGAACAGGTGGTGTTTGGTTACATGAGTAAGTTCTTTAGTGGTGATTTCTGAGATTTTGGTGCACCCATCACGCAAGCAGTGTACACTGTACCCAGTGTATAGTCTTTTATCTCTCACCTGCCTCCAACCCTTTCCCCAAGTCCCCAAAGTCCAATATATTATTCTTATGCCTTTACGTCCTCATAGCTTTGTCACACTTATGAGTGAGAACATACGATGTTTGGTTTTCCATTCCTGAGTTACTTCACTTGGAGTAATGGTCTCCAATTCCATACAGGTTGCTGCAAGTGCTATTATTTCATTCCTTTTTATGGCTGGGTAGTATTCCATGGTGTATATATACCACATTTTTTTTATCCGCTTGTTGATTGGTGGGCATTTGGGCTGGTTCCATATTTTTGCAATTGCAAATTGTGCTGCTATAAATATGCATGTGCAGGTGTCTTTTTTGTATAATGACTACTTGTTCTCTGGGTAGATACCCAATAATGGGATTGCTGGATCAAATGGTAGATCTACTTTTAGGTCTTTAAGGAATCTCCACACTGTTTATCATAGTGGCTGTACTAGTTTACATTCCCATCAGCAGAGTAAAAGTGTTCCCTTTCCACCACGTCCACACCAACATCTATTATTTTTTTATTTTTTGATTATGGCCATTCTTGCAGGAGTAAGTTGATATCATATTGTGATTTTGATTTGCGTTTCCCTGATAATTAGTGATGTTGAACATTTTTTCGTATGTTTGTCAGTCATTTGTATATCTTCTTTTTAGAATTGTCTATTTATGTCCTTAGGCCACTTTTTGAAGAGATCATTTGTTTTTTATTGCTGATTTGCTTGAGTTCCTTGTAGATTCTGGATATTAGTCTTTTGTCAGGCACCCCATTGCAGTAGCCATGTTCTCTTTATTGGAAGTGAGTTACTAGGTCCTGCTGACACTCAGGAAAGTGAGATTACACAAGGACATGAATATTAGGAGGCAGGGATCAGGGGCCGTTTGTAGAGGTTGCCTACCACTGTACCCAAACATGGTAGCAATAACAGAGCTAGCATTTAATATGAGTTTACCACCTGCCAGGAAAAACACACTGTACATATTATTCTCACACAGTCCTGTGAGGGAGGTAAAGTTATTAGCCTCATTTAATGAATGAGGAAACTGAGGCAAATGAAGGTTAAATAATGAAAGTCCCACAGTTTGTGTGTAGCATCCTCAGGCTTCAAAATGTGATAATCTGACTCCAGATACCATGCGTTTAACCTCAATGCTAAATTTTCTCTGATTAAATAGCTCAACAAATGGTAGCTGTTGTCATTAAATGCAAGGGCAATTGATGTGGCAAAGAATATTAAAGGAGGGAGCAGTGGGGAAAGAAAATCCAGGAGATGGGTTCACCAGCTATCCTGGGTAGCTCTACTCAAGAAACTGAGAAAGGAGATGAAATTCCCTAGCCAGGAGAAAATGTGGCAATTTCTTTTGGGTTAAGTCCAAGAACCACCATTAAGTCTTGGAGACTAGGGTTATCAGGAGAGCATCTTTAAGGCTAAAAGGCAGGGGTCTGACTCAGAAAGAAAAGAGCCTTGCTAAAGACAGCATTGTAGTCTCAAGAGACAGGACGGCATCCTAGACATGGATACTTGGGAAAGAGCTTTAGAGCCTTAAACATCGGCAACCAAATTGTGATTTTTATTTTCTAACTCAGAGGCCTTTGGGGTAAAAGTTTTGGTCTGGGACTCCCAGATAAGGTTATTGTTTTTGGCAAGAGAGAAAAAGAAAAAAAATAGAGCATTTACTGAAATAACATGTACTCTTTCATCTGTTTCCTTATATTTGAAAATGTTGTTTCAAAAAAGATTCATGATTCAAAGGCTAAGATTGCATTACATCCCTGGAAAGGAAATAATGGCCATGCACGTGACACCTGGCAAACAGTTCCGCCACCCAGGGCCTTGGGAGCACTTATCATTCTAGCAAAAACTGGCTTTTAGGGAGTGAAACGACAGCCTCTCCTTTCTAAGCCAAACATGTGGTCAGAACATTTGGTTAGAGGGCAGGAAACAGCAAATAAAGGTAGTTTCATTTGGACTCTTGGTCACTAGTTACATCCAAAAAGAGATTCTTAATGGAAGTCACAGCTGGTGCTCAGGTAGTTAGTCAATGGTGCTAGCAAAATCATAACAGACAGTGGCATATGTTACTGGGTTTTTTGAGGAAAGAGAAAAAAAATCACTTCTTCACTACTGTCCAACTCAGGGCCAGAATACGGAGTGGAGAAGTGTGAATAGCATGTAACAAGCTCTTCTCATCTTGAGATATGGTTCACTTTAAGAATGCAATGTGAGTTTTTTTTTTCAATTGGAGAATGAATTATTTTAAGGATAACTACTTTGCATTTATAAGTATTGTTTAATTTAGGAAAAGATTCTATTAAGACTTCAGAGTTCCCATCCATCAAAATTTTGTTTGGAAGCATGCTTGAAATCACGGCCTTGCAAAATTTTGAAGCTCAAGGAGACACTGGAGGTCAGCACAGATCTGGGAATCTTAGGGATCGTTGTTTGGGGAATAGAGACCGGGAAGGAGATCACATTGCTACTAGCAAAATAAAACTTTCCTTAACTTGATTGTGACAGGTCGGAAATAAGGTTGGGACAAGAGGCAGGCTGGATGTATCCATGGAATTTGTTTCCTTCCCTAACTAATGGCTGTAGCTTGAAAGAAAGATGCATCAAAAAATTGTCTTTCTGAAGTTTTTGCTTTGTATTTACTAGATTTTCTTCATCCCAAAGCAGTTTAAAGGAATCTCTTTATTCCTGAAGAGAATCTGATATCCAAGTTCTAGTAAAGGGGTGAGATCTCAGATATGTTGAAAATTGTGGAATTCTGTTATTTTCTTTGATTACTATTATACCACTAGTTCACTCTTCACCACCTCAATCAGTATAAAACATCTAAATATAAACTATTTTAGGTCTTTAGGTCAGAATTCACTCTATGTCATCTTTGCATTCACCATTCTGCCCAAGATGCTCAGCATGTTGCTGTGAACATTGGGTAAATGGTAACACTTTCTAGTATGTCAGTAGTGAAGGCTCAGATCAGACACAATGCCTGCAGCCTAATAACAACAGTCTCTGCTTCTCACAATCTGAGCAAATTATACCCAAATACAAGGGTTGAAAGCATTGAAGGAAAGTTTTTTAAAGTCCTAGTTGATCCACAAGAACATGCATCCATTAATTAACTTTTAAAAAAGTTATTGAGCACCTGCATTTCAGGCACTCTCCTGGGTGCTGAGGCTTACGGTATAAGCAAGACACAATACTTCCTAGAAAAGGACTCTTTCTCTTACATTAAAAACATAATTTGATTTATACAAATTCTGTTTACATTTCACTTATCAAAAATATGTCTATTTTTGCCTACATCTGTGTATATCTGTAGTATCATTTATTATTAAAAGACGCCAAATAATATGCAATCTGGCCCTGGAATTACCTCATCATCTTTCCTTAAGGATGGGAAATGGTGAGAGCTATTACTTTGGGAAATGATCCCAGTTTCATCTGAAATAACTTTGCTTCTTTTTCTTCTAACCCTTTTGTATCTTCTGTATATAGTTTGGTCAAGCCAACAGCATTGGAATAATTATTTTCAGGATAACTTTCAAATATATTTTACAATCAGTATAGCTCAGGCAACAATGGGACATAGGCCATGGAGCTGAAGCCCTATTCTGAGTGCCACTTGTTAATCTGGATGTACTTTCTTTAGATTCTGGGTCTTCAGGGAATTCAGAGAAAGGTCCTGTGGAGGGGGCTACAGTGTTAGAATGATGGAAATGTTCAGGCTCAGGACAGTACCTACCTACCAAGCTATAAGGGAGTATCTCAACATTTCCACAAATGGCAGAGACACACCAGATGCTACATAAAGCATCTTTATAGCTAGTCTCTGGCTACTGCAGAGTTCCATGTAATGCTGAGTTATAGGAAATCTTACTCACTTTCCACATACTCTGCAAAATGAAACTGGCCACCACTATAACCCACATTTCGAAGTGTCATATGCAGACTTCTACATATATATACAAGCCTTTTACTTTTTATTAAAATGGCAACTTTTATTTTGTGCCTACCCCAAACGGCTCTTCATTGGGTAGAAATTGCAGCATAGACCTAGTACTACATCATGTGGATTTCCTAGACTGGCAGATCATGCACTGAAAGTTCTAAGATGTTGACATTTCAGTTGCTGCTATACCTTGTTTATGCAGATTGTTATTTGTTTTTTAAAAATTGTATGGGTTTCTTCTGGTTGTTTGGAATCAGAGGAAGAATAAGGAAGGCAAGGAATAATTGTTCTTTTCCAGTTCAAAACACAGAGATGAGCTCATTTTGCTGTAGAGGTTTGGGGGATACCTGGAGAAGCCAGAGAGGTCAAGTGGAGGCCCCTTGGAAGGTGGCTGCTCCTGAGACGTGGAGAAAAGACAAGGGACAAGGGCAAAAACGTCCCCCCCCCCACCCCCATGAGGAGATGCAGCCTGGTGGGTGCCCTGCTTTTTGCAAAGTTTGAGGAAAAGTTTACTGTGCACTAAACTGAGAAAGACCAAGAGAAAAAGAAACAATTCTGAGGAATAACAATGCAGAAAACGAAGGAGTGTGATGGCTCACGCCTGTAATCCCAGCACTTTGGGAGGCCAAGGCGAGTGGATTGCTTGAACCCAGGAGTTCGAGACCAGCCTGGGCAAATGGTGAAACCCTGTCTCTACAAAAAAGACAAAAATTACAAAAATTAGCTGGGCATGGTGACACAGCCTGTGGTCCCAGCTATGCGGTAGGCTGAGATGGGAGGATTCCCTGAGCCCAGGAGACAGAGGTTTCAGTGAGTCGAGATCATGTCACTGCACTCCTGTCTGGGTGACAGAGTGACACATGTTTCAAACAAAGATAAAAATTAAAAAATAACAATAATGCAAAAACAGTCTTGTTTTACTTGGACTTCTGTCTGGCTTTTCCCAGATTAATGATCAGTTGTAATATCAATTCATTTAGCACAATGAAAAAGGTTTTAACAATGTTAACAAAATAAAGAGAGTGGCAATTTTGACCTACGGAAATAAATTATTCACCCTCTTTCCTTTTCCTCCCCCTTCTCTGTTGTTTTCTTCCCTCCTGTCTACTGAATCCCTCACCTCTTCCTGTCTTCCTTTCCTTTCTTTTCTCCTCTTTCTTCTCCCATCCTTCCCTGAAGGAAGAAAGGGACTTTTTAGTTGGCTTCCACAAGGCTTAACTCAGAAATGCAGTATCACCTGTGCTCTCTAAAAATTAAATCTCACTAGTAACCAATGTGCATCTAGCACCTAGTATGTTTAAACAGATAACTGCAATATTTGCCAAGGTTTTCCTGTTTGCCAGCTTTACCCACACCCCACTCTCCAACCCCAACCCAACATACACACTAAGACAACCTTCAAGTGTCAGCTTAAGCTGAGAAGAAATCCATGACTTGCTGATTTTTGGAGTACAGCAGACCATCAATGCTCTCACACTGTTTCTCCATTTCCTAGCATAATACCTAACACACAGGAGGCATCCAGAGAAAACTTCTCAAATAAATTATGACAAAGTCATAAATATTGTCTAAATACAGAAAGTCTAAAATGTAAACTTCCTACAGTGCCACATTTTCATGAAAAATCTTCAGCATTTCCTGAGCAATTTCACAACAAAAGTTAATTGATTTTAGCAAGTTTTACCCCTTACCTCGAGGTCATTTTTACAACAGAGAGTGTATTACTTGACAAGAATTATATGGTGGCAAGCAATAAGCAGCAACATCAGAATTCTTTTTTATTCAGCAGGTATTTATCATGTTAAACACTGTGATGGGTGCCAGGGATAAAATCATGAAAAAGAATCAGTTTGTGTCCTCATAGAACTTATTTTCTCGTGGGTACTTAAGCTGCCTAGACTGGGAAATGGCCCAGACTCTTCAGAGCTGGGTGATTCTCTCCAGCATATTATTTAAAACTTTTAATTACTACATGTGACAGATAGTCACTGGCAGAAAACTGTAGAAATTAAGGTCATGAATGCTAAGTTATACCACATGTACATCTAAGCACTTAGCACATCCAGTGCCTCTGGAAGACGGTCTTCTCTTTCTCCTAGAATCAATGTCACTTCCTTATATCAATCAGGGAAGTGCTTTAATATGCATCTTACCTTTTTAGCTCAGAAAATAATAATTTAGAGTTTGGAATTTGCTCCATTTTCAAATTGTCTGAATGCTCAGTTGTCAATTGTCTTAATGCCAAAATTTCGACAACTGACCTATATTCAGTCCAGTGTACAAGTAGAGTTATTTTTTCCAAGATTGACATAGATTAGTATTATTTGCACCACATCTTAGGGCAAGTTTCCTCTGCAAATAATTGTTAACATGTGAAAGTCAGACCACGGGTGTAGCTCATCTCCTGGAACAAGTTTTTGCCAACCCAAACTGGGAATGGCTTGTGGTGGGTTTAAAACCACTGTGCAATCCATTCCTGGGCCCAGCTCAGGGCCAGGCCTTGCCCATGGAACTGCCTGTGTGTGCAACACACAGTGAGACATGGCTTCGGTCCCGACCAAAACAAGCAAACAAGCATCATTACTCACAGAGTTGTTCATGGAATAATTAAACCAAAAGCAGAAATCCACGGTAAAAAAATGTTTTTAAAGTCGGAAGTATGGAGACCAAACTGAAATAAAAATGGTGGAGTAGGAGGAGTCTGAATATCAACAGTCCAATATTAGAAAGAGGAACAAAAACAGAAAACTGTTTCAAAAAGAGAGACAGGGTATGTCAGGGTCGAGGCACAGCAGTAAGAATTCAAGAATAAGGTCTTGAACACCAAGTATTTTTAAAAATTCTTGTGCCCTGACACAAAATGCAAGTCATGGCAGTATATAAAAAAGTAGAAGCAGGCTAGAAAATAACTTACATAGTTTATATGGACATGACTTGCTCTAGGAAAAAAATCTGCTTTCAGTATTCCATTCATTCTCAATTACTGAACCTCCCAGACAAGACCTCTTCTGTCTTCTCCCCTTCCTAAGGCACATTACCCCCACCGTAATTACATAAAAATGTCTGTTAACCAAATTTTGTCCCTTTGCCTTGAGCTCCTGATGTGATTAGAAATCGTGGTGAAAGGACAGAATAATATGAATAATTGCAACGGAGATGAATAGTTCTCTTGGTCATCCAGATGCTTAAACATATCTAGATTTTTGTCTCCATGCCAAGAAAACATTTGAGATAATTTAGTGCATTTTGCATTTTTCCTCCATGGGTGAAATCACAAATAATTTGTGCCTTTTAGCCACATTCTTTCCAAGAAATGGAAAATTTTATCCCCAAAATTAAGATTCCCAAGATACCTAACACCTAAATCTAATTATTTCCAAATTCCCAAAGAGAATTTTTCTCCAAATAAATTTGTTCAAATAAATGTCTTTTGATGTACCATCCATTTAGAGAAGCTTGTGATGAGCACGTTGCTTGACGAACAAGTTTTAAATAGACCAGTCTTCTTAATTCTCTGACAAAGACACAAACAAATAAGTCAATAAATAAAAAATGAAGATAAAGTTGCATTAGGTGAACCAGTGGTCTCCAGTCTTATAACTTAAGGGGGCCTGTTGATCTTAAAACTTGACCTAATATGTAGCATGTGATGAAGTTATTTAAAGAAACGTAAAACACTAAAATTGATTAATGTTTCCTGGCTCTCTCAGTAATGTTCCAAATGATCTCTTACATGTTTCTATTGTGGCACATGACACTTTGTCTTCTAGCTATTATTTACACATGTGGCAGGAAGCTACTCCAAATGACTAATAGATGTGCTCCTTTTCCCCCTGCTTCCTCTCCTTCCAAATCCTGAGGTTATCCCAGTCCTGTTCTTGCCTAGGACATCATGTGTCACCTATTGCCTTAGGTAGGGTAAAGTCTCAGAGAAAAACCACAGAAGCAGCATCTCTGGCCTGTGAATTTAAAAACTGAGGGGAAGCTGTAAACTGAAAGATTTGGAAGAATAGAGGAACTGTTTCCTCCTTCTCCTAACATCTACTAGACCGAGAATGGGGAATGGGGAGAGAAGAGAGATTCCAAGAAAGGGGAAAGCATAAATCGAGGAGTGAAGTCAACATGAAGAAGCAATCTACGTTCATGCATTCATGCAACTAAACATCACTAATTGCCAACACCAGGAAATTTTGTGGGGGTTGAATTTGAAACCATCAACCTTAGGATCTCCATTTGAGGACGTTGCATGTATGCAGCTGGGGAGCTGCATGGGTTTTCCTTCGCATTGTACTCCTTCGAGAAGCATCCATGGGTGGTAGCCAGCATCTCACCTGTTGATCATCCTACAGTATGAATGCCCATCTATGTTTCAAAACTTTGCTTAGGACCTACCCCACCCCCCACCTCCAGTCTACCTACTTCCTGTTGATAGCTCTTTATTCTGTTGCCCAAGTTGTTCATAGCTATCTCTTACCCTCCAGAAACTTAGATTGGAGTCGATATTGTAGGAAGAAAGTGCTCTTACACATAAACAATTTGGAAATAGATAAACATTTGTGTTTCATGTTGAGTCATTTCTGGTTTATCATACTTTTCTAGTAATTTCTTCATTTTGTTTAAGTTTTTAAAGTTGTTCACTTATAATTGTTAATAATATTACCTTATCTTTTTAACTCTCTGCTATATCTGTAGTTGCATATTCTCTTTTTTTCCATATTATTAATGTGTGCTTTTTCTAATTTCTTGTGATTAATCTTCTCAGAGTTTGGTCTATTTTATTAGTTTCTTTAAAAAAAAACCACCCTTTTTCTTTTGTGTTTTTCTCTATTATATATTTATTTTCTATTTCATTGATTTCTACTGCTATTTTAATTATATCTTTCCTTCTACTTTTGGGGGTTTATTCTATTTTATTTCTTTTCTTGTCTCTTAAGGTGCACATTTAGCTCTTTTTTTTTTAATTCTTCCTTTGGTTTTCTAATACAATTATTTATGGTTACATCTTTTCTTCAAAACACCATTTTTTTCTATAGCTACAAATTTTGTTAGTCTGTTAAAATATTATACAGTACTGTCTTTGAAAATCTTTATTATAATTTATTTTATAGACCATGAATTATATAGAAATTTGTTTTTTTTTTCTAAGTATGTGAGGTTTACCTATTAATATATTTAAAATGAATTTGTAACTTACACTTGTGGTCAGAAATCATGCTCTATGTGATTCTGATTCTTTGAAATGTGTGGAGGCTTTCATTATGGCTTAGTGCATGATCAATTTCTGTGTGTACTTGAAAAAAATGTATTTTCTCTATCAGATGTAGAAATCTACATGTGCCTATTAGATCAAAAATGGTTTTTTTGTATTATTTAGATCTTCTATATCTTTGCTGATTGATGTGTCTAACTTAGTAATGGAGAGTGATATGTTGAATCACCTTCTATGATAATGAGTTAATAATTTTATTCCTACAATTATATCAATTTTGCTTTATCTATGGCAATACTTTTATTAGATGCATATATGCTTAAGATTGCTCTATATTCTTAGTAATTTGAAACTTTCATTTGTATATAGTGATGGTCTTCATCACTAATAATATTTTTGTTTTAAAGTCTATTTCATCTGATATAAGTAGAGCCACACCACTTTCTTGGGCAGCTACACCAGTTCAAGATCTTGTCCCTACCACTTACCTTCCGAAGAAAATGTTTTGGAAATAATCCCCCAACAAATGCATGTACACATCCACACACACACACACACAAATACATCCACATCCACATCCACACACACACACATCCACACTCATAGACAGATATATGCCTCCCCACCGGACAAACCGAATTTTAACTCTGAAAAGTTTAGAGAGCATTTGGGATGAATCATGTTAGGCAGGTTTATGTTATGCTATTATTGTGCTTCCTTGTTCCCGTTACTCCCCTTCCTTTTCTAGAAACGAAGTGCTTTTAATACTATTGTATGCTATTAACAAATAGTTTAACTCTCACATATGCATGTTCCAATTCACCAGCTAGACTTTTTGATAGGAGTCCTAGACAGTCAAATTCTATGACCTGATATTCCCCAT